>NT_187660.1:3990297-4292101 GCF_000001405.40 Homo sapiens
ACTTACTCTTTCCTTTTCCATCACAGTCAGCCTAGTGTCAGGAAATTACTTCCCTCTAGCCCTTCCTTGCACTGGCCAAGAAATGAAGACAACCTTTCAGACACGATCGGCCCACAGGATGGAGAAGCTCAAGGCCCTGATGAGTTGGGACCCATTTATCCTGTTCTAGTTTCCTGCAGCTGCAGAAACTCACATGAAGTTGCTGGTTAAGTGACAGCTTTTGCTTCCCACTTGAACAGCTGTTTTTTATTTGCTTCTTTGCTTTTATCTTGTAGTCTATACTCACTGTCCCATTTCCGTCAGTACTGACTTTCATCTTGTTAGATTCAGTGCACCACAACTCCTGCCTAGGACAAGCCATCTGGACTCCTTTTGGCTCTAGTTGCCCGGCCTAACCTCCAGGCAGAATCATACACTCACAGCTCTGCGTACTCACAGGACCGGATCCACACCCCAGGGACCTCACTATCTTAAGGAGCATCCCATCTCATTCACCTGCTATCTCCTCACTGGGAAGTTCCTGGAGATCAAGAACTGACACATGCATATTTGCAACCCTACGACTTAGTGCTGAATAAAACTTAACCAAATAAATGACAATTTGATCTGTGGGCCACGAATGTTCTCACTGTGCAAGAGTAGGTGTCAGGGCACCTCAGCCTGCCCATCAGCTGCCTGTTTTTTATAAATTAAGTTTTACTGGAACACAAGCACAACTGTTCATTTATGTAATGTCTATTGGCTGAGTTGGCTGGTTGTAAACAGAGACCATAGAGCCTGCAAAACTTGCAATATTTACTGTTGATCCTTCATGAAAAACTTTGCTAACCCTTATTCTACAGCATTTAGAAAATGGCTAGATGGGAAGGAAGACACAGCCTCACAGCAGTCTGCCAGAGACCCCTTTCTAGGCTTAACTAAAGGACTGACAGACAAATGTGTTCTCTGTATATAGTCATTGACAATGGTGACTCCTATCTCATTAAAATGACATTCAGGCTACACTTTTCCCATCTTTACCACAGGACTGTCATGAGGAATTTACAAGAGCAGAGTGTTATAGCTTGAAGGGACTTTTGAAGTCACTTAGATCCCAAACTTTCATTTTACAAATGGAAAATCTGGTCTTGAAAGTGAAGTGACTTCTCTAAAGAGAATAACAGGTAAGTGAGGGTTTAGAGATTTGAACTCAACTCTTCTAATTCCAAATAAACTTTTTTTCACAATTACACTATGCTACCTCTTTAATCAAACGTACTCCAAAAATTCAGATGTATAATGTCCCCGGTGTTCCCCCTCAAAAACATTACCCAGAAAGAAAATGAAGTCAGACCCTATGCTGACTTCTAGCCAAGGCCACTGCAAGCTGACGGTTCACAAGATGCACTCTTTTCTTCTGGAAATCTGTCCCGGAATATTCGGTAACATTGACATGACTGCCATAATTTGCAGAAGCAAAGTTCTTTTCCTCCTCTTAAAACTCCCAAACAGTGTTTAGTTTATGAAAATTCTCAGGGTGTGATCAAAGAAAAGCCCCCTGGATGCGCCGTGGATTTCACACAGTACTTCTGCCACACATCTGCAATCAGCGCCTGGTCCCTGAGGTATCTCTGTTGCCTCTATCTTCTATTTGTCCGTATACATGGGATGAGGAAAGGGTCCAATAATTTTCTTCCCAATTTATATGAAATGATGCTAATAACTTATTAAACATTGTTTCTCCTTGGATTCTATGTATGAGCACCAGGTCTAGTTTACCATGTAGTGCACACTTGTCTTATCCTGAGAGTTGCTACCACGGTATGCCATGTGTCTTGCATGTCAAGATTCTATTCAGATCTATTCAAGATATTATGGAATGTGTTTTCTACTTTTGAAATATAATTTCAAAGAACTGTGGCTTGTGTTTAAAAATGGTAAGTTCTAATTAAATGACAGCACATGTATAAACTGGAACATAGATACTGAAATTACATTTTTGAAGTTTTATATTTCTTGGGGAAACACTTAGGAAGTGAAAAAAATCAAGAGAAAACCATATATATTAAAAAACCTCAAGAATGTAAAACTGCATATGTAAAAGACTAAAGGAAAAGATGCTAAACTGTTTTCATATAGCCATATCTGCCACTCTATTTCTTTATCATTCTGGGTTTCCTGCATTATTTAAGAAGACCTCTCTCAATTGAGATTATATGGATCACATTCTACTCTTTTTCCTACTATTTACATAATTGGATTTTTTTGCTCTACATTTAGGTTCAAAACCCATCTGGAATTTATTCATGTGCGTGCCTCAGTGTTGGCATCCAATTTTATTCCCTTCCAACATCATTGATTACAACAAGATACTTATTAAATATGCCATCTTTTCCAAGTGAGTTAAAATATATCTATACTTTGATCTGTTTGCAAAATCTCTTCTTTCAGTGATTTTAATTTTTTTCATTTTTGGCACCAATACTATATTTTTTGATGAGTGTAGCTATGTGACACCTTTATAGATGACACAAGACCCCTCTTACTATTCTTCTTGAAGAATTTCTTGCTGACATTGCTGGACAGCTTGGGCTCAGTTAAAACAAAAACCTAGAGTACTGACCAAAATTGCATTACAAATACATGTTAATTTCAAAATAACTGATGGCTTCAAATTCAGCTTCCCCATCCAGGAGTACAGTATAATTTTTCATTTATCTAGATTTTTAAGTCCTTTAATAAAAAGTCATACTTGTCATACTTCTTGCTTTTGGTATGAATTCCTATGGTAAAACATAAATATAATATATACAAAGTAAAAAAGAGATTGGGAGAAACTTCCAACCCATCTGACCAAAAGTTAGAGTTCCTAATATATAAAGAGCCTGCACCATAGAGAATTAAAAGGGAGAACAGCCTTAGGAGACAATGGGCAGGAGCCACTTCTGTAAAAGAGAGGCTGGGGACAGCTGACAGCCTGTGAAAGCACACACCACCTGCCCCGCACAAGCAGTCAAGCAAATGTGAGATGACACAAGACACTTTTGCTTTTTAATCTAATGAGACTGTAAAACTTAAAAAGAGTTTCTAACATCCGGTGGTGGTAAAGATGTGGGGAAACAGCACTTCATACATTAATGGTGAGAGCATGGATCGAAAAAAGATGAATCAGCAGATTTAAAAAGTTAAATTGCACATGCCCTTTGCATCACAGTGTTAGGATTTTATTCCACAGAAATTAAGAGTTTTAATAAAGAAGAAGACATGTGTAAGAGGCTTTCCCCTCCTCAGCATTATTTGGGATGGCAAAAGCGTGACCACCATCCATAGGGGAGAGGCGGGAGGAATTTGGACGCAGCCGCACTATATTGTAATGAGCATACACTTTCGCACTGTCATATCTTTCTTCCTTAAGTCATGTTTCCTTTGCAGCCCTCCTCTTTAAGACTGATTTATATTCAGAATCAAAGAGGCCACTGATCAGCCCTGAGCCTTAGTGCTGACTTTTCTTAACCTCCTTAGCAAGAATATCCTCTAGAAATCCAGGTTTATTGGAGGAAGAGGAAGCAATTAACCAATTTTCTAAATTCCAATAGCTCCATTAGCATTTCAAGGGTCTTTTGAGGGAGACCCAGACAGAGAATTTTACTATCTGTCACGGACAAGGGGACTTCAAGACTCGATGACTAAGAAATGGAAAGCCCCACTTCAAGGGACTCTGACGGGGAGGAAGCTGGGGAAGGAGGCAGTGAGAGATACAGGTGGCCTGGGCTGTTTCTGGGCCCAAGGCCCCAGTGGAGGGGAATGTCAGAGAAGATGTGAAAGTGACAGCAGTCGAGGAGTAGATTACACTCTGCTCCTCTTTGGGATTGTGGGAAGAGACTAGACAGAATCCGAGCAGAATGCCACAGCATACAAGGTAATGCAAAAGACCTGCAGGACAGAGAGGGAGAGAGAGCACAGGCCACTCCCAGGTCGTGCCCAGGAAGAGCTGTGTGCGCTCCTGCAGAGGGCTGAACAGGCCAGACCTCCTAGCTACGCCTGCTAGAGCAAGGATGCTATGGCCTAGGACCACAGGATGAATCCCCAAGACTCAGGGCTGGAAAAGCAGGACTGGCAGACTCAGAAGCAGAGAGCTGAGGGACCCAGGGGCATGAGCACTCACAGGAAAGGGCAGGAACTCCATGAGATGCAGACGTCCACAAAGGTGCCAGCGGGGCACCACAGGTGTGGACAAACCCAGCAGCATTCTCTGGACACCAGCCTGCACACACGTGGGGCACCTGGGAACCTGCATAGGGACAGCTATGAGATCCCCGGATACACTTGTGGCTCCAGTGTCCTTACTAAAGTGCCCCCTCACTCCCAAGAGTTTTACATTTGCACAACAGATGATGTGGCCAGGGAACCAGGAGGAGATGGGGTCCTGAAGAACCGGGCATTCACCAAAGAGGATTTACAGCCGCAGAGCATGGGATGACACTGATGGAAAGGCTGAGGGCGGGAAGAGACAGAACACAGAGCACAGGAGGACACATCAGTTAGAGGAAAATAAAGCTCCATTTGCTTTGCATATCTGTGTGTGGTGGTTCTATATGCAGGCCTGCTGCCCATGAAAGAGGACTGTGCAGCTGCCTTAAAAAATGTTTTTGTATGTGTGTATATGCAAATATATGTGTATATATATATACACACACATACATTATACACACACACAAGTGTGTGTGTATCTGGGAATGCTTCCATAGTTTATTGTTAACTAAAGAAAACAAGTTGCAGAGGAATATATGGTCTAAGTCCTTTTGTTAAGACAAAACAAACAAAACAAAATAAAACCCTATAAATAGTCATGTTTGTGTAAGTACAGAAAAAGTTATGGAAGTATAAACTGCATCCTGGGAGATAGAACAGAAGTGGGAAAAGAATACGACAAATAGAGTCACTGGTCACCACGAGTGTGCACTGATTTTGTAATAGAAATAAGGAATAAAAATGTTATCAGTCACAGCCATGAGTGGTAGGATCCTAATTGTCACTTTTGTCTTTGTTTCTTATGTGTTTTCTGCACTTTCCCTAATAGACATCTGTCTTTTTTGTAATCAGAAAAACGTAGATATTAAACAAACACAAAGGCACTGAAGCCTTCAACTCCATTTGCTATTTATCACAGAAAGGGCTTTTTCTAGTCAGGCCGCAATCAATTCAGTTGAATGAACATGAACTGAAACGCACACCTGCACGTGCTCCTGGGGTGAGTGTTCTGAAGGACAGGCACCCACCACTGGGCCACCAGGACATGAATTTCACCCAGCCGCACGGCCATGGGAATACCTGCCAGAAAAGTTCTCAGACATCCAGAATGGCCTCCAGCCCTGCATAGAGGTGCAGAGCAGGACAGCAAGACCTCAGGGCAGGGGGCACCAGAGGGAGACCTGGGAGGACAAGGCCAACAGCTGGGCAGTAAGAAATAAGAAGAATGTGTGTTCTTCTGCTGCCGGGTGGAATGATCTGTGAATGTCTGTTAGGTCCACTTGGCCTACACTGCTGTTCACACCCACGCTTCCTTTTTGATTTTCTGTCTGGAAGAGCTATCCATTATTGAAAGTGGAATACTGAAATCCACTATTATTGTATTGCTGTTTCTCCCTTTGCTGTCCATAGA
Source organism: Homo sapiens (assembly GCF_000001405.40). Classification (NCBI taxonomy): domain Eukaryota; kingdom Metazoa; phylum Chordata; class Mammalia; order Primates; family Hominidae; genus Homo; species Homo sapiens. Next base: position 3,995,939 of record NT_187660.1, read on the forward strand.
AGCAGTCCCAGTCAATTTCTACAGCTTTACCTCCTGCAATAGCCAAGCATCTGGGGCCCCCAGGCCACAAACTTGGGGTAGGGGAGTCTTTCTTTCTAATTGCCCAGCTACCTTGTCCTCCCAGGTATTCCCATGGCCGTGCGGCTGGGTGAAATTCAAGTCCCGGTGGCCCAGTGGTGGGTGCCTGTCCTTCAGAACACTCACCTGAGGAGCATGTGCAGGTGTGTATTTCGGTTCATGTTTATTCAGCTGAATTGATTGTGGCCTGACTAGGAAAAAAAAAAACAAAACCCTTTCTATGGTGAATAGCAAATAGAGTTGAAGTCTTCAACACCTTTGTGCTCATTTAATATGTATGTTTTTCTGGTTACAAAACTGACAGATGTCTATTAGGGAAAGTTCAGAAAACACATAAGAAACAAAGATGAAAATAACAATGATCTAGAATCCTATCACTTAAAGGCTGTGACTGATAACATTTTTATTCCTTATTTCTATTACAAAATCAGGGCACACTCATGGTGATCAATGAATCTGTATTTGTCATATTCTTTTCCCGGTTCTGTTCTGTCTCCCAGGATGCAGTTTACACTTCCATAACTGGAAGCCCACATAAAACATGTTTTCCTTCCTTTGTTTCTCCCTCTCTCTTGCCTTACCTTACTTTATATCACCACTCTCCAGAATTCTGCAAGCTTCACTTGCTATAAATCACCTTGAAGACACCTGACTCTCCAGGAGGATTAAATTCTAAATTATGCAATGATATCTGTAATACCTACAGAGTTTTTGGAAAATGGAAAAATACAAACCAGGAATGACAAAGGCATCACCTCCCTAACATCTCTTAGAGCAAGATACTTTGCAAAACTGCACTGCTTTTAAGTTAGAGAGTTGATTCCATGTTTTATACTGAGGTTCAAAGAACATATGAAAAGAATGCATATTTGAGATTATTGGAAATCAAGGAGAAGAAATGCCTTTGATGTTTGTGTCATCTCAGATTAAGATACATCAACTGCATTACTTAAAGTGGCTTTCCCTGTGTATAAATGCTGAGTGGCTGGAAGGCCATGGCCACTTACCAGGACAATGGCCTGAAAGGTGATTTTTCCTGCTTCCTTGGCAGATGGCAGTTATTGTGTTTTTGTGTTTCTGTCTCACTTGAGCGTCTACATGGTGCAGCAATATGAAAGCTCAATTATGGCCCAGAGCACTTCTGGGCTAGTGGGAGGCTTCCCCTCACACAAGAGTGACCCTCCTGAGTGATCAGCTACCTCTGCTTAGGGCGGTGCAGAGGGTCAGTTGTTAACTGCTCAAAGGAAAACTGAAAGAGCAGGACTTTGGGGATGTAATCAAAATGCAACTTATTTACTTATTGTTTTAAATCTCTTTCTGGCCCCTTTAAAATGCATTTAGTTGAGAGAATTCCAAAGGGTCCTTCCTGGGGAAGGTGCTGTGCCTGGCATCTGTCTTCTGCTAACTGCTCTGGGGTAGTGGTGTGGAGGTGGGGGAAGGAGCATTTTGGACTGAAGGGACTGCTTCATGTCCTGTCTCGGGCTTGGGGTCCGGCCACCGGAGGAGGCTCAGCTGCTCTCCTGGGAGCCTCTTTGGAGATTTCCACGGTGGGGTCACTCACGTGCAGCATTCCTACCGCAGGCAGCTGCACGCCTCCTCTTAACAGTCACTTTCTGCAGTGTCAGCGTACTAGGCATCTGAAGTCCTCCTCTAGCTTCTTGCTACTCGGGTCCCTCTCTCCTTCCACGCTGCCCCAGTGACAGGGCCCAACACCACCCCTGCCAGCTCCCACAGGCACGGCCCATCCGGGGGCCATAATGGTCCTCACGCACTCTGACAACCGTAAGGAATGCATCCTGGTCCCTTTCCTCACTCATGAGATGCCCAGATCCAAGCATTGGCACCTTTATCTTCAACACTCTCTTGATCCTCAGCCTAAAGGCTCCAGGTGAGGGGTAGGTCACCTTCCCCAAGCCCCAGAAACAGAAGGACATTGAGTTGACAGTGGCATTCTAACAGCTTTTTCAAAAATTTCTCTTCACAGAATCCTTTCTCCTCCCTACATCTGATTCCTTCTTTATATTCTTGATCAGTTCAAGGTGTTCAAAAATGAGGGAAATGATCCTAGCTCATTCCTTCCTAACTGGGGCTTCTGGCCTGGCATCTCATTTTAGATGTGTCATCTGTTACACTTCCATATTGCTGTCAAACTTCAATACTGACATTCCGTTGCATGTGGCTTTATAGAGGTCATATTTGACAAAAATGACATTGTGGAGTATTTGAGAGAGTATTTATGTCCACAGTAAATGTGCTGAGTCCATGGGAAAGACATATGAGAAAATCTGTCTTCTTACTTCACAGTATACATGAAAATCAACTCCAAGTTGATGGCGTTTCTGAATGTAGAGGGTAAAACAATAAATCCTCTAGAAAGCAACATGGAGGAGCATCTGCATGAACTTGGGATGGGCAGAGAGTTCTGAAACAAGATGCCAAAACTACTATTGAAATGGTAAAGTACGCTGGGCACGGTGGCTCACACCTGTGATCCCAGCACTTTGGGAGGCTGGGGCGAGCAGATCACTTAAGGTGGGGAGTTTGAGACAAGCTTGGGCAACATGGTGAAACCTTGTCTCATCTAAAAATACAAAAATTAGCCGAGTGTGGTGGTGGGCGCCTGTAGTCCCAGCTACTCGGGAGGCTGAGGCAGAAGAATCGCTTAAACCCAGGAGGCAGAGGTTGCAATGAGCTGAGATCGTGCCACTACACTCCAGCCAGGACAACAGGGAGAGACTCTGTCTCAATAACGACAACAACAAAAAACCCTAACAGATAAAGTAGATACATTAAGAACTTCTCTGCACTAGCAAACAACCTAGAGAAGGTGAAAAGCAACCTACACAGAGAGAAAACATCATTGCAATCCATAGACTCAGTAAAGGACTGGTACCCTGAATAAACACTTCAGAAGTTAATAAGAAATAAACAGTCAATTCAATAGCAAAATGGAAATATACTTGTACATACACTTCACAAGATGACATCTGAATGGCCAAAAATCAATGAAAAGTTGCTCAACCTTATTAGTCATCAGTGAAATTAAATTAAAATGAAAATTAGATACCCACCAGAATGTCTAAAATTACAAAAATTGAAAATACCGAGTGTTGGCAAAGATGTGACGCAACCAGGGCCCTCCCACGGAGCTGGTGTGAGTGTAATTAGTAAGGCAACTTGGAAAAACCGCTTGGCAGAATCTACCACAGCTCATCCTACACAACCCCTGTAAGCCAGTACTTTCAGCACTCGGTACCTACACAACCAAAATGTGTACACCTGTGCACCAAAAAATACAGGAAATATCGCCATAGGACTAAGAACTAGAAGCAGCCCAAATGATAACCAATGGATCCACTGGACAATTGGAATATATGGATAAACTACAGTATACTCACACACGGACAAATAGTACATGAATAGCGTAGTATGAATGAATGAACTGGTGGTACACACAGCAAACATTATTTCATTCCATTCATCACACTGAGTTTAAAAATAGGCAAAACTGCAGGTGAGAGGTCAGGAGAATGGAAAGACTGAATAAAGGAGAAAGAATAGGGAGAAGGCTCAAGGGGGCAGATGCCTGCATCTCATGTTCTAGTTTTTGAGCTGGGCAGTGATTATTTAATAAAAAGGCATATTTACATTTTTTTATAATTCATGAAGTTGTACATTTGATGTGCATTTTTCTGTATGTACATTATTCTTCAATAAAAACAATGAGCCGCAAAAATCTACGGGCCATAAAACAGCCCTTATGCAAAGCTAATAAATAAGCTTGTGAAGGACTTTTCCAACTTCTGTCAGCACACATTTTTGAAAAACAGCATTAGTGGCATTCAGCTGGACATTTGCTGGTGTGCTATTGATCAGTTCATTTAGTTTAAGTATTTTTACTAACATGAGCAAACCACAGTCTGCCCCTTTCTCCAATTTCTTCTCAACACAGCCACAAGAATCTTTAAAAGATGTAAATTGGCCAGGCGTGGTGGCTCACGCCTATAATCCCAGCACTTTGGGAGGCCGAGGCAGGCGGATCACCTGAGTTCAGGAGTTTCAGACCAGGCTGGCCAACATGGTGAAACCCCGTCTCTACTAAAAATACAAAAATTAGCCGGGTGTGGTGGTGGGCACCTGTAGTCCTGCTACCTAGGGTGCTGAGGTAGGAGAATTGCTTGAACCTGGGAGGCTGAGGTTGAAGTGAGCTGAGCGCACCACTGCACTCCAGACTGGGCAACAGTGAGACTCTGTCTCAAAAAAACAAAACAAAACAAAAGATGTAAATTATGTCACATCCTACCTTGCTTGAAACCCAACAATAGCTTCCCACTGCACTGGAGTGAGACCAAACTTCTTTCCAAGCCTTCAACTGTCCTGCCTCACTTCGCTGTTCCACCTCTGCAGCTTCAGATGGCACCTGGCTGTCCAGAACCAGCACTGCAGGCTGAGCCTTCTGTGTGCCCCACACACAGCCTGCTGCTTCCTTGGCCTCTGTGCCCTGGCACTGACTTCACCTGGAAGAGCTTCCACAGTGCTTCCCTTCCCCCTCCTTTTAGTTCAAGTGTCTGCTTCAATTTCACCACTGCTAAGAAGCCTTCTCTGACTTCCTTGCTGAACTACATTCCCCATTATTTCACTGCAGTACCAATCACTTCTTTTGTAGCACTACCATTGTCTGTAATAACACTACATACATCATCTGTCCATTCATTGATCCATCCAGCCAGTCATATATGCCATTCTGTTCCCTGGAGAATTTAAGTTCTGGGAACTTGCTTGTTTTGTCTTTTCTATCCTTGGGACCTTAGTACACAGTTCAGGGGATGCTGCAGCCACTCAGTGAAAACAAGTTGAAGAAATAAATGAAAATTATAAAGTCAACTGGCCATTCAACACATTCCTCTGCTTTATCTCTGAGCATTTCATCCTTTTCCTAACTCCAAAGTGACCCTTTCTTGAAGGGTACACTGCTATTTCCATTCAAGAAAATTCTATCGAGTCCTTCCTACAGGTGCTAGGCTGCACACTGTTCTGAGGGTACAATAAGAACGGGTGCTGCCCACAGTGCAGTGGTGCAGTGAGACGCAAATAGAGAGAGCTGTGGCTCATGCTGGTTTGTAAGGAAGTTAGATAGTTATAAAAACTATAAAAACGAATATATACATATTAAAATGTTTATAATTTATAATATAAATATAAAAACGATTTTTTGGCAGAAACCCAAAGAAACAGATAATAGCATGAGAAATATGTGTTTTTTATATATATAAAATAATTTACAATTATATTATTTAAACATATTTTATATATAATAGTATATAAAATACATATAACATAATACACATGTATTATATATAAAATATACAAATATATTTTTATATATTTATATACATTATATAATACATACTACATATTATGTATTATATGTAATATTGATTAATATATTACATACTGATTAATTACATATTATATATTATTACATATGTTATTTCAATAATGGAATTTGTATTAACACTTTTGCTCTGTGTTCTAAAAGGAGATCATCTTGTTGAGATACATTAGCATTCAAAGATGGAGGAGCAAATGACGTGTGAGTGGGCACAGCCTCCACAGAGAGCAACAGGACAGCGGGGAGCATGAGCCTTCAGACCATGGGCACACATGGACCAGCGATGGCTCCCGTGAGAATGTGCAGTGGGGAGAGACAACACATGTTCTGATACCTTTGTTACCGCATCTCAAAGGCACGCTGGAGGCAAACTGATGAGAATCCAACAGTGGGGAATGCTGCATGGAACCTGGCCTATCAATTATAGTGAGATACTTTGCAGATTAAAAGTTATCAAAAGATGAAGACTTCCCAGGGCTAGGTACCTGGACTACACTATGCAGAATCTGTGCATATGGACAAAGGGAGGAGGCTGCATGGGGAAGTCCCTGGCTGAAGCTGCCCAGAGGCCTTCACCGTGGGGATGAGCCACAAAGCCTGTGGCCTGTGGGGCCGTCACACATCCTGCTCGATAATGTGGCATAAAAGGCCTTCTTTAACTCTGCCTACTTTATTTAAAATTTTATTTTGAAATAATTTCAGATATATAGAAAACTTGCAAAAATAGTATACAGAATTCCTACATAACCTCACAACTAGATCCCCTCAAAGGTTAAAGTTTTACATTTATCATTCTCTCCACATACAAGTCTGTTCTACAGATACTATTCAGGTTTCATCCATTGTCCCAACAATGTCCTTTGTAACAAAATGGTTGTTTTCTGTCCAGGATCCCACATTGCATTTCGTTTTCATGTTTCTAATCTAGTTTTTGAAAATCTGAAACAGTTTCTCAGTCTATCACTTTTTTTCTTTTAAAAAATTTTTATTATACTCTAAGTTCTGGGATACATGTGCAGAAGGTGCAGGTTTGTTACACAGGTATACATGTGCCATGGTGGTTTGCTGCACTCATCAACCCGTCACCTACATTAGGTATTTCTCCTAATGTTATCCCTCCCCTCGCCCCCCAGTTCCCAACAGGCCCCAGTGTGTGATGTTCCCCTCCCTGCGTCCATGTGTTCTCATTGTTCAACTCCCACTTATGAGTGAGAACATGCGATATTTGGTTTTCTGTTCCTGTGTTAGTTTGCTGAAAATGATGGTTTCCAGCTTCATCCATGTCCCTACAAAGGACATGAACTCATCCTTTTTCATGGCTGCATAGTATTCCATGGTGTATATGTGCCACATTTTCTTTATCCAATCTATCACTGATAGGCATTTGGGTTGGTCCCAAGTCTTTGCTATTGTGAACAGTGCTGCAATAAACATACATGTGCATGTGTCTTTATAGTAGAATGATTTATATACCTTTGGGTATATACCCAGTAATGGGATTGCTGGGTCAAATGGTATTTCTAGTTCTAGATCCTTGAGGAATTGCCACACTGTCTTCCACAATGGTTGAACTAATTTACATTCCCACCAACAGTGTAAAAGCGTTCCTATTTCTCCAAATCCTCTCCAGCGTCTGTTGTTTCCTGACTTTTTAATGATTGCCATTCTAACTGGTGAGAGATGGTATCCTTGGGCAGGGTTCAGTCTATCATTCTGCAACCCTGATACCCTACTTAGGGTAGAATGTCCCCAGTCTGGGTCTGCCCTGTGAGGCCTCATGATTAGACTCTGTTGTGTATTGCTGGCAGGAACACTGTGGAAGTGATGCTCTGTCCCCTGTGAACCACCTCAGGGACAAATCATGTCTACTTGGTCCATGTTGATGATGCTTATGTTGACCTCTTGGCTAAGGTGATGTGCATCAGGTCCCACCCCTAAATAGTTACTATTTTTGTGTTTGTATCTTGCAGAGATATACTCTTTGTAAATATTGTTTCTCATTAAATTTCTCCACCATTGGTTTTAGCATGGAATGAAATTTCTGTTTGCAACAATTAGCACTTGGTGGTCATCAAATGGTGACTATTTCCTTCCTTTCTCCTACATTTATTAGCTGACACTCCACTATAAGAAAGCACTTTCCCTTCTCCCCCATTTATTTCTCTATTCATCCATTTCTTTCTTTTAATACAAACATATGCATTTTTCTTAAGAATCATCACCTATTTAATAAATAATCACCTGTTACTATAATTAGTAGTTTGAGGCTCAAATTGTCCCAGTGCTCATCACACAAGCCCCATCACTCTTTGGCCACTTGTTTTTTCCTGAAGTGCTAGTTCTGCAAACACATCATGCTTCTCTGCAGCTCTTCTAATGGCACCACCCACTTATTGGCTGGATAATTCCCAGCACTTGTTAAACAGCCCCCTTAGAAGCTTTCCCCAACTTCTCATGTTCCCGTCCCAAATCTTGCTGCTACCACATGACTCCATTATTATCATGGACTGTGCACTGTGCTTGTTTGTTTAGGCTTATAAGCAGTTGGTTTGTGATTCACATTTCTTTATTATCCTTCTAAGGCACCTCCCTGGTCCACATGAGGAACTCAATACATGTATGCTGAATAAGTGATTAGGAAAAAAAAAAAACTGTGTAAACCCTCTGACTTTATATAACCTGCTATTCTACAGGCTTCTATTAGATAGAGTCTCATCACTTTGTTGTTGGGATCTATGTCTTTGGTCATTTTTTCCCATTGTTTTACATTACTGAGAAATGCATTATTGGTTCACATTCATGAAAGTTCTGGCATTATGTTTTATTTTTATTTTAGAGACAGAGTCTTATTCTGTTGCCCAGGCTGGAGTGCGGTAGTGCAATCATAATTCACTGCAGCCTTGAACTCCTGCACTCAAGCGATCTTCAGTCTCCCAAAGTGCTGGGATCACAGGCGTGCACCACCATTGCTCGCCCATGCATTATGTTTGAAATCCCTCCTTCATTGTTGGCTCCAACATACTCCCTTATTTTCTCAAGAACTTGGACATGTAATGCACATCTGAAAGTAAACATGCCAAAACTCAGCTGCAGAGAGGCTGGTATTTCCTTGCAAATCAAACTCTCCTGTAATCTTCCACATCTCTGATCAGGGCAACCTCAAGCTTCCATTTGTTCAGACCAAAGATGCAGGAGTCAACTTTAACATTTTTGACACCTGCATCTGGCCGATCAGCAAGTCCTGTTGGGTTCTAAATATAATTTGAAGAGACAGCCCTCCTCTTGGCACTGTTCCTCTGCTACTATCCTCAAGCACCGTCATTCCTCCCTTGCAATACTGCAGCTCTCTCCTTGCCAGCGTCCCTGCCCTGCCAGGCTGACTTCTGGTTTTCAAACACCAGCCACGGTGATCTTGTTAAACTGAACTGGATTAAGTCCCTCTGCCCAGGCCTCTCCAATGACATCACATCTTACTCAGAAGAAAAGCCAAGTCCTACCACATCTTACAATGCTCTGAATGATGTGATACCCTGTTCCTCTCTGATATAAACTACTTCCTCTCCCTTTCTCCCCACCAGCACACTCCCTCTGGCTACTCCCTGAAAGTGTCCCCTCACCCCTCTGACCATACACACTCCAGCCTCAGGCCTCGACCATCCTCCCCGTCTGGGGATAGCCCATGTCCCCTTCCTCAAGTTTCCTGGTGCTTCAATATATATGACACATATATACTATATTTTTTCCCTTTTAAGCTTAAACGCTAATATAATTTCTATTGACAGAATAATTAAGAAATTCAGCTGCTCTCTGTAAAGGCTTAATAAAAATGTAAATTGTAATATAATGGAGAATTAATTGAAACACTCCAAAGCAGAGAAAGAATCGTGGAAGAGTTTAAAATTGCTCACAAGACTAACAGGGAGCCCGGTGAATTGGCCATATTGTATAGAGTGTTTATGTAGCTTCCATCTGTGCCACATCCAATAGTTGTTATTTACAGTCATGTGCAGATAGATCATGATGTTCCAGTCAATGGTCTGCATATACAATGGTGGTCCTATCAGATTATAATGAAAAATTCTCATGACCTAGTGACATCATAGCTGTTGATAACATCATGGCACAGTAACTTCATTTTTTTTTTTTTTTTTTGAGACGGAGTCTCGCTGTCGCCCAGGCTGGAGTGCGGTGGCGCGCTCTCAGCTCACTGTAGGCTCTGCCCCCCGGGGTTCACACCATTCTCCTGCCTCAGCCTCCCGAGTAGCTGGGACTACAGGCGCCCGCCACCTCGCCCGGCTAATTTTTTGTATTTTTAGTAGAGATGGGGTTTCACTGTGTTAGCCAGGATGCTCTCAATCTCCTGACCTCCTGATCTGCCCGCCTCAGCCTCCCAAAATGCTGGGATTACAGGCGTGAGCCACCGCACCTGGACAGTAACTTAATTTTTAAAAATAAATTTAGTGCAGCCTAAGGGCACAGTGTTTCTAAAGTCTACAGCAGTGTAATGTCCTGGCCTTCACATTCACCACCCTGGCCTTCACATTCACCGCTCACTCACTGACTCACCCAGAGCAGCTCCCAGTCCTGCAAGCTCCATCCATGGTAAGTGCCCTAGACAGGTATACCATTTTTATCTTTTACGCTGTATTTTTACTATACCTTTTCTAAGTTTAGAAACACACATACTTACCATTGTGTTATAGTTGCCTGTAGTATTCAGTACAGCAACATTCTGTACAGGTTTGTAGCTTGGGAGCAACAGGCTATACCACATAGCCTAGGCATGTAGTAGGCTATGCCATCTAGGTTTGTACAAGCACACTCTACGATGTTCACACAATGACAAAATCACCTAAACGTATTTCTCGGATTGTATCCCTGTGGTCAAGCAACATATGACTGTACCTCTATGTAATCAGTGTGTATGCTGCATGCACACATCTATGTATCTATATGTCTGGATACGCAGTGTGTGTGTACATGAATGCTTGTTGCTTTTGAGGTCAGCAGGGTGCAATATTTCAGTACAAGGCAGCAGATGGTTTACAACTGGGGAGAAGGCATTAGAACAGTATCATGAGGTTTGTGTGAAGGCCATGCTGATGCTGCTTCAAATGTCCACACTGTAAACACACAGAGCCTTTGGGCCACCACTTGTCTCCTGTGCAGTCATAGTAGGTGGCTTAGGTGATTAATTTCCGCCAGAGATGCTGCCTTTCCTTCGTCAATGCAGGTTTTGCTTTCTCCTCCCTTACAGTGGTCTTCAGCCACAGTTAGCCTTTTCAAGCATTTTTAAAGAATGAGTTGAAAATCAAGTAAAAAAGACAAAGCCCTATCACTCATTTCCTCCTCCATCTTTTGAGAAAGACATTAAGAACTCTGTCTAATAGAAAACAATGTAATCATTTCTAAATCAACGTGATCAACAGTTGGTTTCCTTTTTCTGCCCATAAAATTAAAATTTTACCTTAAATAAATGAAGACCATTGAAAAACCATGAAAGTGTATCCCACAGAGAAGACCAGGGATGCCTGCTCCTCACAGCCTGGCTGTGTCACGGGACTGAAGGCAAATGCGCTGCACAGCAGCCTCCGCATCGGACCCAGGCTCCTAGGCCAGGGACTGCATCTTTTTACTGAATTCCCGATGCCCAGTGCAGCATCTGGCTCGAAGTCGGTGCTCAATAAAACTCTGCTGCCTGCCTGCCTGAGGGAATGGATAAATAACTGAAGGAGAAGAGGCGGGGTCTGCTTGTGTGAACTTAGACTAAGGGAGGATCTGCCAGGACTGTGCCATGAAGGCACAGTGGCACACAGTCTGTGGCACAGTCTCATCAGCCCTTGCAGGTTCTGGTTATTGAGCCATGACATACCATAGGGAGTGAAGGGCCCCCGATCCCTCTGAGGTCAAGGGAATCTCTGGCAGGGACTGGGAGAGGGTGTAGGATGAGCTCTGATTGGTATGGACACAGTCAGTCCCTCCTCACCTCAGCCACGCAGGAATGGCCCTGAAGTTTCCAAGCCTGCCACAGCGCCCATCTAGAGAAAACCAAGCTGTCCAGGTCTACACAGGTATATATTCTATGGCCATTACACAAGGCTTCTTGGTAGATATTCATGGATCTCTCAGAAAATGGGCAGCTTCTCACAGAACAGACATGGGTGCCCACCGACTCCAAACACTCTCACTGGCTGGAAATCGCAGGTTTGCAAACACACTCCTGAATGCACTGCCAGTTTCAATGCACAGCCACGTGGCATGGAGTGACAGTTTGCATGGAATGGTGGCCCTGTCAGGGAGACGAGGTTCATCACAGAAAGAGGTCTGGGGATGCTGGTTTGAAGAGGGATGGAATGCAGGCAGGACCACTGCGGCCCAGGGAGTGACCAGAGCCAGCAGAGTTGCCACCACCCAGGGCCCAGGAGGAACTGCTAATGAGCCAGGCTGGGCTGCAGGATGTTTGGGTTGAAAGGTCCCTAGCACAGTGGTCCTTGTCCACTTCGTGGTCTTACAGTTGGCAAAACAGAGGCCTAGACAATATAAGATTACATCCCAGAGACAGCAATACACACAGAGGCCATGGGATTTCCAACTGGCTGTCAAAAAGGAAAGTTCTGAGTCCCTGGCCTGTCTGATTGCCTGGGCAGCTGTGACCCAAATCCTCTTAGCCCCCTGACAGCAGTGTAGATGGGAAGAGAGCAGGGAAGATGTTGCTGGCTGGAGTGCCTCAGCGTTGCTGCAAAGATGACCAGCAGTCCTTCCTACTAGCTAGGACAGTGATTCCACCATGAGGACCATGGGGCAGAAGTCAGGAGAGTGGAAGATAGGATGCAGGAGGGCAAGGAGGCGAAGGATGCAAGGACATGGAGCCCAGCCAGAAAGGAGGGGAGCTCCTGCAGAGCCTGAGAACTCGGGATGGCTGCGTGGCAAGGGATTGAAACTGCTGGAGGAGGCCCGGAGGCCTGCCAGCCAACTACTCAGCTGATGGCGCAGCTCTGGAGGTGCTGCCCCACCTCACCACACAATCTGCCCTTGCTTGTGGTGCCAGTGCTACATGGGGCACAATTGCCCTGCCGCCTTCTGAAAGTATATGTACCACTCCCAACTGCCCCCCGCACCGCACGCCACCCCCCCCCTCCGCCCCCCGTTTGCCCATGAAATTTGGCCACTTCATCTCGGAGGCCAGCCTTGCCGAGAGAAAGAAACGCAAGTCATACATCCTTCTGGACTTTCCCTTGACACTCAAGCCCTCAACTTTTTCAATGATATAATTAAGATCATATGATATGTTCTTGGGTGATTTGTTTTTCCTATGCCATAGATATTTCTCTGTGTCACCAGAGAGAGCTAGTTCATTTCCCCCGACTTGCTGCATTGCTTTCCCTTGTGTACATGTACTGTGATTCCTTTAACCATTTTTGTTTCATGGGCTTTGTCTTCCTATTACAAAACAAAAGTAAAATTGGGACACTTGTCTGACTCTCTCAGCCTGCAGAGGCAGAAGTTGCTGTAGAAAAAAAATCCTGCAAGTGGAGTTGCTGGGTCAAAATGGAATTGCAAAATTTAGACAGAGACCGCCATATTGTCCTTCAAGGACCATATACCAAGTAACGCATCACCAGTCACTAGCCAGGTGAGTGCCGTCTCCCCACACCCTCGCCAAGACTGGACATCTTTCTTATTTTGTTTGCCAACATAGTAAGTAAAACGTGGTACCTCAGAGTTTTGTTGTTGTTGTTAATTGGCTCTCCTCTGATTACTCACGGAGCTGGTTAACTTTTCACATGTTTATTGGCTATTTATATTTCTTCTTTGGTGAACTGCCTATGTATATATTTCCTGGTTAATTTTACTTGCTCATTTTTCTTATTGATCTGAGGCACTCTGTGTATTACGGGCATTACATTATCATTGGTGGCTTGTCTTTTCATTTACAAAAACGATTTTCCCTACAGAAGTTGAAAATTTAATGAAATAAAATCTGTGCTGTTTCTCTTCTATGGCTTGTGGGGTTTTGGGTTTGCTTAGAAAATTCTTCCCGTAAAATAAATACTATTCTCTGATATCTCCTTGTAATAGTTCTTGGGGTTATTTTTCTCCTAAATGTTCACACTTTAATGCATCTGGAAGTAACATTTGCAAATGGTAAAGGGTTTCCCTAGTGAATTGCTTTCACATGGATGACCAAGTGTTACTACACAGTTACATGATCTGTGCTTCATCAATGATTTGAAATACCACATTTATCATACACAATATGCCTCTGATGCAATCCTAAGGAGATAGGAATGGGTGATAGAAGCTGGAGTGGGGCTTCAAGGAACTGGGATTGTTTCTGCTACTCACAGAATGGGGGCATACATAGAAGCTGAGCCATGCAGTTGCTCTCACACACCTGAGATCGCATCTTTCACAGTCAGAATACAAGGGCAGGAGTGCTGGGGTCCTGAAACCAATGTGAAAGGACCATCCAGCCTTTACCTGAAGGAATGTTCCCTGGATTATGGTTGTTTGAAGGCTGACTCACACACAGTGGAAAAACTAGACACGATGTTTTAGGGAAAAGAGCTTAAGGGTAGGTCCTCCTGTTGAAGCCAGCTACAATTAAGTCAAGAGAGGGGCAGGGGTGGGGGGCACGAAAGCAAAGAAATGCCACTTATCTGAAATCTCCAAGAGGAATGTGGATGGCAACTGGCACCTGCAGCTGATAGGGACCCACCAGATTCCAAGCCTCTGGGCTGTGAGTGATTGCGGGGCAGAGGGATCGGGAGCCTCATGTAGCAGAGACCTGGGACTGCTCCAGACACAAAATGAGCCCAGAGCCCCCCACATGACTACAGGTAGGAAGCAGGCTGAGAAAGCTGCGAGCTTGCAAGGATGCCATGGTCTCTTTAGTGCCCTATTCTCCAAAGAGGAGCTAAGGCCAGGAGAGTAGGAGATGAAGTCCCTGCCCTGCTGGGAAACTGAACGACCAAGGGTGATGGGACCTCACAGCCTCTGCCCAGTGGAATTTCAGGGTTTCTATGGCCATTGACAGTCGCCTGTCTCCCAGTTATTCCATTCCTGTTCTACTACTGCATGTTGTTGTGTGGGTGTGACTGTATGGTTGCGTGGTATCAGCTAACTTGTTCTTTTATTTAGCCCATGGGTCTCCAGACTCAAAGAAGCTATATCTGCATCTTTCAAAGAGACCACTGGGCATCACGCAGAAGCCCGTGACTTTGAGGCTGATGAGACTTTAGGATGTCTCCCACTACCTTTGATATTTGTGTAGCAAAAAGACTGAATCAAATATTCAGTGACCAGAAGGATAGACTGTGGTTGGCATTAAAACTGTTCACTAATATCCACTTTTCTTCTGCTTCTGGGCTCTCAGAAGAATTGCAGCTCCTGGCCTCCCCAAAGCTACACGTGGCTCTGTAACTTGCTTTGACCAATGAAATATAAGTGGCAGATGTCATTTTAAGTGGATGCATTTAATTGCCAGTGCTTACCTCTCCAGTCCTTCTCTTCCTCCTGCCCCTAAGCCTGGTGACCTCCTGATGGCAGCGCTCCATCAGCCTGGAGGAGAATGGCATGTAGCAAGCCCTGACTTCCCTGTGCACCAGGAGCAGAAAATAAACCTTTGTGGTTTGAGCTGCCGAGATCTGGGGGCTATGTGTTACTGTATCTAACTTAAACTAATTGAAAGTACCTTCATTCATTCCCATGGACTCAAATATCTCTATATTGATGACTCTCAGATTTATAATTCTAATGCAGTCCTCAACCCTGAGCTAGACAGAGTTTTTTTTTTTTTGGTTCTGCTTTTCTTAACCTATGAATATTCAAGCGCCCAAGACTCCGTGTTGAGCTCCTTTTTCTTCTCTGTCTACACTTTCCTCCCTTGTAATCTTATTCCCTATCGGGCCTTAAATATTTAAGCACCAGTGTCTTCCAAATTTAAATCTCTAGCCCTGACTAATACCTCTCTAGTACACATCGCTTAATTCCTGGATAGTTCCTACATGACTCTGGACTCTTGAAACTGAATTTAAGCATTGTCTCTGTCTCTCGAATTACACACACACACACACGCACACACACACACACACACTTTGTGAAATAGTGTTTGCATTTTTCCCACTTAAGTAGTAAGACTGGAGCAAATTTCATAATTAAAAAAAAATCCCTTGAACAGTGTAGCTAAGAAGAAAGGAAGGAAGGAGAAAAGGAAAGGGAGATCTAAGCTTGATCACATCAAACAGAAAATGTAAACACTACGGACAGAATGTTATTGTACCCCATTAGCAACCTGGCTTCAACAAATCATTTTGCAAAGCAAGAATCAGAACCTAAACTAGCCCCTTTCCCAAGACGTATATTCCTTAAGAAATATGCCCTTGAGAACATTGCTCTCACAGGACACTTCAGTCATCAGTAACTTCATGTGGGCTCCAATGGCTGCAATGATCCACTGTACCTACCAGCCAAGAGCATATTCTAGAGGATTTCTCAATGTTAGAAGTGACGATGGCATTGCCACGGTTCTTTTTGTCAACAGTGTTCAATGGGAAGATTGTTCCTGCATGGGTCAATTTCTAGGAAAATCCACTTGAATTAGCGATGGAAAACAGCAAAAATAGTAACAGAAAAACACATGCGGCCTGCTTCACTATGTCCTATTACGATACATGGAAACGTCTGAAATCTTCACTTACATCTCCCTATTTTGACTCCTCATCAGAGAGGTGAGGCTGACTGAGAGGGAGACAGGAGGCTGTGGACCAGGGCCATGGGCCATGTGGGAGCAGGTGCTAGGTCCAAGCGCTCATTCTCCCCTAAGAGACTCTCTCCCCTACCAGGTCTCAAATCCATCACCCCATCATGTCCAGCACAAGAACTTGGCCATGCATCCATTCTCAGCCTGGTATCCCATACTCCAAGTGGCTCATCTCTCAACCTCACCTCATATCCCCACCTTTCCCAACCTTCCCACAGCAGAGCTTGTGCTGATTTATAAGGCTGCCTCTATTTTGTACAAGTTCCTACATAGTCCAAGGCCTGTTCTAGGCTTTCCAGTTTCTCCCACAGTACCAGCCCAGGCAGGAATACCACATATTGTAGTTACTGTTCATTTAAAACATTGATCTCTCCATCCACCCTCCTTTTTTTTCCCCACTGCTGTCTCAGACCTTTAGTATTCAATAGGTATTTTAGAATTATTTTGTCAAATTCCACAAAAATCCATGTTGAAATGTTGAGCATTTGGACTGTATTTTGAGACCAATTCATGAGGAACTGTCATCTCACCACACTGAGTCTTTTGATCTAGAATGAAATTCCAATGAATATCCTTCATTCATTCTTCAACCTGGTGCCAGCTGGCCTCAGCTTTGGCCTTTCCTCCAAGACTATTCTTGCTAAGATCCACGGGATGGCCCTGTTACCAATACTGTGGGTGTGTCATTCCCTGTTGTATTTGCCTCCTTGTGTTTGTTGTCTTTGATGACTTCTTCCTTGAACATTCTCCTCTGTTGCTGCAATAACACCTGGCTCTCCTGTTTCATCTGAGTACTTCTCAGCCGCCCCTTCTGACTCTTCTTGGCTGGACTTTCTGTGGCTATCTGACATGTAAATGACACCCCAGGGCTCCACTCTGAGCTCCTTTATGCTCACTTATGCTTTCTCCACAGATGAAGCTGTCAGTAGCCACGTCTTTAAATATCACCCAAACGCCAACACTTTCCAGGTTTATATTTCAAGCCCCCAACTCTCTTCTGAACTTTACCTTGGTTTTGTACATCTGACCACTTAGTCTCCACTTGGATACCTCACAGTTATTGCAAACATAATGAGGCAAAAAGCACATGTGGCTGTCTTCTTTGAATTGGCTTCTCCTCCAATTTTCCTGAGTTTAGTAAAAGTTCTTCCATCTACTCAGTTGATCAAACCAGTATCCCGGGAGCCATTCTTAAACTGCCTTCTTTCACGATGCATCAGTAATTTCATGGCAGGATTTCCACCTTCAAAATAGCATTGAGGCTACTGGATTCTCCCCATTTTCACTTCTACCATCTGCCCCAGCACAGAGCAGCTGAGATGGCCCCTCATTCCTCCTCTCTGTCCCCACCTCAATCCATTTTCCGTTTAGTGATCTGTATGATCTTTTCAATGGGTTCATACTTTTCCTTCACCTTAATTCTACAGTTACAGAGAATTACAGAGAGAATTAAACAGAAGACCCTTTCTGTGACCTGGGCAGCCCCTGCCTAACTCTCCACCTCTCTACGCATGACCTTTCTTTATTCCTCATCCTCCTGCTTTGTGAGCTTTCTTCCCTCAACACTCTCAGGATCGTTCCTCCTTGGCCCAGAATCTTTCCTGTAAGGACTCACACATATCCTTTAGGTCTCAGGTGCTATGTCACCTGCTCAAATGCTTTCCTTGGTTAAATTATCTCAACGAAGTCCCACCTTTATTTTCTCACGAACCCACTTTTTTCCTTTACTATGCTTCACATTCATTGCAACTATGTGCATGTGTGTGTTACTAGCTTATCTTTTATTATACTGTGACGTCCAGGTAGGGATGGACTATGTCTGTCATTCTCCCCTGGAGATCCAGCAGTTGGCCTGATGCCCAGTGCAGAGATACCTAGAGAGCACCAGCTAAAAACAGATGTGTATACAGTAGTCCTGCCTTATCTGTGGTTTTTCTTACCCATGGTCAACCAGGGTCTGAAAATAGGTGAGTACAGTACAATAAAATATTTTGAGAGGGCGACAGAAACCATATTCACATAAATTTTATTATAGTATGTTGTGATAATTATTTCTAAATTATTGTTGTTAATCTCTTACTATACCTAATTTATAAATTAAACTTTATCATAGGTAGGTATGCAGAAAAAAAGTTAGTATATATAGGGTTTGGTACTAGCTGCAGTTTCAGGTATCCACTGGGGTTTCGGAATGTATTCTCCACGTATGGGGGTGTTAAGGGGTTACTGTATCTGTTTATTGAAGAAATAAATAACTAAAGTTTATAACCATGATACCCTGTGGATGAGCAAAAAAAGCATGGGCTGTTAGTCCTGGTCTGTAATAATAACTCTGACACTGACTGTCATGACAAAGAAGAAATAACAGCATGGTGACTTCAATGCCTAGCATATGGCAGGCAATGGGTTATGGCCACAGTCACATTAATACGGAAGCTTGCATTTAAAGTAGTAAAGAACATGGCTACTGAGTGTGGCCCTTTTTTGGTTTTCCTTTTAAAGTTAAAACTGGCACTTAGATCTGATATCTAGTTTACCTTCACGGGCATTCCATGTGGTACCTGGGAAATAATATAGCTAAAATTGGGTATTATTTTCATTTTCACTTTTAGATTTAACCCTCTGCTTTCTGTGTGATTAATCCCACCTCACCCACATGCATGCCCTGAGGTCAATGCACCTTTCCATAAGCACACCTCACACTCTCCTTGGAGGGCAAGGCTCCTCCAAACGATGGTTGCAGCTGTAGCCTCCTGCTCGTTGTCAGATTTCTTAACCTTCCTATCCACATCTGCTCTATCAGTTCCTTCTCTCTACATGCTTCCCAGCCCTCTGCCCTTTGTCCTCCACTCTTATTCCTCCCACTGGGTCTCATGTGTGCTTTATTTTTCCTTCTCTCTCCTATGATACTAATGATTCCTGTTATGAACTGAATGTCTGTGTCCCCACCAAATTCATATATTGAAACCCTAGCCCCCCAGGGTAATGTTATTAGGAGGTGAGGCCTTTGGCAGGTGATTAGGTCATGAGGGTGCAGCCTCATGAATGGAATTCGTGCCCTGTTAAGAAGAGACATCTGCTTCCTCTCTCTCTGCCATGTGAGGACACAGCAAGAAGGTGGTTGTCAGCAACCAGGAAGAGAGCCCCACCAGAACCAACCATGTTGGCACTCTATTCTTGGACTTCCCAGCCTCCAGAACTGTGAGAAATAAATGTCTGTTGTTTAAGCCACCCAGGCTACAGTATTCTGTGATAGCAGCCCACGGTGCCTGAGAGACAACCCTCTGCATTTAAAGCTCTTACCTCCCATTATGAGATTTTACTTTGTTTCCCCTTCTCCATAACTACCTTTAATGCTGGCTCTCTCCCTTCTCTAACTGCCTTGTTCTGAATGGGCCTTGCTTGAGAGAGTTCATCCATCCCTGTCAAAGGCATCAAATTCCCTCTATGAGTTTGGCTCTGAAATGTCAACCTTCTGGCCAGCCTCTCAATTCAAACTCAGTTCAGTCTCCAGTTGTCTGCTGCAGAATTTTATTTCCTGGCGTATACACTGAAGTGACCACACCAGATGATGAGAGGTCAGATTCAGCTGCTGCCAAGGTGTAGTAAGAATGCAGTTGGGTGGAGATGACCTAGGTTAAATCCCAATGCTACTATTTCTCAACTGTGTGACCTTGGGCAGGATACTCAGGCTTCCTACAACTTCTTGTTCTCATCTCCAACATGGGGGCGGTGGCAGGATTGCTGTCATCCCCCAGAGCACTGAGCCCACGGCCAATACAGAGTGAGCCCCACATGGTCTACAGGAGGTCAGTGATGGACATGATGGAGGGATGGAGGACCATTGATAGTTCAAACTCAGGTACTGCATGCTTTCTCCCTGGAGAAGAGTTTAGTAGCACCTTGGTCAAGTTGCTGAAGTGTCAAAGGAAAAACTACAAAATATACGTACAAAATATCCTTAGGACTAAATCCAAGGTCCTCTCTTCTCCCTAATAGTTGAAATGATCTCTTGGGTCTCAGGGGATGTGCAGCACCAGACTCCTGGGATAATGCATTTGTGGCGTAATCTGTTTTGTTATAACTGTTTGATGTTTCAGTCAAATGCTGGTGAATCATGTGCATTTTCTCCTTCTCTAAAGGGTGATCTCTTTTTACATCCCTATGGAGTTTTCCACATTCAGGAATTGGGAGTATTTTCTGATTTTGCATTCTAAAAGAGTAAGATAAGAACGCAGATGTTTACAGCAGATTTATTCATAATTGCCAAAACTCAGAAGCAACCAAGATGTCCTTCAGTAGGTGAATGGATAAATAAACTGTGGTACATACAGACAATAGAATATTATTCAGCACTAAAAAGAAATGGGGTATAAGGCCACGGAGAAAACTTAAGTGCATGTTGCTAAGTGAAAGAAGCCAATCTGAAAAGGCTGCATACTTTATGACTGACATGTTGGAAGAGGCAAAATCACAGGGACAGTAAAATGATCAGTGGTTACCAGGGGCTAGAGGGAGGAAAGGATGAACAGGTGGAGCACAGAGGATTTTAGGGCAGTGAAACTACTCTGTATGATACCATAATGGTAGATGCATGTCATTATACATTTGTCTAAACCCGTGGAGTGTACAACAGCAAGAGTGAACCCAGATGTAAATCATGGACTCTGGGCAATAATGATGTCTCAATGTAGGTTCATCAGTTGTAACAACTGGACCACTCTGGTGGGGGAGGCTGAGACAATGGAGGAGTCTATGCATGTGTGGGGTTGGGGGTGAACAGGGACTCTTTACACCTTCCTCTCAATTTTGCTGTGAACCTAAAACTGCACTAAAAGTAAAGTGTATTAAAAAAAGGGTAAGATAGGAAATTATCCTCAATGAAAAAATATATAATCACATAAACAGACATTTCCCTTTCAGTAACACTTTTTGAAACTGTCCTAGTGCTTTGGGGGGAACAATGCCAACCAGGAGGAGGGAGATACAGGATCCTGAGAGCTAAAGGTGGGCTAAGCTCTCTCCTCTGTCTTCCCTGGAATTTCTACTTTCATATTAAAATCATGTCTAAAAACAGACTAATCATCCCCTCAGTCTCTCCTACACTTCATGGCCTTTTCCTACAACTATTTTTCTTTACTTAGTCATGCAAACAGAACACCTGGAGTCAGTGGAACTCATTAAACAGCAGAAACCATGTAGATGCATTCTACTGTCATAAGAGAAGTTATTCCTGACTGGTACACATGCGCAGAGCTGGTGTCTCCTCTGTCCCTGGCTCTGCTGTGGATAACTTTGAGGAAAATGAGGCTCTGAGAGATGCCTGATCTCCCCCAAGGGGAAGCTGGGGTTAAAAGGGTACATGTGGCCTCCTAGTTGTGATTTGATTGTGCCATGCTTCATATTTATATCAAGGAGAGGATATTTGTAGTTGCATGACTACAGCTTAACAGGCTATTGAAACATACAATTCATGTTAGAAAGCTGTTCATAACACACGGCTAAAACAACTAAAAAGTTGGTTCTTGGAGAAGTCTACTCTAGTCACTTGGAAACGCCACAGCGTGGATTTCAACTGGGGCATACGTAACAAGCATGCACTTCCCAAGTTTCCTATGTACAGGTGGCTCTATCAATTGCATCGCACTCCAGAAAATATTGTATTAGTGAAGACAGATTCACACTGTGGAAATAATTCACCCTAAGTGGAAAGAATGACAAAGAAGACAAAGAGTGACAAAGAATTCTTTCCACCTCCAAGTCCTTCTTCCAGGGCTTCTTCACACAGAATACTTGCTTACTTGTTTGGTTTCTGTGTTACTCCCCACTTTCCTAGTTGTGCATTCCTTTGGATATCAGTCTCCATGTTTTGCTAGGGTTGCAAAAAATCTTACCCAAACCACAATCTTGACGTCCTCCCCTCAACTACTGGTTCAATCTCTAATTGCTCCTTCACACAGCAGACAAAACATAAGAATTAAAACTCAGCCAGTCTCCTGAAAAAAAGCTCTTTAACAGCATCTTAGTTTGCCACAGTGGGCTCTGGAGCCCGAGTTTCAGTCCTGACTCATGATCCTGGGGACGTGCAAACCTGGCCAAGTTGGTGATGTATCAGCACTCCATTTCCTTACATCTTAACTCAATGGATTGCTGTGAGGGTGAACTGAGACAAACACAAAGGGCTGAGAACAGAGCCCAGCTCAGAGCAAATCTAACCAGATGACACTGACATCTGTCACCATTACCTCCCCTGAGTTTGGTCAACTCTGGCTCTTTCCGACCCTCCACCAACACCCCCTCCTTTACCAGACTCACCGTGGGCCCCACTCACTATCTGAGCAACTGTAGGATTTGTGAATAAGCTGTTTCTTCTGCCTGGGTGTTCTTTCCACCCTCTACCTCCTCTACTCCAACATTCACATCCTGCTGCTCAGCCTGACTAATTCCTATTGGTCCTTCAGAGTTCAACTTAAACGCTTTTTCCTCTAGGAAGCACCCCCTGGCTGCCCAGACCAGGTCAGCCCTCTGGCTCTCTATCCCGAGCATGCCCGTGGCTCTATCAGGGAACAGAGATTACATCTGTCTTGTTCACCATTGTCTCTTCAGTGTCTAGCATGGCACAGGGCCATAATACCCGACAAATATCTGCTGAATAAATGAAGTCATGGCTGGAACTGTCACCATGGGGTCAGCTATAGACAGGATGCTATCTGAGTGCTCTCAAATGGCAAGTTTGTCAGAAAAAGAATTCAAGACTCAAGTCTTAGCCACATAATGGGGAAATACAATCAGCAGTCAAGAGAAAGAGGAGACCCAACCAGCCATCCAAAACAAGAGTGTTCAGAGGATGCCTGAAAGCTACAGGTACGGAGACAGGACAAGCTAGAGAAGCTGATCATGTTTCAGCAGGGGCAGGTGAAACACGTTAATATAAAAAATGTCAATTTTTTCAAAATTAACCCAAAGCTGGAATACACTGTCAAGCAGAGTTCTAATACTGCATTTCGGGGAATTGGATACAATTATTTTGAAGTATGAACAAAAGAACTGATAATAATAGTAGTAACACACCAACAACAGTCAAGCCAAGAGCTAAATCAGGAATGTACTCCCATTCACAACTGTCACAAAAAGAATAAAATACCAAGGAATACAGCTAACCAGGGAGGTTAAAAATCTCTACAAGGAAAAATACAAAACACTGCTTAAAGAAATCAGAAGTGACACAAACAAATGGAGAAACATTTCATGCTCATGGATAGGAAGAATCAATATGATTGAAGTGGCCATACTGCCCAAAGCAATTTATAAATTCAATGCTATTCCTATTAAACTACCATTGAGATTCTTCATAGAACTAGAAAAAAGTATCTTAAATTTCATATGGAACCAAAAAAGAGCCTGAATAGCCAAGATAATCATAAGCAAAAAGAACAAAGCTGGAGGCATCATGCTACCTAACTTCAAACTATATTACAGGGCTACGGTAGCCAAAACAGCATGGTACTGGTACAAAAACAGATACGTAGACCAATGGTACACAATAGAGAGACCAGAAATAAGACCGCACACCTTCAACCATTTAATCTTTGACAAACCTGACAAAAACAAGGAACGTGTAAAAGACTCTCTATTTAATAAGTGGTGCTGGGATAACTGGCTAGCCATGTATGGAAGATTGAAACTGAACCCCTTCCTTCCACCATATACAAAAATCAACTCAAGATGGATTAAAGACTTAAATGTAAAACCCAAAACTATAAAAGCTCTGGAAGATAACCTAGGCAATACCATCCTGGACATAGGTACAGGCAGAGATTTCATGATGAAGATGCCAAAAGCAATTGCAACAAAAGCAAAAATTGACAAATGGGATCTAATTAAAGAGCTTCTGCACAGCAAAAGAAACACCAACAGAGTAAACAGACAACCTACAGGATGGGAGAAAATTTCGGCAAACTGTGCATCTAACAAAGGCGTAATATCCAGTATCTATAAGGAACTCAAACAAATTTACAAGAAAAAAACAACCCCACTAAAAAGTGGGCAAAGGACATGAACAGACACTTCTCAAAAGAAGACATACATGTAGTCAACAATCATATGAATAAAAGTTCAATATCACTGATCATTAAAGACATGCAAATCAAAACCACAATGAGATACCATCTCACACCAGTCAGAATGGCTTTTATTAAAAAGTCAAAAAATGGCAGGGCATGGTGGCTCATGCCTGTAATCCTAGCACTTGGGGAGGCCAAGGCGGGGGTGGATCACCTGAGGTCAGGGGTTCAAGACCAGCCTGGCCAACATGGGGAAACCCCATCTCTACTAAAAATACAAAAAAATTAGTTGGGTGTGGTGGCACACGCCTGTAATCCCAGCTACTCGGGAGGCTGATGCAGGGGAATTGCTAGAACCTGGGAGGCAGAGGTTGCAGTGAGCCAAGATTGAGATTGCGCCACTGTACTACAGCCTGGGCAACAGAGTGAAACTCTGTCTCAAAAAAAAAAAAAAAAGTCAAAAAATAACAGATGTTGGCAAGGTTGTGGAGAAAAAGGAACATTTATACATTGCTGGTAGGAGTGTGAATTAGTTCAACCATTGTGGAAGATAGTGTGGTGATTTCTCAAAGACCTAAACATAGAAATATCATTCAACCCAGCAACCCCATTACTGGGTATATACCCAAAGCACTATAAATCATTCTATTGTAAAGGCACATGCACCTATATGTTCATTAAAGCACTATTTACAACAGCAAAGACATGGAATCAACCTAAATGCTCATCAATAACAGGCTGGATAAACAAAATGTGGTACATAAACATCATGGAATACTATGCAACCATAAAAAAGAATGAGATCATGTCTTTTGCAGGGACATGGATGGAGCTGGAGGCCATTATCCTTAACAAACTAACGCAGGAAAAGAAAATCAAATACCACATGTTCTCACTTATAAGTGGGAGCTAAATGATGAGAATACATGGACACATAGAGGGGAACAACACACACTGGGGCCTACTGGAGGGCAGAGGGTGGGAGGAGGGAGAGGATCAGGAAAAATAACTAATGGGTACTAGGCTTAATACCTGGGAGATGAAATAATCTGTACAACAAACCCCCACAACACAAGTTTACCTTTGTAACAAACATGTGCCCCTGAACTTAAAAGTTATAAAAATAAGATTAGTAGTAATAATGATAAAAGCAGTGAACACGTTTACACTTGTAGTTGCACTAGCAATGGGTGAGGGTAACTCCACCCCCCCAAAAAAAAGATTAGCCACAGCTTGATAATTACAGAAGCTGGGTGATGGGTACATGGGACTCAGCATATTACTCTGTATATATTTATAGATGTTTAATATTTTCCATAGTTGAATGTTTAAAGATGTAAGTAAAACAAAATAAATTTAGCAGAAAACAAAAAAGAGGTGCTGTCTTAAGCTCTTCAGATATATTAACATACATCCAAACTCAAACAAGAAAACTGTAGAAAAGAATGACAGGGAGGGAGTGTACGCCTCACACTGAAGCTGTGCCGACCAATGCACTATGAGATCAATGTATGTTCCAGGTGCCATTTCCGTCCCCAGGGAAGAGTAGTTTATTTAACAGACAGAGCTGGCAGAAAACAAATCTATATCCTCCCACCCTCAACACAAATAAGTTTTGGATAAATTTAAAATATAAATGTAAAATAAAATAACCGTAAAAATATTAAAAGAAAATATATTCAAATATTTGTATGACTTTGTATTTGTATGACTTTGGCTTAAGACCTTCTTTTTTTTGGGGGGGCGGGGGGACGGAGTCTCGCTCTGTTGCCAGGCTGGAGTATAGTGGCACAATCTTGGCTCACTACAACCTCCACCTCCCAGGTTCAAGTGATTCTCCTGCCTCAGCCTCCCAAGTAGCTAGGACTACAAGCACACACCACCATGCCCAGCTAATTTTTGTATTTTTAGTAGAGGCAGGGTTTCACTGTGTTGCCCAGGCTGGTCTTGAACTCCTGGGCTCAGGCAACATGCCTGCCTCTGCCTCCCAAAGTGCTGGAATTACAGATGGCATGAAGACCTTCTTAAGCAATGTAGGATAGGTAGAAATCATAAATAAAAATAATAGAAATATTTAACCAGATAATGTTTCTTAATATGGCAAAATAAACAATATAAAAAGACATTAATATACTTAGAAAAATCGTTGAAACACATACACAGGCAAGGGACTAACAGCCCTCTAAACAAAGAACTGCTATCCACTATTGAAATAGAGACAGACAACCCCACAAAAACTCCAGCAAAAGACACGAACAAGCGGTTTACAGAAATGGAATCAAGATGGCCAGTAATGCATCAAAAAAGGTAGTCATGAAAAAACGACGCAAACTGCCAATGCCATATCATTTTCACACAAACTGGAAAAACCCTGGGGATGACATCCAGGGTCAGAGGGATTTATTGAGCACTGCATGCACTTGCATTTTGGGGGAAGATGTGAACTTCTATGCCCTTTTTGGAAAGTAATCTGGAAACGGCGATTCAAGTTCAATATCTAAGAACTTGTTGACTCAGTGGTCCCATTTTTGGAAATATATCTTACAGAAATAAGAGCAGGAGTATATTAGAAAGTGTTCAATGATATAAAGAATTTTTGAAGTGGCAGAAACTGGAGAAAGTCAGCATGCTTCTCAGCAGGAAATAACTGGATAGACTGAATGTGTTCATACGGGACTATCACACAGCATTCGAGAAAGAAATTAGACTGGATTTGCTCATCTGGAAGGACATCCATGCTGTACAGTTTCCTGAGGAAGGGAAGCTTCAGAATCATATGTATTGTAGGGAATCATGGACAGTCACTGGTTGTAAAAAAGTATCTATTTATAAAAGTGCATATTTATGTTCATAAATGTATAGGTGTAGCTGGTAGTTTGTACATAGTATCTGTTAGCTCAAGGAAGTATAAATTGGGTGGTATTATTAACATTTTTTAGCTTCTTTTCATTGTTTCACTGGCTGTAAAAATGTCACTATTTTTGCGAAAAAATTAATTGAGAGCATTTTTGTAAAAGGTTAACAGTTTGCCAGAGAAAACAAGGCAGAGAATTTCCAGGAGGGAATAATTAGTTAAATAGGAGACAGCAAAGACAGAAGAACTTGGGCATGGGGGGATGGGGAGAGAGGGAGGAGGGAGAATGGCAGGGGGCCTGGAGCTAATGATGAGGATTCCATGGGGCCAGATGAGGACCTCTGTGGATCCCTTATCTCCCATCTTTATAACTGGCATCCTAAGTGTAAAGAGGAGAGGTGAAGAATTTGGCTGAGGATGGAGACCTGAGCATGCAATAAGTCAGAATGGAAGAGAAGAAGGAACTCCAGCCACCACCATCAGCGCTGAATCTACAAAAGAGGTCCAGGGAGGGAGATCAGTTGCCTGCATCCTCCTTGGAGCAATCCCATAGTTTCCAAGGGTCCCAGAGGCATTCTGATAGAGCATGACAGTGATCCCTAATTTGACAACCCAGGAGGATTATCTGCCGTGACAGTTTTCTGTGGAGGAAAGGACCAGCACCTATGCTGCCTCCGCTGATAGGGCTGTTACCCCCTGTACATGCACACGCTGCTCCTCTGCAGCTCTCTCCGCAAGTGCAGCCTGTTGACTCCTGAAATCCAGCCTTACAATCACAGTGGCCCCAAAATGATTGTTTCTTGGGATAGTACGCAAAGGCACACTGCTGATCTGACAGCGTGGATGCCAAAAAGCTTAGAAGCAGCCTTCCTGATTTTAAGATGACTCAAATTACTCTTCAGCGGACGATTTTAAACTTTCATTTACACCTATTAAGTATCCTTAAAGCAAGGGATTCCCACACCATGCCAGGATTCCTGTAAATGCCACATGGCATCAGATCAGATACCAAGTACAGAGGTCTCTGAGGACACTGGACCTGCTGGGGAAGGGGCTGTCCACTCGCTGGGGGCTTCAGAAAGGCCACGGTCTTATGAAAGCACAATTTCTGGGGAGCAGCCCAGACTTGTCACAGAGAAATTTCTGGATGTGGGTCTGGGACTGATTTACAAACACCCCAGGTATTGTTATGCCACTCATCTTGGATCAAAAGACTTTGGAAACCACTCAAAACTCTCATAGTACTGAGTGCTTGGAGCCAGTGTAGGGACCCAACAAACACCTGTGGATTGGCTTTCTATAATGAATGCAATTTGAGGTTCCATGTCTACTAGTCGCCTGATGTCATCCAGTCCAATGCTAAAAGTATTGGATTCAGTATATCAAAAACAACTGGATATTCACTCTTGGTTGTACCCTTTCTCAAAAAATTAATGAAATAAAATGAAATGAAATAATATCTTAAAAGTAGTCACAAGTCATTGCAAAATCCAGGAGGAAAATAACAGTTTGGCTAACTTTAGACTTAATTAGATAAATATGCACGTTGCCATTTCTATGGTAATGTTAACATAATAGACAAAAGAGACATAAAACTTTCAAATAACTACTAAGGTTTTTAAAATGCAATGCCCACATTTGCTCACCATATCTTTTTTTTTTGGAGACAGAGTGTCACTCTGTTGCCCAGGCTGGAGTGCAGTGGCACCATCTCAGCTTACTGCAACCTCCACCACCCAGAATCAAGTGATTCTTGTGCCTCAGCCACCAGAGTAGCTGGGATTACAGGCATGCACCACCATGTAGTAGAGATGGGTTTTTGCCATGTTGGACAGGCTGGTCTTGAACTCCTGGCCACAAGTGATCCACCCACCTCAGCTTCCCAAAGTGCTGGGATTAAAGGCTGAACCACTGCGCCTGGCCTCACCATGTCTTGAATGCCTACACTGGGCCAGGCCCTTCTGAGGCACTGCAATGTATCAGTGAACAGAAGAGGCAGAAATCCCTCATGTGGCTTCTTTTCTAAAAGGGGCAGACCCGTCTTTGAATGATGCTACACTTGGTGCTCCAAACAGGATTTTACAGGTGACAGACTACTACCACGGTGAAAAGACAACAGAAAAGGGCAGGCGAGAGGAAGGCCTAGCGGAGTGTGAGGACATGAGTGGGGTGGCCGGAGCAGGCCTCACTGAGAAGGTGATTCTGGAACAAGGATGTGGAGGAGGTGAGCTGGTGACTTGAGTGCCTGGCAGGGCAACAGCCCCAGAGGCTGGAACAGCTTCTGGTGGGCAGGTGCGTCTGAGTGCCTGGAGCAGAGGTGGGGTCGCAGCTGAGGCCTCTCGGGTTGCCGGAAGCCCCATGAGACTCTCCGCTTTCCCTCTGTGTGAAACCAGGAGTCGCTGCAGGCTTTGGAGCCCAGCTGCCTCATGCTAGAGCTCACATGTGATGGGGCTCACTCTGGCTGCTGCTCAGTGAGCAGATGGTGGGGGGAGGGTGGGAGGTGGGAGGAAGGAGAGAAGCAAGGAGGAGATGAGTCAGGAGGCCACTGCCTTCCCAGAGGAAGGAGGAGAATGGTCTGGCGAGGACGGCTGCCGTGGGGGTGAGACAAAGTGGTGAATTCTCAATGTATTTTGAAAAATTGGTTTAAAAAAGAATCCAAAAGAAGGCATAAGTGAGAGGGGGAAAAAAAACAGAAGATGTGAAACAAATAGAAAGTACAAGAGGAGCTGGGTAGAGGTGAACCCAAATGTGCCACTAATTAAATTAAATGTAAAGAGACCAGATGCTCCAGTTCAAAGTAATAAATTGGCAGACTGAACGCAAGATTCAACTATATGCTGTTTATAGAAGACATCTAAAGCATACACAGAAAGGACAAAATTAAAAGGATGGGTAAGAAATACATCATGTGAATTGTAACCAACAGAAAACTGGTGTAGCGACATTAATAACAGACAGAATAGACTTTTAGGTAAAAAGCATTTGCTAGTGATAAAAAGAATTACTTCAGAATGACAAAAGTAGGACACAGATGTGAATGTACTATTGACAAACTTTACTTAAGGGTCATATAGAATTATACTCTCAAGAGCTGCAGAATACAAAATGCTCTTAGTACAAATGAAACATTTACAAAATATTTATCATACTCTGAGCCATAAAATGCATCATAAAAAATTTAAAAAGAAGAGATCATACAGACCAAGTTTTCTGACCATACTACAATTAACTTAAAAAGATAACTAGCAAATCCCCATATGGTTAGGAGATTTAACACATACTTCCAAATAACCCATAGGATTTGCTTCAAAATAATATAGGAGGTTGTGGTGGGAACAAGGATATAGAAAAAGTAAGATTGGCCACAACTTCATAATTTTTTAAAAAAATTTTTTATTACACTTTAAGTTCTAGCGTACATGTGCACAATGTGCAGGTTTGATACATAGGCATACATGTGCCATGTTGGTTTGCTGCACCCCAGAACTTCATAATTATAAAAGTTGGGTGATGAATACATGGATATTCACTTTATTGTTCCATATACACATAGATATTTAATATTTTCAAGAGTTAAATGTTAGAAACGTAAGTAAAATGAATACAATCTGCATGAAAAATTATAAAAATACAATAACCCAACAATGAAAGAAGAATCACAACTGAAATAATAAAATATTTTGAACTAAATCATAAAATATTTCACAAAAACGTAGTAAGAGACAATAAAAGCCATAGACAGAGAAAGTTTTATTGCTTTAGATGCATATACAAGAAAATAAAAAATACCAAAAATTTAGGAGCCAAATGTCCATTTCAATAAGATAGGAAAAATAGCAAAATAAACACAAAAAAAATTAGAAGAAAGACAATGATGAAGATCAGAAATTTTTTAAAAACCCCAGAAAACAAATATATGGTAGACAGGACCAAGAAAATCAACCATTAGGCTTATGAAAAGAATAATAATATTGAGAACCTCTAAAAATAATTCTATGCAAATAAATTGGCAAATATGAACATAACGGACACAGTCCTAGAAAAATAAAACTTACCAAGGCTGATTAAAATAACAGAAAACTTGGATAGCCCTATAACCACTAAACAAGTTAAATCAACAGATACATACTTTTGTTTTTCTTTATAAAAGGATCTCTAGGTGCAGATGGTTTTCTCAACAAATAAAGAAATAATTCAGTCTTACAATCTAATCCACAATAAAGAACAAGAGGGTACAATCCTAAACTCAGGTTATGAGACTAGCACATAATCTTGGAATGGAAATGTGACAAGAAGTAGTAAGAAAAAAGAAAAAAAATAACAGGGCAATCTCATCCACAACGATTGGTTATATACATTTATTACAATCATGGCAAACTTCTGTTTATTACAGGAATGCAAGGATGGTTTAACACTACAATATTTGCCACATCAACAGATTAAGGGAAAAAAAATTGTGTTACAACACATGCATGTAGATAAGGCTTTTTAAAAACTGAACCACTGAGATTTTATAAATCTAAGCTAGAAATGGAAGGAAATTTCTTCTATCTGATATACGGCTCCTTAGAAAAAATCTGGCACAACATTGTTCATATTTGTAACATGTCAAAAGCTTTTCCTACCACAGAAAAATAGAACTAAACCTAAACATATACATAATTGAATTAAATGCTAATGGACAAACTGCAGAATATTATTTCCAAGTTGCATACAGAGCATTTATTTTAATTAAGTCAGAGATAGAAAAGCAAAACCCGAATAGACTTTATTTACAGATACTCACTTTAAATATAAAGACATAGGTAGCGCGAATGAAAAGGGGTTAAAAATATATATGACATGCAAACTGTGAGCATAAGAAAGTTGGAATGGATGTATTAAAATCAAACAAAAGAGACTTCAAGAAAAAAGTATTACCAGAGATAAACACCTCACTATAATGAAAATATTAATTCACCAGGAAGACAATAAATATATATAAATACACGACTTCAAAATATATAAAGCAAAATATGACAAGACTAAAAGGAAATATAGACAAATCCATAACCATAGTGGATGATTTTGATGTCTATTTCTAAAGGAACTGCTAGAACAACTAGACAGAAAAGGCACGGATATAGAAGACCAGAACATCATCAACAAATATAACCTAATTGTCATTTACAGAATACTCTAATTCAAAACTGTAAAATATAATTTTTTTCAAGTGCAAAAAGAGCCTTCATATCTTGGTGAAAAAGCCATATGCTGATCCACCAAACATGTCTCAATAAAATTCAAAATGCTGAGATAACACAGAATATGTCCTAAGACAAAAAAGGAATTAATCTGGCAATCATGAAAAATGAGATATGTAAAAAAGTCCCAAATATTTGGATACTAAATAACATGCATGTAAATAACTCATGAGAGAAAGGAAAAACACAAGGGAGGTTAGAAAATAATTTTAAACTTGAAGATAATAAAAACATATAATTTTGGTAATGCAGCTAAACTGTGCTTCCAGTGAAAGTTATAGTACTAAACACATAAATGAGGAATGGCTTAAAATTAGTGATCTAAGTTTTCACCTTAAGTATATATGAAAGATAAGCAAATCAAGACCAAAGTAAGTAGAAAGAAGGAAAAAAGAAAGGTGAAATCAGCGAAATAGAAAATAAATAAAATCAACAGCTGGGGATGGTAGCTCATGCCTGTAATCCCAGCACTTTGGGAGGCCAAGGCAGGCACATCACTTGAGGCCAGGAGTTTGAGACCAGCCTGGCCAACATGTTGAAACCCCATCTCAAAAAAAAAAGAAAAGAAAAGAAAAGAAGAGAAAATTAAACAATCTAAAATTTGATTCATTGAAAGATTCATAAGACCGGTAAACAAACACCTAGCAAGACTGATGAAAGAGAGAAATGAGAAGGTGAGGGAGGGAAAGAGGGAAAGCAGGAGCTCGCTTATATCATCAGCATCACAGATGAAGGAGGGAACAGCACCTCAGATTCTACACATATAAAAAGAATAAGAAAATACTGTGAAGAAATATGTTCATAAATTAGACATTTAGATTAATTAGACAAATTTCTTTTAAAACACAACTTACTAAATGTGACATAAAAGGAAACAGAAAATCTGAACTGCATATTTTATTCTGAATCTGTATCTGCTAAGAAAATCGTATTTATTATGAAAATTCTTCCCTTAAAAAAGACATAGATGACTTCACTGGTGAATTCTATCAAATATTTAAGGAAGAAATAATAGTAATTTTATACAACTTTAAGAAGATAAGAGAAAGAAAAACTCATTTCCCAAGTTTGGCATGAGGCTAGCATACCTCTGACACTAAAAGAAGAATGTGAAAAGAAAAGAACAGATCAACAACCAACATGAACATTGCCATAATCACTCATACTGTATTAGTTGAGTCCTGTAATAAATGAAAAATAATCAAGACCAAGTAGAGTGTATCCCAAGAACATAAGATAGGGCAAACATTCAAAAACCAATAAAAATTATTTACTATATTAACTAAAAAAGAGTAAAACATTTGCTAAATTTAATACCTATTCATTTAAAAAAAATCCTGCAACCTTGAAATAAGAAAGAATTCCTCCTGCAATACAGGGCATTTTTAAAAATTCTATCCTTGAATCTTACTTTATGATGAAACGTTGAATTATTTTCCCTTATGATTAAAAAGAAGTTAGGCATATTTAGTCTTAATACTTGTACAAAAGATTGTAGCCAGTGCAATAAAGTAGAAAAGAGGGATAAAGGTTAAAAAGGAAAAATGAAAAGTTTTGCTATTTGTAGATGATATGAATGTCAGTGTAGCAAATTCTAAAAGCTCTATAATTAATAAATGCATTTAGTAAGGCTGCAAGTTACAAGGTCAATATGCCAAAAACATCAATTATATTTTTATATACTAGTAGCAAAAAGTTGGAAAATGATTATATACTAGTAGCAAAAAGTTGGAAAATGAAATTAAAAGAAATCAATTTATAATGGCTTTGAAAAAACATAAAATAATCCAGAATAAATTTAGCAAAAGGTGCCATGGCTTTCTACACTAAAACAAAAACCTCTGTTGAGAGACATTAAAGAAGACCTTACAAAATAGAAAAATATATTACATTCATAGATTCAAAACATCAATATTAGGGTCAGTTCTCCCAAAATTAATCTACAGATTCAAGACAATTCTATTTCTAAAAATCCCAGTAGGCCTTTTTGTAGAAACTGACAAAATTATTCAAAATTTTAAATAAAAATACAATTGATCTAGAATAGCCAAAATTATCTAGAAAAATATAAAGCTGGAAGCATTCCAGAACTTAAAGAGTTACTATAAAGCTACAGTAATCAAGACAATATGATATGGGCATGAAGGCAAATATATAAATCAATGGGACAAAGATGAAGATATAGCTCAATAGTACAAAATACAGGAGAGCTAGAAAGAAACCCACAACCATGACAAGGTAATTCAGAGGTAGAAGGCCTCAGCAGAGGTTGCTGGGAATAGCTGCATTTTCATGTGGGAAAATAATGTACTTCAATTCCTACCTAATGCCACAAACAAAGATTAATTCAAGATGGGTCACAAAACTAAACATTAAACCTACAACTATAACCTTTTTCAGAAGTAAACACAGTCTTCTATCTTCACAATTGGGGGTAGCTACAGATTTCTCAGAACACAGAAAGCAGTGATCATAAAAGAAAAAAATGAACATGTTAGACTTTATCAAAACATAAAAACTTCAACTCACTGAAAAGCATCATTTAGAAAATAGACAAATCCCCAAATGAGAAAAAAATATTCACAAGACAGACTTGACAAATGATTTAATTCTAACCTCTATGATAAAAGTCCTATGGCAACAATGAAAAGGCAGATTATCCAATTTTTTTAAAAAAATTGCCAAAAATTTGGAAGAGGAACTTAAAAGGAAGATATACAAATGGTCAACAGTAGATGAAAAAGTGCTCAACATCATTAGTTATCAGGAAAATGAAAATTTAGACCTCAAACAGATACCACTTGATACCCACTAGAATGGCTAAAATTAACATCTTACAACATCAAGTGTTGACAAGGATGGGGAGCATCTGGAACTTGCTTACATTACTGGAGGGAACATAGAAATGATGCCACTCATTTGGAAAAAGATATGATAGCTTTCTATAAAACTAAGCAAACATCAACCCTATTATCCTGGGGTTTCCCCACTAGGTATTTATGCAAGAGAAATGAAAACATGTGTCTACACACACAAAGACTTGTACAAGAATGATTAAAACAGCTTTATTAATAGTGACACAACACTGAAAACAACCCAAATGTCCATCAAGAAGAGAATGGGTAATGACTGTGGTGTGTATTTATGTACATACACACACCACATACACACACATATGTATACATATGTTCTTTACAATAGAATACTTACTATTCAATGATAAAAAAAGAACGACATATGGATATACTCGGCCATATGGGTAAATCTCATAGAAGCTGGAAACAAGGTAAATCAAACTCCATAGTAGTTTTTACATATTTTTTTTTTTTTTTGAGACAGAGTTTCACTCTCATCCAGGCTGGAGTGCGATCTCGGCTCCCTGCAACCTCCACCTCCCAGGTTCAAGTGATTCTCCTGCCTCAGCCTCCTGAGTAGCTGGGATTACAAGCATGCGCCACCACACCAGGCTAATTTTGTATTTTTAGTAGAGACAGGGTTTCTCCATGTTAGTCAGGCTTGTCTCGAACTCCTGACCTCAGGTGATTCACCTGCCTCTGCCTCCCAAAGTGCTGGGATTACAGGCATGAGCCACCAGGCCCGGCCTACCTGAAGTTTTAAAATTGGCAAAACAAATACAGTCTAAATAATTTTTAGAAAACTTGTTGCTTTTGGAGGGTATTAACTGGAACAGGGCACAGTGAAGCTTTCTGGGGTGAGAGAAAATTTCTGTATCTTGGTAGGGGTGTCATTTATATTGGTAGATGCGTTTGTCAGAATCTGTTCAATTGCACACTTAAAATGTGCTTTTTACTGATGTAAATTATACCTAAAAATACTACCACACAAATGTTGAACTATACTTGGTTGATTTTTTTTCTTTAGTATTTGATGGCAATTCTGATACCACTTTCTGTGTATTCTAGATTTGAACAAATGAGTAAATATATTAAGATTATTGAAAGCAAAGTGTCTTACTACTGGTAAAAGGAGTTACCAAGATGGGAAGGGTTGTGCAGATCGGGGCTGAAAGTATCAATATAAGTTCTCATTTTTGATACATACCCACATTTCTTAATTATGACAACGCCTAGAAGCAATGAGCACATCCAGCACCCAAATTTTTATTTCTAAATAACATTCCCTAAATAAAAGAAAGCAGAACTTCCTAGGAAAAGGCTGATTTCAGTGCTGGAGCAAAGACTGTAAAAGGAAATCCTAGACAACCTCCTTGCACCAGAAAGGAAGGAGGTGTTGAGAGAACAGTGGACACAAATCCAAAGGACAGAGAGCTAGTTTGAAGGGATTCCCCACCCATCAAATCTGGGGCAACCTGAGCATCACAATAAATAATGGTAGTAACAGAATATAATCTACTGGGTAAAATAAGATCCATAAGTCCATATAAATAGATGATTAAGTAAATGGAGAAGAAAAACCTCTTACATACAGAAGAATGCCAGTGTAGGAGGAATAATAGTTAGAAATTCATCAATGAGTGCTAAAGCTAGTAGATAACCACTAGATAAAAGTTTAATGAGCAAAATCCTATTAATTACAAAGGGAAATAATTTTACAGGGGAGAAACTTCCACTACCTTAACCAAGTGACCAAAATTAACATAACCAGTAATGGGACAAATCAACACCATACGCCTTTTTGATGCAATGCACTGAGGGACATAACATCACTTCCGTGGCACTGCTGGCAAAAATCCATAACAGGACTTTAAGAAACCTCGGAAAAATCAAATTGGCAGACATCCTACAAATTAACTTGTCCATGCTCTTGGAAAACACCAAATCAAGAAAGAGAAAGGCTTAGGATCTGCTCCAGATTAAAAGAGACTAAGAAGACATGACAATTAAGTGCAACCTAAGATCCTGGATTGAACCCTGGACCAGGAAAATAATGGCTATAAAAGACATTATTGAGAGAATTGATAAAATTGAATATGGAGTGTAGATTAGATACTAGAATTGTATGTGTTAAATTTTCTGATTTTAATAATTGCACTATAGTTATGAAAGAGAGTGTCCTTTTTATAAAAGAAAATATGCACTGAAATTTTCTGTGGTAAAGGGGCATGATGTCTCTACCAGTCTCAAATGGTTCAGAAAAAAAACTCCACGATGATATACACACACACACATATAAATATATATTCATAAATATGCACATGTGCCTATATATACACAAACACACATAACTATTATATATATTTTATATATATGACACACCATATATATAAAATATGACATACCATATATATAAAATATATATAGATAGAGCAAATGAGTTAAAAGGTATACAGTTGCAATTGGTTGATTTGAGTAAAATATATATGGGGTCCTTTGTGTCATTTTTGCAACTTTTCTATACATGTGGAAGTAGATCAAAATAAAATACACGAGAAGGTTTATTATAATGATGGGACTGTAAATTGGGACAACTACCCATTGAAAACCATTAGGCAGTATCTACCAAAGCTAAACGTACAAATACCCTATGAACCAGCAATTTCATTCCTAGGTATTACTCAATGGAAATACATAGATATGGCCATTAAAAACATGCACAAGAATATTCATAGCAATGTTATAATAGCATAGCATTCCTTTGCGTCAATATATCACAATTTATTTTTGCATTATACCCTTAATAGACATTTAGGTTGCTTCCAGTGTAGGGCTCTTACAAACAGCATGGAAAGGTGCTGAACTTTATTAGTTACCAGTGAAAAAAAGATACTCAAACATTCACCATGTGAGCACACATTTTAAAGTCTGTCCTTTGT
Source organism: Homo sapiens (assembly GCF_000001405.40). NCBI lineage: Eukaryota > Metazoa > Chordata > Mammalia > Primates > Hominidae > Homo > Homo sapiens. Next base: position 4,034,125 of record NT_187660.1, read on the forward strand.
AGGAACATGGATGAAGCTGGAAACCATCATTCTCCGCAAACTATCGCAAGGACAAAAAACCAAATACCGCATGTTCTCACTCATAGGTGGGAATTGAACAATGAGAACACATGGACACAGGAAGGGGAACATCACACCGGGGCCTGTTGTGGGGTGGGGGGAGGGGGAAAGGATAGCATTAGGAGATATACCTAACGTTAAATGACGAGTTAATGGGTGCAGCACACCAACATGGCACATGTATACATATGTAACTAACCTGCACGTTGTGCACATGTACCCTAAAACTTAAAGTATAATAAAAAATAAAACAAAAAACAAATTTTGGTGAGGATGTGGAGTAAAGTGAGCTCTCGTACACTGCTGGTAGAAGTATACATTGGCACATCCACTTTGGAAAACAGTTTGGTATTCAGTGTGTGAATTTGAGACAGATATCCCCCATGAGCCAACAACGCCACATCATTATATACCCCTAGACTAACCTACGCACATAGACACCAGAGTACAAGTCTGAGAAGGCTAATGGCAGTGTTATAATAGTTCCAAACTGCAAAGAATCCAAATGCTTACCCAGTAGAGTGCATTTTAAAAGTGGCATATTCAAACATCACACTGAATGGGCAAAAGCTGGAAGCATTCCCCTTAAAAACTAGAACAACATGAGGATGCCCACTTTCACCACTCGTATTCAACATAGTGCTGGAAGTCCTAACCAGAACGATCAGGCAAGAGGAAGAAATAAAAGGTGTACAATTTTTTTTTTTAAAAAAAGGAAGTCGAACTATCTCTCTTCGTGAATGACATAATTCCATACCTTGTAAAACCCTAAAGATGCCATGAAAAGGGCACTAGATCTGATAAACATAGTAAGTAAAGTTTCAGGATACAAAATCAACGTGCAAAAATCAGTAGCATTTCTATACACCAATAACATTCAAGCTGGGAGTCAAATCAAGAACACAATGCCATTTACAATGGCCACACAAAAAAATACAATACTTAGGAATACTTAACCAAGAGGGTGAAACATCTCTAAAGCAGAACTCAAAAACGCTGATAAAAGAAATTACGGATGACACAAATGGAAATGCATTCCATGCTCATGAATTGGATGAATCAATATTGTTAAAATGTTCGACCGGGCATGGTGGCTCGCGCCTGTAATCCCAGCACTTTGGGAGGCTGAGGCGGGTGGATCACTTGAGGTCAGGAGTTCGAGACCAGCCTGGCCAACATGGTGAAAGCCTGTCTCTACAAAAAATACAAAAATTAGCTGGGTGTGGTGGCAGGCACCTATAGTCCCAGCTACTCAGGAGACTGAGGCTTGAGAATAGCCTGAACTTGGGATGCAGAGGTTGCAGTGTGCCAAGATCATGCCACTGCTTTCTAGCCCGGGCAACAGAGAATCTGACTCAAAAAAAAAAAAAAAAAAAAAAGTCATAGTGCCCAAAGCAATTTACAGATTTAACACTATTGCTATCAAATCACTAATGTCATTTTTTGCAGAATTAGAAAAAAAAATCCAAAATTTACATGACATCAAAAAGAGCCTGAATAGCCAAAGAAATCCTGAGCAAAAAGAACAAAGCTGGAGGCATCTCATTACCCAACTTCAAACTATACTACAAGACCACAGTAACCAAAACAGTATGGTACTGACACAAAAGTGGACACATAGATCAATGGAACAAAACAGAGAGCCCAGAAGTAAAGCCACACATCTACAACCAACTAATCTTCCCACCCTTTAATACTATGTATAATTATTATTTGTGTCAGGATAAGTTGAACTAGTCATTGTTGAATAGAAACAAAGTTGACAAAAATAGGCAATGGGGAAAGGACTCCCTTATTCAACAAATGGTGCTGGGAAAACTGGTTAGCCATATGCAGAAGAATGAAACTGGACCCCTCCCTATCGCCATATAAAAAATTAACTCAAGATGGATTAAAATCTTAAATGTAAGACCTCAAACTATAAAAATCCTAGAAGAAAACCTAGAAAATACCCTTCTGGACATCAGCCTAGGCAAAGAACTTACGACTAAGTCCTCAAAAGCAATTGCAACAAAAACTAAAATTGACAAGTGGGACAAAATTAAACTACAGAGCTTCTGCACAGCAAAATAACACAGTAAATATACCACCTAGAGAAATGGCAGAAAATATTCACAAACTATGCCTCTGACAAAGGACTAATATCCATAATCTATAAGGAATGCAAACAAATCAATAAGCAAGGAACAACCTCATTAAACAGTGGGTAAAGGACATAAAGAGACACTTCTCAAAAAGAGACATATGAGTGGCCAACAAACATATGAAAAACTGCTCAACATCACTAATCATCAGAGAAATGCATGCCGAAACCACAAAAAGACACCATCTCATACCAGTCAGAATGGCCATTATTAAAAATCCAAACAATAACAGACAGTGAGGCTACAGAGAAAAGGGAACACTTACACACTGCATGTGGGAAAGTAGATTAGTTCAGCCACTGCAGAAAGCAGTTTGGAGATGTCTCAAAGAACTAAAAAGAGAACTACCATTCAATCCAACAATCCCATTACTGGGTATCTACCCAAAAGAAAATAAATTGTACTACCCAAAAGATACAAGCATACGTATATTCATTGTAGCACTATTCACAGCAACAAAGACATGGAATCAACCTAGATGCCCATCAGTGATGGACTGAAAAAAGAAAATGTGTTTCATATACACCATGGAATACTCTGCAGCCAAAAAAAGGATGAAATAATGTCCTTTTCAAACAACATAAGTGGAGCTGGAGGCCATTATCCTAGTGCAATTAACACAGAAAACCAAATATTGTATGTGAGAGCTAAATATTGGGTATGCACAGACATAAAGACAGGAATAACAGATGCCAGAAACTCCAAAGGAAGAGAAGGAGAGAGGGGGGCAAGGGCTGAAAAACTACCTGTTGGGTACTATGTTCACTATGTACATGATGGGATCAACAGAAGCCCAAACCCCAGCATCACACAATATACCCTTGTAACAAACCTGCACACATAGCTACTGAATCTAAAATTAAAATTTTAAAATAATTTATAAATGAATGTGGCATATTCATATACAAATAAAACACTGAATATGAAAGAACTCCAGGTACCTACAGTGATGCTTTGATTCAATGTATATGTTGAATCAAACAAGAAAGAAAAACACAAAATGTATACAGTATGATTCCATTTATGTAAAGTTGAAAACATGCAATGCTAAAGTATGATGTGTATGGATACATACAAATACAGTACAACTACAAAGCAAAACTATGTTGTTTTGGATGACGTATATGAGGAAAATCTATCCTCATAGAGAAATGTAGTTGTAAAAGTGAGGAGTATTTTAGTAGGTTTTTCAAATAATTGTAGGATATTCTTTGATATCACTCTGAAACTTGACAAGTGATAGTTGCTTAAAAGCTAGTGGCACTGTGGAATCTAACATGACATCAATGAACATTTTGTACTCTGTTACTCTAAAATCCATTGGTCTAGCTTACACTTCAAATGAATCTTTCATTCATGCATAATTTTGCTACATCATGCATTAGTCATCTGGAAAACATTAGCTTGCTGAGTTATGAAACTTTTTCAAATGTTGACATACTATATATTATGCAATATCAAAAATCACATTCACTAATATTACCGCCAATATTAATGCAGAATTTAAGTGCTGGTAAGCTATTTAGGTCATGTTTTAAAGAATATGAATGTTGACTGGAAAGCAACAAATGGTATTAATTGTTTTAACTGAGAGACTTACCCTCATCATTTTTGAAAAAAAAAATCTTTGCCATATAACAAAGTCTGAGTAAACATAGTTTGTCAGTCATTCTTTCAGGTAAAAGTGGTGTTTCATGGAAAAGGGGGCCAGTTCAGCTTGCAACTGAAACAACTGCACAGATGGTGATTTCGTTTTAAGACCACCATCATCATATGCAGCAGAAGTGCTCAGAATATTAAAACGACTTGTAGTCAAGGGTCAATATTTAATAAAATGAATCATTTTTACTGTTTCATCAGGGACATTACTAAGGGAAATTAGCATTTACTTTTACATTGTGCAAAACAGTGAGGAATACAATGACTAATGGCGCAGTTTGATGCCACAAGCTTGATTCAAGCTAAGGTGCCAGCAGTTTTACCACCATTACTTCTTGTACCATGGCCCAAATGTTCACATAGTGAAAAAGGCAAATGACTTTTTTTTTTTAAGCAAACTCCCAAAAAAAGAAATCTCCAGATCCAGGCAGTGTCACTGAAGAATTCTACCAAATATTTATTTATATTTCCATAGGTTATTGGGAGACAGGTGGTGTTTGGTTACACGAGTAAGTTCCTTAGTGGTGACGTGTGAGATTTTGGTGCACCCATCACCCAGGCAGTATACACTGTACCCTATTTCTAGTCTTTTATCCTTCACCCCCTTCCCACTCTTTCCCCAAGTCCCCAAAGTCCACTGTGTCATTCTTATGCCTTTGCATCCTCATAGCTTAGCTCCCACTTATGCATGATAACATACAATGTTTGGTTGTCCATTCCTGAGTTACTTCACTTAGAATAATGGTCTCCAATCTCATCCAGGTTGCTGCAAATGCCATTAATTCATTCCTTTTTATGACTGAGTAGTATTCCATCATATATATATATATAACCTGTGATATATATATATATATATATTATATATATATATATATATCTCACAGTTTCTTTATCCATTCCTTGATTGATAGGCATTTGGATCAGTTCCACATTTTTGCAATTGAGAATTGTGCTGCTATAAACACACATGTGCAGTTATCTTTTTTTGTATAATGACTTTTCTCTGGGTAGATACCAAGCAGTGGGACTGCTGGATCAAGTGGTAGTTCTACTTTTAGTTCTTTAAGGAATCTCCACACTGTTTTCCATAGTGGTTGTATTAGTTTACATTCCCACCAGCAGTGTAGAAGTGTTCCCTGTTCACTGCATCCATGCCAACATCTACTATTTTTTGATTTTTTTGATTATGGCCATTCTTGCAGGAGTAAGGTGGTATTGCATTATGGTTTTGATTTGCATTTTTCTGCTCATTAGTGATGTTGAGCATTTTTTCATATGATTGTTGGCCATTTGTATATCTTCTTTTGAGAATTGTCTATACATGTCCTTAGCCTACTTTTTAATGGGATTTTTTTTTCTTGTTGATTTGAGTTCATTGTAGATTTTGGATATTAGTCCTTTGTCAGACATATAGATTGTGAAGATTTTCTCCCACTCTGTGGGTTGTCTGTTTACTCTGCTGGCTGTTCCTTTTGCCATGCAAAAGCTCTTTGGTTTAATTAAGTCCCAGCAATTTATCTTTGTTTTTATTGCATTTGCTTTTGGGCTCTTGGTCATGAAATCCTTGCCTAAGCCAAGGTCTAGAAGGGTTTTTCCAATGTTATCTTTTAGAATTTTTATAGTTTCATGTCTTAGATTTAAGTCTTTAATCCATCTTAAGTTGATTTTTGTATAAGGTGACAGACAAGAATCCATTTTCATTCTCCTACATGTGGCCAGCCAATTATCCCAGCACCATTGTTGAAAAGGGTGTACTTTCCCCACTTCGTTTTTGTTTGCTTTGTTGAAGATCAGTTGGCTGTAAGTATTTCGGTTTATTTCTGGGTTCTCTATTCTGTTCCATTGGTCTATGTGCCTGTTTTTATAACAGTACCATGCTGTTTTGGTGACTATGGGCTTATAGTATAGTTTGAATCATGTAATGTGATGCTTCCAGATTTGCACTTTTAATATTATTATGAAAATCATTTTGACATTGTGAACCTCCTGAAAGCTTCTCAGGGACCCCAGGGGTCCACAGACCACAGTTTGAGAACTGCTGGAGTAGGGGTATGAAGGAGGTTCTCCTGGAATAACTGGTTGGTCTCCTTATTAGTCTAGTTGGCTGGCACAGAAGGAAGACGAAGAGAGTGAGAGAGACAGAGAGAGAGAGAGAGATGGTGTGTGTGTGTGATTATGTGTGTGTTCCTCTGTGTTCGTGTGTGTGTGTGTGTGTGTGAAAGAGAGAAGAGAGATAATTCTATTTAAGGAGGAGAGAGATGAAGGGAAGGTGGGAAGAGGGGAAGTGAAGGTGGGAGAGAGAATAAGGGAAGATAGGAGAGAGGGAAGGAGGAGGAATGGAAGGAGGGGGAAAGTGAGGAAGTATTAATAATATGTGGCGTACATGGTTTTTTAGCCTGATGGTGCCAGAAGCATTTGAAAACACAAGAGAACTTCTTCATATATCTGAGGGCGAGCTAGAATGCTACAGGGTGAGAACTCTCAATGGGGCCTTTCCTGTCCATTAGTATCAGATAGGAAGCATCATGTAAGGAAAACCTAAACTGTGCAGTCCTTAAACAAAAGTGCTAGTCTTTGGCTGGGCACGGCAGCTCACGCCTGTAATACCAGCACTTTGGGAGGCCGAGGTGGGTGGATCACGAGGTCAGGAGATCGAGACCATTCTGGCTAACACGGTGAAACCCCGTCTCTACTAAAAATACAAAAAAATTAGCCAGGCGTGCTGGCGGGCGCCTGTAGTCCCAGCTACTTGGGAGGCTGAGGCAGGAGAATGGTGTGAACCCAGGAGGTGGAGCTTGCAGTGAGCAGAGATTGCGCCACTGCACTTCAGCCTGGGAGACAGAGCGAGACTCTGTCTCAAAAAAAAAAAAAGTACTGGTCTTCAACGTCAAAGAAATTTTCAAGTAAGAATGGTGTTTTCACTGAAATGCTTCTCAATCTACCTTCGAGCTTTGGCCTTGCCTGTTTGCTTGTTTTCCACCCAGTGGCGGCCTAGGTCTGTTAACAGACTGGCAGCCAGGCAGGCAGCAAGGCAAACAGGGGTGTGCAGTGGCTGGTGTTGTCTACCTGGTGTCCGCTAGAAAGGGGTTATGGGCTTAAGCCTTCTGCAAAGGCGCATCATGAGTCACAGAGCAAGGGAGCAGAGCTGAGGACTCCAGCCTCACCTCCAGTGGGGACTCCGCTGAAGATGAGCCCAGCTGCTGCCCCTTGCCCAGTCTTGCCCCACTGGCCATGGAGTTAGCTGTGCCCAGTAACACTTCAGCGCCTGTGGACACCTGCTTTCAACTTCCACACCTCTGACTAAGGGCCTGTGGGTCCTCTGTTGCTTTTTCTTTCTAAACACAGAATAACTCTTTTACAGTGTATCTTTCTTTTTATTTTGTAGTTTGAGTTTTACATTATTACCATTCATCATTATTTTAACTTCTCTTTACTTATTAAATTGGAACAGGGATTTCTCCTGCAAACAATAATTGTGAGAATAATGTAGACATTAAAGAAAACCTTTTTGTTTCTCCTCTCAAGGTACTTTTCAGGGCCCTGGAAATGTCTATAAGACAGTCTTGCCACTGTGGTCCCAGAGAAGGCCATAAAGTCAGTGCTGACGCACAAAGTCACTGTCCTCGTGATGTAATCAACTATGGCCTCAATGCTCCATCCCCCAAAGCTAACATGGCCAGGGTGACAGAGACAGGGCTGCCCTCTCATCCATTCACTGGGTCCTTTCTGAGGACAGGAATGCATAAAAACCCAGTGTACCCAACACACACACACACACACACACACACACACACACACACTGCTTTTAGTAACTCTGAACCAGCTCAAGTTAAATAAGAATATGGGGATAGCCTATGCAAGATAAATAAATTAGATGAAATCAGCTTACAATTTACCATTATTTGGAATTTTGACAAAACTTCTGGCCTCACACCAGCTACTGCGGACCTAACAACTACTCAGCATCCCTCTTGCTTCTAAGGAACAGTACGCACAAGAAAGCAGTAAAGATTGTATACTGGGTATGTGGGGGCCACCGAAGTTGCTCCATGACATAGAAATGATGGCAGGAAACCATCCTCTTCCTCAAAGCAGGAGATCTCTCCTGTCTCCTCGGAGCCACTGGAATGCCACTGGACTGAGCAGGGTTAGATGGCACAGGCACACATCACATGGAGGCTCTTTAACCTCTGTCCCTGTCCAGATGAACCCAACTTCACTGTGCTGTCATATCCACTCCCATACCCCAGCTCCTGCTTTTCTCTAAGGCAGAGGCAGATCTCATTAATCCTGCACCTCCTGGTGCTGAATCTCCAGGGATCTTAAGTTGGAGCCCAGACAGCCAGGGATCTAATTCTAACCCCAAAGTTTGGGGAAGTTACTTCATCTCTTCTTTTATACAATGTGGATGGAAATGGCGCCTTCCTCATAGGGTTACTGCAGGGATGAAATGAAATAATATATATATTATATATATATATACGTTTATATATATAAAGGGTTCTTGGCACAGAGAAAGGACTTGCTAGAGGTTAGATCTCACTATACCACTCCTAGTACCACTGCTACTGCTACCACTTAAACACAATGGTCAAGAGGACAACTGCAATATTATTTCCAATAACCCCAGAAATACATAAATACATAAATCAATGTAACAAGGAGATTTGGGAGCCAGCCCCTGGACATTACCAGCCAGCCGCAACGTATTCCCATGTATTGTACCATGGGCAACCCTGGCCCTAAGGAGACAAAATCTCTCTTCCAAGACACAAACCCACAGTCACTAATGAAATGTCAATTACATTTCAAAGTGTAATTGTGGGTCACTTTCATGTGGACAAAGCAGTTTATATGGTAAATTAGAATTTAATAAGGAAGCCCTTTAAAATAATTCTATAGAATTCTTTGAGCATTGTCAGTGCCTTGAGTAAACAAATATTCCACAAAAATTAATAGGAGGATGTGAAGAGGCTTTCACAAATGAGGTTGACCCACTGATGATCGTTAGAACAGATGTGGCAAGAACTGTGTCACCCCAAAACAACGGCCAGATTCTCACTTGAACAAGCATAACAATATTCAATGCTAGGTAGTTTGACATATTTTAAGGGAACTCACAAAAATAAATGTCTTCGATTTTTATTTCATATGAATCCTAAAACGTAGGTTTTCATTTACTTTTAATGTTGACAAATTATCAAAATGGACTGAGGGACCTTAAAAGTCATGTAGTCAAAGTTCAAAAACTGCCTCAAGATAGCTACCTCCTCTTAAACACATATAAAACTGTAGAAATGGATAGTATCATTTAGATAAAGGGAAATACCAACATGTCTGTCACACACACACACACACAAAATCAAACACACAAACAAGCAAAACAGGAAACAATAGTGCCTTCCTGCTAAGCATGTGGTCATCGCCCTCTGGGCACACAGCCAAGAACGGCCCTGCTGTGTAAGTCAGGAGCTTCAGCTGGTCTCATTCTACTGAGTCTTTCTCCAATCTGGGCCTTTGACTCTAAAATTAGCAGGTACGATCACACAAACTCTGCAGAAACCTCCCTTCCCCGACGCTCTTCTAACTGCATTTTACAAGCATCCCACATCAGTGCCAGAACTGTATTCTCCTCTCTAGCTATGGGAATACTGCTCGAACCAGAGAGCAGACATGGTCATTTATAAAGACTATGACTTGCATTGGAACATCACAAAACTAATATGTTCTAAAAATATATAGCAATCAACAATTCACCCATAGTGGGGAGGATTATTTTGCTTCAGCTCAAGACTTTGCCAAGCTCCAGACCTGGAGCTAATGGCTTCTTTGACATCTCCAACTGGATGAAGCACAACTTCCTCAAACTCAACACGACTCCATCAGAAATCATCAAATCTCCACTCAACGCTGCACCCCACCCAGTATTTACCATACAAAAAAAACTGGGGAGCTTTTTTAATGTCCTGATTTAGCCTGGGCTTCAACCACAGTGATTTTGATGTAATTTTGATTTTGATGTCTGGGATGCTATCTAGGCATTGAAGTGTTTTTCTGACCTGCCCCCTCCAGGGTTTAGAATCACTGCTCTAGATATTTTAAATCCCTAATAATTTAATGGGTCTACACCTCCTCTCGTGGGTTGTCAATCTTAAAATGCTCTAAGATTGCTATAACCCTCCACCCAGGGACACTGCAGTCCATATCAATGTGCCATTGGGAGCTATGCAAGGCAGCAGCTCTGTATTTCCAGGCCTCGAGGTCTCCAGCACTCCACGCTCTCTTGTAGCAGCCATCAGCTCTGTCTCTGTATTAGAATCACTTGTGCATCTTTTAAAAGACACTAATGCTCAGAGATCCTGAACCAATGGGCTTGAATCCCACTGATAAATTTTTTAAAGGTCCCCAGGTGACCATAATATGTGGCCAGAGTCAATTACCACTTATTTGGCACCTACCCCAAAGAGAACTACTAATTTCTGCAAGGTATCCAATGGCCATGTGTGCATGAGTCTGCCCTTCTCAGGGCCTACATTCTGCTAATCCTGTCACTTCTCACACTTTCCTCCTTCTGAGTCCTGCTTCTTTAACTGCCTCACCTAATAGATCGTGGCTTACCACATTGGCATGCATTTTTGCCTTTTCGTTTTTGAGATGGAGTCTTGCTCTGTCACCCAGGATGGAGTGCAGTGGTGTGATCTCAGCTCACTGCCACCTCTGCCTCCCGGGTTCAAGCAATTCTCCTACCTCAGCCTCCCGAGTAGCTGGGATACAGGCGTGCACCACCATGCCTGGCTATCTTTTGTATAGTAGTGCAGGGTTTTGCCATGTTGGCCAGGCTGGTCTCAAACTCCTGACCTCAAGTGATCCTGCTGCCTCAGCCTCCCAAAGTGCTGGATTACAGGCATGAGCCACCACACCCGGCCAGAGTCATGCTTTTACACATAATATTCACGCTTTGTCCATGCTTCCCTCTACTCTGCATCACTTACTCTGGACTTGTACCAAACCTGAACATCACTGGAAAAAAATCTTAGAACTCTGATGACTAGGCTGTCTTCAAATTTATATCATATAGGCACTGAAAACTGCTAAATTGTTTTATTTTCATGGAAATTTCACTTTGTTATTCCCCAAGATGACAATTTCATACTTTTCTGTTTTTCTCAAATTTCCAACAAACTCTTTCCCTTCAGTCTCCCTTATAACTTTGCTACCTACTCCACACAGTGGTCTAATGGAGAACTCTTGATCTTCCCTATCATTATTCTTCAGCTTCTGTACCCTCATCCTTCATCCTTCTCTCACCTTACCTCCCTTTGGATGCTACCCTCCTCACCTGCTAAAAGTTACTAAGGGACATCATCCTTCCAATTAGCCCTGATTTCCACTGTTTCATCACTTCCTTCTTCTCTATATGAGATGTTTTTAAGTTGCTCATCTTAAAAATCAACTTCATATCTCCCTCCAGCTACCAATCCTTTTTATGCTGTCCTTTATAGCAACAATCTTTGAAGATTTATCTATACTCTCTGTCACCAAATGCTCACTTCTTCTCCCTTCATTTTATAAAGATACTTTCACTGGAATTAGAATTTTAGTTTTGCAGGGTTTTGTATTGAACACATTGAAGTTATCTTCCGTTGTCTTCCAGTTCCCAGTGTTGCTGTTAAAAGATATCCCATATTCATGGGCCAGAAAATGCAATGTTGCTAAGATGGCAATACTCCTTAGATTAATGTACAGATTCAACCCAATCCCTTTCAAAATTCCAGCTGGCTTTTTTTTCAGAAATTGACAAGCTGACCCTAAAATTCATATGGAAATTCAAGGGATTGAGAATAGCCAGGATAATCTCGAAAAACAAAGGAGGACTCACATTTTCTGACTTTAAAATTTATGATAAATCCACAATAATTAAGATAGTATGGTATTGGCATAAACCCTTGCATTTATGTCTGGTTGATTCTTTACAAGAGCAGCAAGATAATTTTGTGGGGAAAGAACAGGTTTTTTTGGGTTTTTTTGTTTTTTTGTTTTTTTAACAAATAATGGTCGGGCAACTTAGTATCCACAAGTGAATGAATAAAGTTCTATCCTTACTTCACACTGTACACAAAAATTAAGACAAGATTGATCATGAGCCTCCTAAACCTAAGAGACAATAGCATAACAACACTTAGAAGAAAACATAGCAGTAAATCTTTGTAATCTTGAGTTAGGCAATAATTTTGTAGGTACAATAACAAAAGTACAATCAACAAAAGAACAGATAAATTGAACTTCATCAAAATTACAAAAATTTATAGTTTTTTCTCAAAGAACACTATCAAGAATATGGAAAGGCAACCTACAGAATGGGAGAAAATATTTGCACAATGTACATCTGATAAGGGACTTGTATACAGGATATATACAACTCAATAATAAAAACACAAATAACCAATAAAAATGGACAAAGGATTTGAATAGATATTTCTCAAAAGAATACATAAAACCAGTCAATAATCACATGAAAAGATACTCAACATCACTAGTCATTAAGGAAAAGCAAATCAAAATCACAACGAAATATAACTTCACACCCACTAGGATGGGTATAATAAGAAAGACAAACAATAATAAGTGTTGACAAAGATGTGGAGAAACTGGAAATCTTATACTCTGCTGGTAGGAACATAAAATGATACAGCTACTTCAAAAAATAGTTCAGCAGTTACTCAAAAGTTAAGCATAGAATTCCCATATGACCCAGACATTCTACTCCTAGGTATATACCAAAGAGAAATGAAAACATATCTGTATATGAATTGTCATAACAGCATTACTCATATTAGCCAAAAGTAGAAAAACCCAAATATCCATCAACTGATTAACAGATACATGCAATGTGATATATCCATACAATTGAATATCAATCAGCAATGAAAAGGAAGGAAGTACTGGTACTTACTACAACATGGATGAACCTTGAAAACATTAAGTGAAAGAAGCCAAACACAAAAGATAATATATTATATGATGCCATTTGTATAAAATGCCCTGATAAATCTGTAAAGACAGAAGATAGATTAATGGTTGCCTACAGAGGGGGGCATGTGTGTAAGTCACTGGTAATGGGTAAGAATTTCTTTTTGGGGTAATGAAGTGTTCCAAAATTAAATTGTGCGAATAGTTTCATATATCTGTGAATATACTAAAAATCAATAAACTGTACTTTTAGTGGGTGAATTATGGTATGTGAATTATATCTCAACCAAATTGGTTTTTCAAAACTAACAGTAAAATCAATGATGTGGTAGCAATTCTGCAGTGGCAGGAGTGGTGGCCACAGCTTCCAGGCATGTTCCTAAAACTCTGAGGGAGGGGAATTCTCCTCTCTGCCCACAGGAGCTGTGGTCTCAAGGGCTTGGAGCAAATCCTCATTGCTTTTTTTCTCTGTCCTCCCACCATTTAACCTCCACACAGATAAAGTCATAAAGTACAAGACAAAGCAGGGACACTAAAGCCCTGGCTATCTGATCAAAGGACACTGAAAGGAGCATAAAGAACCAGAAAGACTGTGAAGAGGAGGAGCTCAAGAAAGTAACCCTGTAAAGGGAGGTGTGATCTTCTGGCTCACCTCTGAGCTGTGCATGCACGAATCTAACCCTAAACAGTACACCAAAGGCTTTGATTATAGAACTATAGGACTAGCTATCATCCAGGTCCCAGGCTTGCCACTGAGTGGTGCGTAAGCTATAGAAGGATCCAAATAGCATTGCGAAAGCTCTGAAAACAGACTCAACTTTGGAACCACATCCCTGAAAGGGTCAGAACTTGAAGCCTGAACCTAGCTATGTAGATTGCCTGATAAAACAAACAAAATCAATATTCTCCTTATGATAAGACATAGAGTCTGATAACGTAATATTCCAAATGTCCAGGATTCAATCCAAATTACTTGGTACACAAATGACCAGGAAAATCTTTACTACAAGAAAAGAGAAAAACAACATATGCTACTCCGAGACGACAAAAATATTGGCAAAAGCAGACAAAAGCAGCTATAATAACCATGCTCCAAGACGTAAGAATAAACAAATGTAAAGACAGAAGTCAGCCAGGTGCGGTGGCTCACGCCTGTAATCCCAACACTTTGTGAGGCTGAGGCAGGCGGATCACCTGAGGTCAGGAGTTCAAGACCAGGTTGGCCAACATGGTGAAACCCCATCTCTACTAAAAGTACAAGAATCAACTGGGCCTGGTAGCATGTACCTATAATCCCAGCTACTGGGGAGGCTGAGGCAGGAGAATCACTTGAACCCAGGAGATGGAGGTTTCAGTGAGCAGAGATCGTGCCACTGCACTCCAGCCTGGGCAACAGAGCGAGACTCCATCTCAACAACAACAACAACAACAACAACAACAAAAGACAGAAGTCTCAGTAAAGAAAAAAGATATAAAGAAGAATCAAGTGGAAATTTTAGAGATGAAAAATACAATAGCTGACATGTAAAAAATGTTCTTTAGATGGGTTAAATGGCAGAATGGAGATAGCAGAGGAAAGTCACTGGACTTGAAGAGAAATCAATAGAAATTATCTAATTGGAACATCGGAGAGAAAAAAATGAAAAAAATTAAGAGACTCAGGAAACTGAGGGAAAGAATTCAAAAGGTTGAACATTTGTGTCACCAAAGTCCCAAGAAAGGAGTAAGAGTCTGGTGTGGAAAAGAAAATTTGACAAACGGTGGCTGAAATCTTCCCAAATTTAGTGAAAGACAAATTTATAGATTTAAGACACTCAGGGAACCCCAAGCAAAAGAAAATAAAAGAAATCCAGGCCCAGACAAATCATAATCATGTGGCTGAAAAACCAAAGACAAGATTTTTGACAAAAAGCCTGAATACAGCAAGGAAAAATCACCGCATTATAAATAGGAGAACAACCCTCTGAATGACTGCAGAGTTCTCATCAGAAACCACAGAGGCACAACATTTTTAAAGGAATGAAAGACAAGAACTGTTAACCCAGAATTCTATACTAAGTACAAATAATCTTCAAGAATGGGGAGGAAACAAAGATATTCTCAGATGAAAGAAAATGAAGAGAATTAGTCAATGGAGCTGCTCTGAAAGATATGTTAATGGAAGTTTCTCAGACAAGAGTGACACGGGAGGGAAACTTGAAACTTCAGAAATAAAAAGCAACAGAAATGGTACATATATGGATAATATAATAGATTCTTCTCATAATTTTTTTGTTACAAAACCCCAAATAATTTTAATCTCAATTTGCAACATAATCCACATTTTACATATCTATAAGCAATAGAAGTTTTAGTATACAAATGCCTTAGAAAGAATTCAATTTGGTCCAATAATTTTATAGCCAGGATAAAGTCATATTTATAATTCATAATTTTCTGTCAAGGTTTTTAATAAAAATCAGTAATGTTAAATGGAACACTATCATTTTATAGAGGAATAGTATGAAATTACATTGAGAAATGAGAATAGTCATTAAACATTAAGATTTTATTACAACCCAGGCATTATATATTTCTTTACACTTAAGGAATAGATATGAAACAATCTTGAAGTAAAAAATAGAAGGCAACTTGCTTCAAGTTTGTACCAAGTCAATCAAGCAGAAACTGAAGAACCTTGTTTTAAGATGAGAGTCATTTATACTTGGCAAGCGTTTTCTTCCAATGTAAAAATAAAGTCAATGTGCCATTATCTTGACACTTATAAAAATGTTTATAAAAAGCATTTAGGCCATTGATTCTCACAGTTGGATGAATATTGGAATCACCTAGATTAAAAAAAAATACTAATCCCTATACAACATCCCCAAAATTCAGATTCAATTAGTATAAATTAGGCCCTGGGCATATAGGCTGTTTTAAAACTCCTCGGGTGAGTCTAACGTGCACCAGTTTGAAAACCACTAGCTTAGAGACCTGTTCCATCATCATAGAAGTCAGTCTTTAGCTGAATGATTCTATATGCCCTGATTTCAGTGGGTAATGTTGTTATTTTAAGCATCTGATAGGTGTATCTCCCTTGATTAAAAAATAAATACCTTATGGAAGAGATTATATGTTTTATTTATCATTGTCTCCGCATATCTGGAATAATGAAAGGCACATAGCAGTTGCTAAATAAATATCTTTTGAATGAATATATGATTGCCTTATACTTCTTTTACATCCTCATCTTCTAATAGATTATGAAAATTAGAATTCAAAATATATATATTGAACAAATGAATGACTGAAGCAGTTGGGGATAATATTTAAGGCAAAACCAAATCTGATAAAATATATACATATTTTAAAAACACATACATATATATATAAATAGATCAAAAGTGGAAAAAGAATATATAGAAGAGTGCAACATTTGGCAGCTGAGAATTATTTCATTGAGTTTTCAAATATTCTTCACATTCTTATACTTAGAAACAAAGAAGTAACCCCAAACAACTAATTCATTAGCTAATATCTCAGAACTTGCACATGTGCAGATAAATTTTTTTTAAAAAACAGAATTACAGTTTAATCCCTAACACAGCTCAGTTTTCAAAATTCAAGTAAATAAAATTTTAGCACACATCATGATAGCCTTACTGGATAGCTGTGTTAAAAACAAAAAGTATATGTTATGTGCTCTCAATTGAGATCTAGTTAGTTTCCTAGGAGTCTCACATTGATAAACATCTATTTTGGCACTACCTTACATAATGTGTTTATTTAGAAATACCTTATTAATGACAGACTTCCTTTTGAGTAGCTACATTCTCAGATATGGCTTCATTTATCAAAGTTCCACAAGTATTACATACTTTTTAATTCAGCTAGTATCTTAGACTACAGAACTTTGGTTTTCTTAAAATCAGCATTGGTTGCTTGATTGTAGGTTTGTCACCAAAAAGTGCTGCTTCACTCTCCATGGTTGGAAATCTTTTCTGATATATCAAAGGATATTCCTTCTGAAACTATTTTAGTTTTTTTCTTTTCTCCTTTAGAGGTAAAGTCCTGTTTTTAACAATATTTTCTAAAAGTTCTGCAATTGCAGCTTGAGAGGTAGAAATTTTTTGCTCATCAAACTCCTGAGCACTAATCTGCTTACCGTATGAGTAAGTTGGCAAAGGAGCAAATAGTCCATCTCCAGGACTTTCAATATGTCCCCTTTTTAAGTAGTCAAGATGTTTTTCCACTGCAGTCTGCAAGTAAGAGGGTACTTGAAGAATTTCCTGATCATGATCCATTAAGAAAGAAACTAATCTTCCAGCAAGAAGCTCATCAAGGTCCACTTCTTCAGCACAGCATAACACACATTGAGAAACGGTATGTATCAACAGTGATCTCGCACCCATTGCATCATGAAGTTTGGGCATATCAACATTTTGACTCATTCGGGAAATCATACGCATTAAAAGTTGAAGCTTTCTATGATTTGGTGGGGGAAATAACAAACAACATAACTGTAGAGCATCGATGGCAACCCTCTCTAAATGAGGTTGCAGCAAACTTTGTGTGCCAGTCAACACAGAAGAAGCTGGAAGTAAAGAGTCTTCTGAAAGTTCTATTGTACTTTTGCAGAGTCTTTTATTGATTGTGGCACTAGACTCTCCAAGTTCACTTTCCATAGCTGTTTGCACACTTGTGCTGCCTTGTCCAACATTTGGTTTCATGGTAATTTCAGCCACTGGTGTATTGATAAT
This sequence comes from Homo sapiens, assembly GCF_000001405.40. Lineage (NCBI taxonomy): Eukaryota > Metazoa > Chordata > Mammalia > Primates > Hominidae > Homo > Homo sapiens. The sequence goes on from NT_187660.1 coordinate 4,051,700, forward strand.
AACTATTCCTTCTTGTACTACTTGTTAAAAGCAAACTCTGAGACCTTCAAAGCTGTTCTGACTTGCATTTCCCATTACACAACTCCTCTTGGTCTTGAACAATCAAAGTAGAGGTTCTCTTAAAACCAGCACTGAATGGCTTTTGAATATTTTCCTCTGAATGAAGATTCAACAGGAATTCCTGTTTGGGCTTAGACTCTAAAAACAGTTTATTATTTTGTCCTTCTATGTTCGGAAAAGATTGATGGAAGACACTGGATGCCTCTTTACTTGAATTCCCTGACACATCTACAATTCCTTCCAAAGAATAGCACCTTGGTTTGCTGTTAGAGGATAGATCACGCATACTACTTAACCCTATTAAATTATGACAACTTCCTCCCATTATGTCATTAGCACTCACTCTTCTGTTTCTTAAATTAACTAGCTGCATTTTCTTAGCACATCTTTCTTGAAATCCTGGATTGCTTATCTGTAGTCTCTCAGTAGAATCTGATTCTTCTTTATTTTTTTTTCTCTACGAAGCAGACTGAGAAGGCGGCACTCAGTTGATTTGAAGGAACTCAAATTGTTTAAGTGAAGGAATTTTGAAGACTGGGGATCATCTTGGATTTTATGTATCCCACTGGATCTATCTGAAACTGTTATGTAGCCACAAACAACTACCACGAAATGAAACAAAAATGAAGATGCAACCAAAATGTTCACAAGTAATTCGTAATATTCAAAAGTAAGTAGAGGTTCAGGGAGATCTAGAAAATAATCTGTGATTGTTCTGAATACATGTCATTCAAATCCAACATAAGTTGGATTATTCATATCATTGCTTCTTGGCCAATTTGCTAGGCACTTCATGGCAGATAATACCCAGTGAGGGAGGTCATCTGATTTGTTTTGTAGTATAACTACTCCATGTTTACTTGTATTGGCCCCATTATATATTGGGGAATTACTTGTTTTGGATTTATGACTTCTTCTAGGGATGGCACACCTAAAATAGTTTGCAGGTAGATCAGAATAAAATATCTCCAAACTTCTTCAACGTCTTCCTGGCTTAGTTCTCTATCATCAACTGCATTTTCTTGATCTTCATTTATTATTTCATGTTTTATTTTCTCGGCATTTTCCTGAGATAAATGTAATCCATGCTTTTCAGCAGTTCTACGAGATAAGTTTTGTAATTTAAAAATACTATCTTTATCTTTGGAAAAGTTCTCTATGCTGTTTTTTCTCAATTCTGGATGCCTTCGTGGTAGAGTTTTAAGTGGCAACGTTGCAGGAAATCTGAAGAGCTGGTTGTTATCATCAACATTTTCTGATCCCCACCTCCCTTTGATATCTTCAATTATACGATTCTTAAGAAATTTCCTCAACAGTTGTTGCCTTGTAACTTCAGGACCAAAATTGCTATTATTTCTTAATAGGTCATAAAGCCAATCCCCTGCTTCTCCTGCTGTGAAACAATTGCCATATTTTTTAAAGTGTTGTCTGTGTTTTCTTAGAGGCATTCCTGCTCGAAAAGATGTGGTAACTTCATTCCACAGCTTGGTGGCCCGATAAGGCCCGGGAGGCACAACCCGACTCTCCACAGGTCTGTCAGCGTCCGGTGGCATCCATGGCAGTGTAGGTGACACTCAAGACCCAGCAGCCCGGGCAGCGGCGAGTCTCGGCACAACCATTGGCCCTGCCGCCAACTTGTATAGCATAGAGGGCTGCGTGGATTGGCCTCACAATTTCTATACAATATCTATAAAGTAAAAGTGATGCCAGGCATGGTGGCTTATGCCTGTAATCCTAGCACTTGGGGAGGCCAAGCCAGGTGGATCGCTTGAGCTCAGGAGTTTGAGACCAGCCTGGGCAACTTGACGAAACCCTGTCTCTACCAAAAATACAAAAATTAGCTGGGCATGGTGGCACATGCCTGTGGTCCTAGCTACTCGGGAGGCTGAGGTGGGAGGCTCACTTGAGTCTGGGAGGCAGAGGTTGCAATGAACCGAGATCGTGCCACTGCACTCCAGCCTAGGTGACAGAGACCCCATCACAAAGAAAAAAAAAAAAAGTGATAACACTGGTGGCACTTTCGGCGTCTGCAGATGTAATACATAAGACACCTACAACATAAAGGGGGTGAAGTAAAGGGACCTATATGGTGGTAAGGTTTCTACATTCCATATTGAATAGTTAAATGTTGTTCTACACAGACTGTGAAAAAATAAGTATGAATATTGTAATCTCTAGAGCAATCACCAAAAAGCATACAAAGAGAATATAAAAACAGAAAAGTTAAAATAGAATACTAAAAAAATTCAAGCATCCCAAAGATAGGAAAGGGGAAACAGGTACAAAAAAGAAAGAACAAACAGTAAACAAATAACAAAAAACTGTCCATCTAAGTACAAACAAATCAATAATTAAATGCAAAGGGCTGAAATATGCCAACTAATAGACATCGATTATTGGAATGAATTTAAAAATAAGACTCAACAATATGCTTTCTCTATGAAATCCACTTTAAGTTCAACAAAATACATAGGTCAAAAGTAAATGATGGCCAAAGATATGTCATGAAAACATTAATGGAATCAAAGCTACAGTAGTTCTATTAACATCAGATATATTGTCACCAGATACAGTAGACTAGAACAAGGGAAATTCCAAGGATTAAGAGAGATAATATGTAATGATAAAAGGTTCAATTCACCAAAAAGAAAAAACAATCCCAAATGTGTATGCACCTAACAACAGAGCTTCAAATTACATGAAGCAAAAAATACCTGGAATACAGTTGGGCAGTTTTTAAATAAAATTAAACATATACTTACGCATGACACAGCAATCTCATTCATAGATACTTATTCTAGGGAAATGAAAACTTAGTTTTCCCAAATGCCTGTTCACGAATGTTCATAGCCACTTTATTTGTGATAATCCCAAACTAGAACCTCCCAAATATCCTTCACAGTGTGAATGAATAAACAAACGGTGGTGCATCCACACAATGACATACTTTTCAGCAATAAAAAGGAATTAACTATTGATTTCACACAACAAGGATAAATCTCAAATCTGCTATGCTGAGTGAAGGAAGCCAGTCCAAACATAATACATAGCATATGATTCCATTTTTATGACACCCTGAACATAGCAAAACTATAGGGGCAGAGAGCAGATTAGTGGTTGCCAGGGGTTAGTTAGGAGTAAAGGAAGGGCTCACTACAAACGGGCAGCTTGGGGGAGTTTTGCCAGGTGATGAAATTGTTCTGCACACTGATTGTGATAGTGGTTAAATAAAATCTATATGTGTGTTAAACTCAGAACTATACAACAAAAAGTCAATTTTGCGGTATGCCAATTCAAAAAGTAAAATTAAAAATGTAACTATATTAGAAAAGACAGGTATGAAATTAATAAGCTAAGCATCCACCTTAAGAAACTAGAAAAAAAGCAAGCTAAACACAAAAGCAGAACAATGAAAACAACGAAGACCAGAACAGAAAACAGAAAAATAAAATATCAAATGGTGGCTCTTTGGAAATATTAACAAAACTGACAAACCCTTAGTCAGATTACCAATAATTCAAGAGAGTACAGAAATCACAAAAATCATGAATGAAAGAGGGGACACTGCTATCAAAACTACAGACACCAAAAGTATTAATTACATGGGAATATGAACTACTTTATGTAAAAAAGTCAGAAAACTCATATTAAGTGGACAAATTCTTAGAAATATACAAATTACCAAAGATTATACAAAAAGAAAGTAGAAAATCTGAATAAATCAATAACAAGCAAAGGAATTAAGCTGGTAACAATACTCTTCCCACAAAGTAAAGTCCACCCTGAAATGGTGTCACTGGTGTATACTACCAAGGACTTAAAGAAAGTATAATATTAATCCTTCACAAATGCTTTCATAAAATACTGGAGGAGGGAACACTGCTCAACTTATTCTATGAAGTTAGCTTTAGTCTGATATCAAAGCCAGACAAAGAAAAGAAACTATAGGCCAATATCCTTCATGAACACAGACATAAATGGTCTTAACAAAATATGAGCAAACCAAATTCAGCAACATATTTAAAAAGATACACCATGACCAATTTGAATTTATTCCAGTAATAGAAGGTTGGTTTATCATTAGAAAATAATGATATTATGTTAACAGAATAAATGAAAATGCCAAATAATAATCTCACTAGATACAGAACATACAGGAAAGCCTTTGACAAAATCTACCATCTATTCATGATAAAAAATTCTCAACAGATTAAGAATATAAAAGGACTCCCGCAACCTGACAAAGGGCATCTTTGAAAACACACAGCCTATATCAGACTTGACGGTGCAAGTGTGCATGCTCTGCACCTACGATCAAGAGCAAGGCAAGGATTCCCTGCGCTTGCCCCTCATGGTCCACATTGTACCAGAGGCTCTGGCCAATGAAATAAGAACAACAAATTAAAGGCATACATATTGGAAAGAAATAAATCTCAACTGACTTTACTCACAGATGAGTTTTTTAGAAAATTATAAAAAATGTACAGAAAAATTACTAGAACTAACACTTGAGTTTAACAAGGTCATAGAAGGGTAGATACTGAAAGAGGAAGAAGAATGTTTCTGTTCAGCTGCTTATGTTCTGTTTCTTGGTCTGGGTACCGGTTTATTGGACTATCTATTTGTCAGCTCCATTTAGATGTCTATCTGGCATCTCAAACTTAATATGCCAGATAGAAATACCGACTTTACTTTCAAATCCACATCCACTGGCAACGGCCCATGAACCATCTCCCTTCCCACCAAATGACATCAACATTTACGTGATTGCTTAGGTCAAACGCTTGGAATTGTCCTTGATTCCTTTCTCTTCCTTGCATCACGTATGCAATTCACCAGTGATGCCAGTGGGTTCCTCCAAATACATCATGAATGCACGTCTACTACACCACTCTTCTCCAGGCTACTATCATCCCTTACTTGAATGAATGCAACAGCCACCACAAAGAACTTTTAAAATGGTTAACTAGAACCTTATCTCCATCTCCACCTCCACCCTGACCCCAGCCTCCTGGCCTAAAATAACCAACAGCATCACAATGTTTGAAGTCTAAGTCCAAAGTCACTAGCATGGCTTCAAAGCCCCTGCACCAGACCCCCCTCTCCAACCTCTTCAGCCTCTCCCATGGGACACTTCAGCCTTCTGTTTGGCCTTAGAGCCTGCCAAACTCCTTCCTGACTTGTAGTGTTCATCCATGTTGTCTTGATGCCTGGACCTATATTTATTCTCCCTAACAGCCTCTTGTTCATGACCTCCTTCTCACTTTCCACAATGTTTAAAAAATATTTTAGAGTGGGGGCCGGGCGCGGTGGCTCACACCTGTAATCCCAGCACTTTGGGAGGCCGAGGCGGGCGGATCACGAGGTCAGGAGATCGAGACCATCCCGGCTAAAACGGTGAAACCCCGTCTCTACTAAAAATACAAAAAATTAGCCGGGCGTAGTGGCGGGCGCCTGTAGTCCCAGGCTACTTGGGAGGCTGAGGCAGGAGAATGGCGTGAACCCGGGAGGCGGAGCTTGCAGTGAGCCGAGATCCCGCCACTGCACTCCAGCCTGGGCGACAGAGCGAGACTCCGTCTCAAAAAAAAAAAAAAAAAAAATATTTTAGAGTGTTGATTTATTTACCTGTAAACTGTTTATATCCCTCTGATAGACTAAAACTGCAGGAGGGCAATGCTATGCCTTTTTCATTCACCTTTATGTGCCCAGCATTTGCATAATCCCTGACAGATAGTTGGCAAGGGTACAGTGAGTAAAGGAATAAACGAAAAAAAATGATGAGTTGTGGGGCATACACAGACACTAAATCTGACGATTCTCCATGCACTGCATACACCAGGGATTCCCAAAGTTTGCTGCACATTAGAATTACTTAGGTAGCTTGGTAAAATCCCAATACACAGATTAAACCCTATTCAATCAGAATGGCTGGGACTGACAGCCATACACTAGGACATTTGAAAGCCCCCCAGCTGATTTCAATGTGCAGCAAAGTTGGGGAACTGCTGACATTTACTTTTTGAAATAAAAGCATATAAAAACAAACTCTTAAAAAGAAAAATATATTCCTTTTATGTATATTAAACATATATGAAGTTCAAATAGCACCTACAATATACTTTATAAGCCCAAATATATCTAGACGTGCTATCTTAAATTCTAACTGTGGTTAATATGCACAACCATTTTTACCTGTTAATTTGCAATGTATTAAAGAAGTTTGTATATAATGTCAAGTAATGCTACAGGAACACTTTGTTTCAATATTAACAATGTTGAAAGTGGTGTTTTTCTGTACTATTTTCAATTTTTAGCTGATTTTACTGGTTACTCGATACTACCTGGCTAATATAATTACAGATATGTATATTTTAATATGTAGATCTAAACCTATCTATGTATCTGTATATATGAATATAAATTCTATAAACATTTAATGAACGATTATTATTTAGCATGTACTCCATTTAAATGACAAAATGCAGGAAACTGAAGATGGAGTTTTGTTTATATAAAACATTTACATATTGACATTTGCTAAGATGAGTGATATGTCCTTTGACAGAATTCATTATCTGGTGAAGCAACATCTTCCACACTCAGTCTAGTTAGTTCAGGCTGCTATAACAAAAATACCATTGAATATGTAGCTTATCGACAATTTCTCACAGTTCTGGAGGGAAGAAGTCCAACATCAAGGCACCTGCAGATTCCATGTCTGATAAGGGCCTGCTACCCATTTATAGATGGTGCCTTCTCCCCATCCTCACATGGTAGAAGGGGCAATGGAATGTCTGGGGTCCCCGTTATGAGGGCACTAATCTCATTCATGAGGGATACACCCTAATGACCTAATCACTTCCCAAAGGCATCACCTTCTAATATCATCACCTTGGGAGTTAGGATTTCAACATATGAATTTGGGGGAGGGGATACAAACATGTAATCTGTAATACCAGTTTAATCCCAGCTTCCACTATTAACCATCTATATAAATTTAGGGGACTTTGTTAATCTTTGTGTTTCAGTTTTTCATCTGAAATGTGAGAACAGCAAACTGGATGCTGGAGTTTTTGATGGGTTTAAATATATGAAATACACACACACATTTGCAGTCGACCAACAGATGCTTATGTAAATGCTCCACTCCTCAAAACATTTTAACATGCCATACAAATAGTGAATGAGATGGTGGGAGGCTGGGAGAGGCAATTTATAATCGACTCACAATCTGTTGACCAGCACCTTTAAAATTGACAACAAAAAGAAATAATTATCAGCAAATGCACTGTTTAATTGTCAAGAAGAACACTTTATCAGTCATTGAAATGAAGCTAATGGCACAGTGGGTAAAAAGTAAAAACAAGGCTATCTGAAGACATGCCCAGAGCAGCCACACAGCCATGCACTATGAGAGAATAGTCTGAGAGGCTTCTTTTCTTCCCCAAATAAAGTCCTCCCAGTTGAGCTCCATGGAAATGCATTCTGGAGTTGACAGCTGCTCAGTGGTTTCCTGGGCCATACAAAAAGCCATGGGACAGCAGCAAATTCTGACGAGCAAGGTGCTCTCTGCAGCCCAGGAACAGGCTGAAGCAGGCTGCCAGCTGAGTCAGTCAGCCCAGGGACAGCTCCATAACCAGCCCTGCGATCACCCTGTGCCTTGCACCTAGGGGCCTCCTGCCGGCTCTTCATGACGCTTTAGACTGCTTTAAAATGTCTTATCACCAAAACATTTGAACACCTTGGAAAATACTGTCCTCTATGGAGGAGAAAAAGAGAACTTTGAAAGACCAGCCCAGAAGGAAAGTGAATGACTATCTGCCTGCCATGAAACATTCTGGCTTGAACTTGCCACTCTGAAATAAAGCTCCAGCTCCAGCACACTCTGTTAATGAGGACATGTTAGTATCAGGCACATAAACACAGTCAGGTGCATCTCCAGAGGGGGATCTCAGATACTTACTGCTAGTTGCTGATTACAGCAACATCAGTTTCTGTGCCACATCCAGAGATTTTTCTGCACACTTTTTATCAAGGCTTCAAACATGATCCCAGTTGTCTGGGAAATACTATCAGCCACTTAAGTTTCCCCTTAATTTAGGAAAGGAAGATGTATTTTCACCGTAACAGCAAAAGCTTATAACACTTGTCTTTTAGAATTAAGAGTCAACAACCCAGGGGGATCCACAGACCACCCAAGCGGATTGTGACGTTGTCCTGGCCTTCTCGTGGGGGTCAGGCCATCTCATCAGGCAAGGACGACCCAATGCCTTCTCGGTGGAACAGTTTTGATTGAAAAGATAGTTAAAAAAAAAAAAAAGTGATACTGCTGTAAAAAGAGACACAACATCACATCCAAACACATTATCCTCTCCTCTGACCTATGCATGCACGTGTGTACGCTCACATGTCCATGCATTTACACACACACACACACACACACACACACCCCTCCCCTCTTCAACACTTACCCATTCCAAAGTTTTATGGAGTTTCACTTTGACTACGCTAATCATCTTTATTCACTTTCTGAAAGACTCAGCTGCTCAAGAAAATAAAATGCCAAAATATATGGACCCAAGGCAGTTTTAAGACCAACACTGTAGATTCATTTAAAAATAACAAAAGCCACATATTCATTCATTCAACAAATAATTATGTAATGAGGATTATTTTAGGTGCTCAGCACACATCAGTGGATGAAAACCTCTGCCTTTGTGGAGTTTATACTCCAATAAGAACAGAGAAAAAAATAAATAAATTAAACAATAGGTTATGAGTCTGTAAGTGCTGTGACTACAACAGAAGACCTGGCTTGCTGGGCAGGACAGGGTGTCTGAAGAGTGGGTTGTAAAATTGAAGAGACTCATTGAGATGACATTTGTGCAAAAGCTTGAAGATCAACTGTGCAGATATCTAGGAGGAAAATACTCTTTGAAGCTGAATTTTTTAAGTAACAAAACGTGATCTGTTTTCCCCACAGAGGATACTACTCTCCTAACCCCGTTCTACTAAATGGGCTTGTAGTTTAAGGGGAAAAGATTTGCTCCTAGACGCCTGAAGGAATGAGTGTAGACATGGGCATGGCAGCAGGGGCAGGAGGCGAGAAAGGGAAGAATGTGAGTGTATCCCTCAGGACAGGTTCTGAATCAGCTGAACCTGGGGCTGGAAAAGCCAAGCCACATCCAGGGGAGAGCCTTGATTTCTCAAATTCATGTTTGATTTCCAGCAGCAGTGCATTCAAAGCTTAATTTCAGTCCAGAAGTCACCAAATTAATATCTGAGGTTAAAACGCACATACACATACACACACAGACACAGAACTGATGAACATTTCCAGGGAAAGACACACAGGGAAGAGTACAAGGACAGAGTGCCACTGCCACGCAGCCACCTGCACCTGTCCACACACTGCAGAGGCGCCCCATCATTGTGCAGGGAGAGGGGAGGTGCATTCTGGGCCTATGCTTCGGGCTGCCCCTGACAGCTGCCCCAGGCCAGGTCCCCTTACCGCCTGGTACCGCTCCCAGTAGGGCCTGGCAAATGGCCTGGCTGTGTCTTAAGCTTATTCCACATAATACTTCCAGTGTGGGACTTCCAGATAGCGACACATGTACTTCCTAACCACTCGGGCTTTGCGGGAATGCTCCAAAGGGCCAAGCCCTTGGTGTGACTTTCTGGTTGGGTCTTCTTGCTCAGTGTATTTCCTGGATGGTGGCTGCCAGAATCTGTGGGGAGAGTGGGAGCAAGGCACAGGGGCAGCCTGCAGCCTGTGGTGTGACTGGAGATCTGACAGCACATGGCCCCTCCCGACTCTCTCCTTCCTTGGTAAGAAGTGGCAGCTGCCCTGTCCTAATAAGGTTCACCTTTCCTTGCATTCAGCCTCAGGTATGTGGGGACAGGGGCATCCCAATTCAGTGGAGACCTGCCTTCCTCTACTAAAGCTACAACCCAATTAAAGGCAAAGACCCCAAGACTTAGGAATACTGAGGAAAACAATGCATGCCTGTGTGTCAACAGCTTTGCAGTGTACTGTGACTGCCAGGGTCTGAAGGAACCGGGGGTCCTTACTCCTCAGGGGTGTGAGCTGAACTGTTCATGTTAGTTTGTCCCTGAAAGTGGGCATTTGCTAGTAAGTGAAATTGGGCTTTAAACGCATACTAGGGAGGCTTGCTATCTAATAGGTTCCTAACATTAATCCCCAGCATGGCACATGTATACATATGTAACTAACCTGCACATTGTGCACCTGTACCCTAAAACTTAAAGTATAATAATAATTAAAAAATGCTAAAAAGTAATCTAACTCTAAAAAAAAAAAATGGAGCATTTTGTTACAAGGCCACCTGCCCCCTAGCTCAGTGCATTTGGACAGCTGTAATGTGATACCATAAACTGGGTCGCTCATAAACAGGCATTCATTTCTCATGGTTCTGGAGGCTGGGGAGTCCCAGATCAGGTGCTGGCAGAGTAAGTCTGAACAGGGCCCTGCTCCTGGTTCATACACGGTGACTTCTCCCTGCATCCTCACATGACAGCCTTTTGGCAAGGGGTCTCTCTCAGGCCTCTCTTACAAGGGCGCTAATCTCATTCCACATGACCTTATCACCTCCCTAAGGGCTCACTTCCCAATCCCATCACCTTGGGGGTTAGGTTGAGAGGGACATAAATATTCAGTCTATAGTACCCCAATGACTTGTACTTCCTGGTTCAAGGTTATCCAAATGGTCAACGCTGAACCATAATTAAATGCAATCCTTACCCAGTGGGCATTAGGACCTTCATGTGGACCCTGGATGAACTGTGGGGTTGCCAGGATCTTGGGTCAGCGCTGGCACTCAGGATGGACAGAAAATGGAGGGAGGTCCTCCTTCTTCACCCTATGAAGGCAGCTGGGCTGCGGGCACCAGCACAGAGCAGGCAGTGTGTGTGGAGTGCAGTGTAGAGGCTGGGGTGCTACTGCAGGCCCCCCATCCCCCACCCTCAGCCCAGGCCCCCAGGCAGCCAGGCAGGGGCTTCCATGTTGGATGCACATGGAAGAGATCTCATGGCAGCCCCTGGAGTAGGTGGGTGCGTGGGTTCTGCCTAAAGGGGGCTGAGTGAGGGAGTTCTGGGGGCAGCCCACAAACTCTGAAAGCTGTGTGCAAAGAGGCTGAAGGCAGAGCCTGGCAAGGGGGCAGCTGCAGAATTGAGAGCAAAGAACACAAGCGGCTGCATTTGCAAGCACCCAAGGCAGTGGCAGAGGGCAGTGAGGGAGAGGATGAGCACAGCGGGTGACACAGGTGGAAATGATGGGCTGATGGGAGGAAATGGAGCGGCTCTTAGACACGGTTCTGGTGGCCGGCCATGGGTAGGACAGCAGGATCTAGGGGTATCATCAGTCTCCAGAAGAGGCCTGGGCTGGGGGATTGATCTGCCCAGTCATCAGCACCATGGGAATGGCCGAATGTGCAGAGAGTAATTCTAAGGACAAGAGCCCAAGAATACGCATAGAGAGAGGGGTACAAGTACCATACCCAAGGAACTCAATAGCCCATACCTTGTCTACAAGGCTGTTCTGCAGGAATTCCGGGGGTCAGCAGGGATGGCTCTGACTGGTCACTTTGTAGCAATAATCTTCACAGGTAAAACCATGGAGAGAGACAACAGGTGAAGAGAAATATACCATGGGGTGCAGCTGGGGGATTCCATCTGGATCCCTCAAAGTGATGGGAAGGACCAGGAATAGCAAACTCACTCACTGCAAATTGTATATCCAAAGGAAAGAGAGATGGAAAAAAATTTCCATTTACCTAACGAAATAGCACATGCTCTAGTTGACCAATGCCCTGAACTACATACAATGCACACAGTGGCACGGAGTGGGGCTCTGTCCCTCGGGAGGCAGCCCTAGTGTTTAGGATGCCCACTCCAATGCTGCAGGTGCTGGTCTGCAGGCTACAGAGTGTTTGAGTGTGTGGATTCGTGGAGTGCCTGCCTGGGCAGAAAAGCCTCTCCTTAGCCAAGGGACATTAGGAAAAAGTGAAATTAATTCGTTGAAAAAGTAAACAAGATGTGTGTGTCTCTCTCTCTCACACACACACACACAGACACGCACATACACACACACACACCGAGTGGGGGATTCATTTATTTCTCTGCTCTTCCTTTCCCCGCTCCCAGCCCCATCATCAAGTATAATGTCTTCACTATTCCGTTTAATGATTTAAACATGATTAGTGGAATGCAGATCAATGCAGACATGAATTCTTGGGGTAAAAATGCAGTATTTCAGCACTGTGGAAGAAAAACTAAACAGAAATGGAAGCTTGGGGAAACAGCTACATCTTGAATGAATAAATTCTACTTGATGAATGTGAAACATTATTTTAGGAATTTTTAATATATCTAAATACTCCATTTCCACAGCAGAGCTTGGGTCACATTTTAGAAGATTGTCTTCCCTCTGTAACACTCTTCCAGAATTCCCCTCCAGAGTTAAGACTGTCCATTCCTCACCCAGGTGCCCTATTTAACCAAAAGGCCAAGGGCACCTCCTGGAGTCCCTGGGTTCCATTTCCTTTATGGCACTATCACCCAAAACAAAAACTGGGCTCAGAACTCTGAAAAACAGCTCTCCTCAGGAATCGTCACGCTGGCACTAATGCAATCTGAAAAGTACGCTTCACTGATATAAACTTTCACTGGAAGGCATCCAGGCAACATGTGCTTTTTATCCACATTTTTAGAGGCTACAGGAGACACCTCTGTTTCTCACACTGCCAACCTGTTACATTAGAACTATCTTGGTGTAATGGAGCAAATTATTTCATATAAACAGCATTTGCTTTACAATAAAAAACAATGCACCATTCCTGTGTACAAGGTAATTGACGGTAAAGAAGCAGGTAGAAGAAGAAATCTCCTTTCCGTGGCCTTTGTGTGTTGAAAAAAGTCTGGATCTCAGAGCCTGGGAAAGGATCTCAATGTACTGTTTTCCTTGTACAACACAGCTTCTGGCTCCTAGTGCAACTTCCTGAACATCGGCCTAGGTTGTCACTGTTAGGATCTGGACACCAGAGTCTTCTTTCCGGGCCACTTTGGAGCCCTAGGGGTGGATGAGAGAGAAATGGAGGAGGTGGGTGCAGAGGGTACCATGCACCAAGGAAGGCCTTGGTCCTCCTGGATCTGTTGTCGGTAAGATGGGGGTTTGGAACTCATTCTCTCCAAGGTTCTTGCCGACCTCAACCTGTGATTTGCAATCACACACTCTGACTGCTTCTGGTAAGGGCTTTTGGAGTCTTCTCAGTGCACCCCAGAAGCCTTCACAACCCAGTCCAGGACAAAGTGCTGGGATCTGCTCCCTCCAAGGAGGGAGCATGTCATCCTCAAACCAAGAAGAGAGTGCCTGGGGTGATTAACCAACAAGGATGGCAGAAGCAGACAGGCCAGCCGCGACAGCTGTCAGGAAATGACTCTTTCTGTAGTATCTGCCCCTCTGGTTTACAGAATCACTTAAAAATAAAGCAGCCATGCATCAATTTCACTCACATCAAGAGATTTCCCACTGTTTTCTTCACTTCCAGTAACACACACAATAAACATTTAACGTTCAAACTAGCTCGTATTTTATTTACATGTATATATGCATTTTTAAAATGGGGCTTCTTCTACAAAGTTAAGAAATGGCTGTCTTTTGGAAATTAAGAGGAGAAAATCAACTTTACTATAGATTAAATTTCTGATTTAAAATAAAAAAAGTATAAAAAACCTAAATCAAGCCTCCCTGGCAGGTAGGCAGGCCCTCTACTCAATACTTAGAAGCGCTGGCAGGAGCCGGCGGGAGCTGTGGGAAGGTGGCTACCTGACTCCAGATCTGTGGGCTCCGCAGCCCCAGCACTCAGTGGTTCTTGAAGACACCACCACCTGGGAAAGACACTAACGAGGGATTTCTCACAGAAAACCACCGAAGTACAGCATATGGGGAGAAAAGATGAGCTAAAGTGAGTTATTGAAAGAGATCTTCTTTAATAAGATCAAGAAGCAAGAAAGAGCTTCTCAAATTGCCTTCTGTATTGGAGAAAGGGCAAAGGGAGCCTCTGAGTATTCCATCAACTTTGCTTGCCAAGTACATCTCTATAGAAAAGAGGGCTGTCATTGGATCTGATGGCTGGAGACGCTAGCCACTGCCATTCAATGTCTTGCATGTTCATGTTCTAAAAAGTCAACAGCTTCTGTCAACTTTCCACAGGGGAAGGAATACAGTGACTGTAGGTACAAATATTCTTGATGTACTGAGCAGTTATATTTTGTATGGCAAATTTAGAAAGTGGGTTTATACATCGGCCTCTTGTTTAGTCAGTTAAATAATGGCCCTTGTGGCAAGCTGTGTTTTCTAAAGATGGTCCCAGCAATGTGTCTCTTCCACAATGTGACCTTTTCAGCCCTTCCAGTGAGAGGAGGGGTTCTGTGACCTATGCCCTTGCTTCTCAGTGGGCTCAGGACTGCTAGGATCAATAGAATACAGCAGACAGGATGCAGTGTGACTGCTAAGGATGGGTGATGCAGCCTCGTTCACTAGAACATGTACACTTGGAGTCCTGAAGCTCCATTTAAGAATGACCCCAAGGTCAGCATGCTGTGAGGAGGCCAAGCCACGTGTAGAGGCCACATGTGAGCACTCCAGTTAGCAGTCCCCATCTTTGAGTCATCCAGACCCAGCTCCAGAATAAGCCTCTGCATGAGCCCAGCCCCAGTCTTCAAGGCTTCTCAGCTGGGGTCCCAGACATCATGGACCACACAGGAGCCATCCCACTGCACCCTGTCTGAATCCAAGGTTGTATTAACCATTAAGTTTTGCAATCTCATTCATGCAAACATATTTTGAAACCTGACTGCACCAATGTATACATCTTCAAAGGTAATGCACACCCCAGGCTCAGATAGCACCTCTCCTTAAATTCCGTCAGTCACACTTCTTCTGACTGTTCACCTGGCATCCAGTGCCCCCTATGGCTGGACATGACATAGTGATTGCAGCCTCAGGGATGCCATCTCTGCTCGAGCCACACAAAGCCACTAATCTCACCCATCATTGACTGATTTCACCATCATCCTATTCAGGGACACTTTCACTGCTTCCAATGAAAATGGCTGACTTTATCTACTATCAGATAAATACCCTCACATATACATCTGTATCCTATCTTCAGCCATTTCCATCAGAAAGATTCTTAAACGTGGAATCGTGGGAGACTGAGTATTAGATTTCAGGATCTTGGTGATACTGCCAAGTGGTTTTCCTGAAATCAATTGCTAGTGAGAATTGAACACAGTTATAAAGCTTGTTGCTCACTTTTATTTTTCTTTTATGAACTGTTTATCCCAGTACTTCAGTCACGTAAGGGAATGGGTTTTTCTAACAGACTGGTAGGTGCTCTGTAGGGGTGTCCTCAGACGTGACGCACAGTGACACAACCCCTCTATGCTGCTGTGAACAGGCAGGCACTGCTGGCATGGGCTCACACTGCAGGGGAACCTGGCAGGGTAGCTGATAATGCAAAGGGCCTGTGGTACTGAGGGAGGTGCCAAGAGTAATGTGAGACAGCCATCAACAGAGGGTGTGCAGGAGCAGCTGGGAGGAGCAAATCCCGGTCTCTAAACTGGACCCAAAGGAATATCACAGAAGAGCATAACCAGTCCTGGAAAGCCCAGAGGTGGCAAAAGACTAGGTATGTTCCCTGAATACGGCAAAGGTCAGTGTGCTTGGATCTGAGACACAAACTGAGGTCAGAAAGCCAAGGACAAGCCAAACTAGGCAGGAGCCTGTAGCCACAGGCAGATGCTAGGATTCACAGGAACCACAGTGGGAGGCCCTGAGGGGTAGTGAGCAGGGACAGCCACACCCAGGGGCACGGGAGATGATGTGGGTGACCCTGCAGGCCTGGTGAAGGGTGGCGGCAGCAGTACTGGCCAGAGGCGCTGGGACCCAGGAGAGGAAGCAGCAGATCAGTAATGATGATGGAAAGAAAGTAATTTGGTGAATAACTTCTCGTGACTTCATGACTGATTGGCTTGGGGGTACAGAGAGAGAGTAAGGTGTCAAACATGACTTCAAATTTTCTGATTATCTCAGTATTAAAGATGCCACTTCTAAAAAGAGGAGGCCTGGAGCAAGAGCTTGGCTGACAGCAGGATCAGAGGTCCCTGTGGAAACCATGGAGACATCAACTGGGCAACTAGTAAACTGAACTGGAGTTCAGCAGAAAGTTCTGAGCTGGAGGTGTAGCTTGGGGAACCTGCACAAAACTGGTATTTAAAGCCGTGGAACTTGAGACCACCCAACAAGAGCTGAGTTAAAAGAACACAACTCAGGGCTGGGCCTTTGTGAAGTCCTGCATTTAAAGGTCAGATAGAAAAGGAAATACCACAAACCAGCAAGGAGAAGGGAAGGGAACAGCCACTGAGCCGGGAAGAAACCAAAAAGCAGTGGCATTCTGGAGATCAAGGGAAAAGAATGCTTAAAGAAGACTGGCAACAAAGGAAAGAATTTCTCAGCTGTTAGAAACCAGAAGAAATGGAAAATCAGAGCTTAACACCAATACTTGCTGCTGAAGGAGTGTGGAGGGGACAATCTCTCCCCCGTCTAGGGGCTTACCTTTTAATGTCATGCAGGAATCCCAAAGCAGAGGTTCCAAAAGGTCAAGACTATTTTCATGATCATTCAATGATCATTCTAAGGAGAGATTTGCTTTTCGCTGTGTTGACATTCATGGTATCGAAGCAATGGAAGAAGCCGCACAAATTAAGGCAATAGCAACCACTGTGCCAGTAGTCTTCATATTCTTCACCATCAAACACTCAAACTTACAAAAGCCAAAGAACAAAACCCAAACAGAAACCGAAAACAGTTTAAGAATATCTTTGATGAAGCAGTGAAAAGTATTAATTGTATTAACTAGCAACCCTTGTGTGTAAGTGTTCCTGATATTCTAAGTATCTCTGCTGTATGCCAAAGAGCGATGGAGGTCCTGAGGCAGAGCACCTGTATGACTGCCTGAGTTGCACCCTGAACTAGCTGTATTTCCATGGAACATCATTTTCCTCACCTTCTATTCATCAAAGCATACTTGCAGGGTTTGAAAGAATAACTGAAAACGATCATTTTTCAGACACTGGTGTCTGGCAAGCATCCTCTTGAAAATGAATGTAGTGAGCCTGTCACTTTAAAGAGAATCCCAATAGTATTTTATTATCGATGATAAAATCTGAGCTTCCCCATGAAACTTCTTGTATCTACTACTGTGAATCTGACTGCTCCCAATACTCAGAGACTTTTCTGATGAGACTAGTGGTGATATTAATGAATGTGATTTTCTGAGAGTGTGTAATGAAATGTGACAATGCTTAGAAGAGCCACCTAACTCAATGGACCACTATTTTCCAAGCGATCAGTGTATCATGTTACAGATCATATGTAGATAAGTGCAAGACAGGGCAAAGAACTGTAATATAATGGAGTATGAAAAGTTTACCAATGTGGCTTCAGATTCCATGTGGCAACTAATTTTAAGAAACTACTTGTTGTTGAATTCAGATGTAGTGTCAAAGATATCCACAATTACCTGAAAAGTCAACTGAAATACTCCTCCCCTTTCCAACTACATAGCAGTATGAGGTTAGACTTGCTTCTCACACTACAACTAAAACAACACACCCCAATACATGGATTGTGGAGCAGATATGAAAATCCAGCTGTCTTCTATTAAGCCAGTCGAAATTTACTAAAACAAAACAATGCCATCCTTTTCGTGATATTTTTTGTTTTTGAAAAATTTTTCATAAAAGCTTATCTATGTTTACATGTAACAGGTTTATAATTGTAATTTTAAAATTGATAGGTATTTTATAAATTCTCAGTATTAATTTCCCATGCAGTAAATATTAACAGACATACCCCACAAAGAAAAGCTCTTTAGGCACCACGATAATTTTTAAGAATGTAAGGGAACCTGACATCAAAAATTTTGAGAACCAGCATCCTAAAGCATTTGCTTCAGGAAGAAGGAAGTTAAACCCAAAGAGAAGGAGGGCATTCCAAAAGCAGCGGGCTTTGTATTGTCTGAGTGCTTGAAATGTTTCACAATTAAAATTTATTACTTTTTCAAAAAGAATGAATAGAAGGTGAGGAATGGCACAGTGAAGGTAGATGATTCTCCTGAGTGTTTTATTGAGAAAGAGTAGGGGAAGGTGTGGAGGCAGAATGGGGAGGCTGGAGTTAAAGTAGGGTCAGTTCAGAAGGGAGCGGCACTGCCCACCTGTGCTTATCTCTTAAACGCGGGCATACAGATAACACGAACACATGATCTATACCCTGCAAGTATGGCACTGATGCATGTAAATCCTGCAAGTACATACTGATGCATCTAGACCCTGCAAGTACACACTGATGCATCTAAACCCTAAGTACACTTTGATGGATCTAAATCCTGCAAGTACACTTTGATGGATCTAGACCATGCAAGTACACTTTGATGGAACCAGACCATGCAAGTACACTTTCATGCATCTAAACCCTGTAACTACACACTGACGCATGTAAACCCTGTAAGTATGCATTGATACATTTTCTCAGCTGGTCCTTTCAGAATTTTGGGTAAGCTTTCGGTACATTTGAATTTTTAAAAATAAATTCTAATCTGTAGATATTTTTATTTGAAACATGTCTCATATTTTTCTGTTTAGAAACTGCTTCTCTCACTCCAAGATTATACTAGCTTTTCTTTCTTTTTTAAATGAAAGAGGAACAGCAAAAAGGTGTGTCCCATTTCCAGACCTGGCCTCTGGAGCTCCCCACACCTTCCACAACCTTCTCTCATTACTGTAGTACAAGGGCAACACCTATTATCCTGACCAACTTGGAAGCTACTGGTGAAGATGGCAGTGCCCCCCAAAACTTGATGCCTTCCATGATTCTGACTCTGGCCCCCAAGCAACCACTCCAGACTGTAACATTCCTGCTGTACCCCAACCAGTGCAGCAGGCATGTGACTTGGGTCTGTTTGCAAAGCAGTGAGAGCCTGCCCTATTTAAGCCATAGATTAGCTGTGTGGCTTTGGACAAGTGAGATAAACATACTTTGCCTCAGTTTCCTCATCCACAAAGTGAGGAGAGCAGCACCTTCCTTGGCCAGAGAATTAAATAGTACACGTAAACACACAAAGCAGGTATGGTGCTATGGTTTGAATGTCCTCTCCAAAACTCATGTTGAAACCTAATTCTCAATGTGGCAGTATTAAAAAGTGGGGTCTTTAAGAGGCAGAGCCCTCAGGAATGGATTAATCCATTCAAATCCATTCATGGATTAATGGGTTATCATGGGAGGGGAAATCATAGCTTTATAAGAAGAGGAAGAGAGACCTGAGCCAGCACGCTCAGCCCTCTCGCCATATGATGCCGTGCGCCACCTGGGGACTCTGCAGAGTCCCCACCAGCAAGAAGGGCCTCACCAGATGCAGCTCTTCAACCTTGGACTTCTCAGCCTCCATAACTGTAAAAAATAAATTCCTTTCTTTATAAACTACCTACTTTCATGTATCCTAGGCAACAGAAAACAAACTAATACAGCTGGGCATATGATAAGCACTAAATATTAGCTACTATTATTATTTATAATAAATGTTATTATCCAGTAGAACAAATTCTCTATCCTCCGACAAGTCTTATTGCCAAATTTGCCTATGCACTTAAGGCAAAGAGGCCAGGAATGTGGACAGAGTGTCTCATTACTGGAACCTCCTTTTGTGTGTGTGGCACGTCTGTGTGTGAGACAGGGTGTGTGCCTGGACAGGGTGTGGATGTGGAAGCTGTGGGTGAGGCTTGGTGACAGGTGAGGGGTGTGTGGCTTTGTGGGCGTGTGGTGCTGTGGGATGTGTCACTGGGTTCTGTGGCCCTCATGCCCTGCTGCCCCTCCACCCTTTCACTTCATTGTTACGTGAGATGCCTGCAGAGAGGTGTCCCTAAGAAGGAAGCCAGGTAGTGAGTCCTAGAATGGAGGCTTCCAGCAAGCAGGTATAGTTGCCTTGATCTGGGAAAGGGAGGTGTAAGCAGGTCTCCCCCTCAGGAGCTCTGAGAAGGCAGCTATGTGGCTCAGAGTCGAAGCATCCCAGAGTTCTGACCCAGGACCCCGCAGTGATATCACAGACAGACTGTAACCGCCCCCCTTCATTCCATCTCATTATGAAATGTGTGTGAGGCCTGTCGTTCTACAAAACAAAGACCCTAAGGAGGAGGGGAAAATGTTGCTTTACATATAAAAGTCAATGTTTAGCTCTAGGTATGTTTTGGGCTTTCTTAGTGGAGACACTGAAAGGGGACTAGTCAGCTTTTTCTCATCAAACAACATGGCATACATGGCCAGAGATGTGGCCACAGACGAGGCTGTTTGAACCTGCTCCAGAAATGTTGTACCAGGATGTGATGATGGAGAACTGGCAATTTGATCTCAATGCTAGACACTGTTTTTCTGAACCAGATGTGATGGCCTTATTGGAGCAAGGAAAAGGGCACTTGATGGTTATAAGAAGCATGAAGACTGTACAGTTATTGGTTGCCTCACCAAGTAGGGCTAATTGGTTACCTTGGAATTTAATTCTTAAATGAAACAGCAAGAAAGCATTTGGTTTTCTAATACGAATTATAAATTTTCCAAATTTGGAACCAAGATAGGAGCTAATCAGCTACGAAAAATGTTCACTTATAAAAATATACATCTCCTACTCTCCATCAAAGAGTTAAAGATGGAGGGAAATTCAGTGACCTCAAGGAATGCTAAGCCTAGGTGGCAGCCTTAAAATACATCAGAGAGTTCATAGTGGAGAGGTACCCTATGAACATGACTAGTGTGGGAAGGCCTTCAGTGCACATCAACAACTTTCTCAACATCAAAGTACTTAGGCTACTGAGAAAGACTTTGAATGTGATAAGTGTGGAAAGTTCTTTTGACTTAAGCCTCAAAGTACATGATAGAATTCATAATGGTGAGAAACCCTTTGAATAAAAACAATACAGGAGGCATTGGAAATGGCAGGCAATATCATATGTATCATAGAATTCATAGCAGTGCAAACTCCTTTCAATGAATAGAACACAGGAAGTTCTTTAGGCAACAGTTCAGTCTTTTAGAGAAATCAGGGAGGGAGCTCACACTGGCATAAGACCCTAGGAATATATCTAACATAGGAAATCCTCCAGTAATGGTCCAAGCTTTGTTTAACATCAAAGAATTTGTAACATGCTTTATTTAACATGGAAAGCTTACTGCTATACAATTATCTTGTAGTTGGCCACTTTACTGTACACTCTCATAATTCTAAGTCATTCCACAGTGCCAGACCCCACATGGCACTCAATAATTAATTTTTGAGTAACTGGATTAACAGATGGGTTCTCTTGCATTTCTAGGTAAATTATATTGATTCTAGGAATAAGTTTTGTTTTTGTCTTTCCAATATTTACATCTTTTTTCCCTTCTGTTTATGAATGCCTTAAATCAGCCTTGTAGACACTAAGAAATATGCGTAAGACTTTGCACTAATGTGCCTGATATGGTGTCATCATGCCAAAGGACTCTTTGGGCTACAAACCACAGGAACCCACAAGTTAGCATAAGCAAACAAGGGAAGGCCAGACACTCCAAGGATCAGAATAGATCTGGGCTTCATGACTGGGCGGGAACCATGGCCATGTTTGCCATGTCTTCAGATGGATGGTCCTTTCCTCCTTCTCATCTCTTTTCTTGTTTTCACTCCAAAATGGCTATTGATGGGCAAAGAGAACAACCTAGTTTCGATGATACAGGTTAACCTACTCAAGGATACAGGACTCTTCTGAGAAGCTATTTTCACATTCCCATGAAAGAATGCCCTAACCGTCAAGTAGCCCATCTTGGCCAATCATCCATAGTTGCAGGTGGGGATTGTGTTGGCCCCAGAGTGGGTAGGGTACCCATCACTGGGTGGCAGCTGCAGGAGGTGGAAGGGCCAGGCCCCTTTTTATAAACATTGCAGCAATGTGAATGGAGGAGAGAAAAGGTACCCTTAGAACAGAGACATTGAGAAAGGTACCCCAAAGCTATCCACAGCATACAGTAGATACTTCAGAGCTCTTTGTAGTTTAGAAAGAGCTTACTCATATAATCTTAACTGCTCCATCCTTCATGGTAAGGCTTTATTTTTAATGTTCATTTTGCATATGAACAGGCTGAGGCTCAAGGAGGTGCAGTGACTTTTCCAAGGCCATAGGATTCCTAAATGCCAGGACCCAAACCCTAGATTCCATTCTATCTTCAGTCTCTCTGGATTGTTGTCCTACAGCCATTACCATAATCTTACACCCAGTTAGATCTCTGGCATCACTAAAGTCTTGAAGAAGTTGGAAATAAATTTCATTTTTTTTATACTCTGAGGGGAGATATACCATTGTAAGTACTATGTAATAGACACAGAATGTCTTCTAGCAGCCACTCTAAGCAACACTGACTGAGCATCTCCTCCAAGCCCACACCTTCCTCATGCAGGGTAGAAACCAGGAGAAACTGCTGGGCCTGTCACATCCAGCCTCTGTTCAATCAGATGGGAATATTTCTGGTTCCTCTCCCACTGTGGTGTTCCCCAAGAAATGCAATCATCTGAAAGTAATCCAAGATGTCTGAAAGTAATCCCCCAAATTTTAACACTGTAAATGTTTCTAATACTAAAGGTTAATTTTAGAAATAAAAATTGAAGCCAGATGATTTTCATATGAATGTTCTGACATGAAAAGGGCAACACATTTCACTCCTCCACAATTATGTTTCCCAAAACTGAAATGCTTCCTGTCCAGTTCAGTGCTGTTGAGGCTCAACATCGTGCCACTCATACAGTCTGGGCATCTTCACTCATGGCTTAATTCTGATCTCAGCAGGGTGGCACATTCAATAGAAACATATCTGTCTCTGCAAGAAAAATTGCAGTTACTGGGAGGGGCAGAGGTAGAACTGTGGAAATCCAATGCTGCCCTTTTTTTTTTTTTTTTTTGAGACCGAGTTTCACTCTCGTCCAGGCTAGAGTGCAATGTCGCGATCTCTGCTCACTGCAACCTCCACCTCCCAGGTTCAAGCGATTCTCCTGCTGAGGTTGGGAGTTCAAGACCAGCCTGACCAACATGGAGAAACCCTATCTCTACTAAAAATACAAAAGTAGCCAATGCTGCATTTTAACCCACCAGCCTGGCCCTACCTGCCCATCACTGCCACTGTTATGCAGTTAGAGGTACAGGGTGCCAGAGCGGGGAGACTGGCTGACTAATGCCTAGCAAGCCTCAGGATCCTCAACAACTGGGAGAGGGAAGAGGATACAATTTAAACTCCACAAGGCCAAGTCCATCTCCAGATTCTACCATGTGGAGCCACCACCGCCCTATAAAGTCACATTGACGGGAGTACATCACACTTCCTAGATGTGTCAGGAACAACAGCAACCAGAGCCCTCTGACATCATGGCTCCTACATGGCGTCAGGATCCCTGCAGGGCCTGTAAAAACTAGGCGGCAGGGCCACCCCCAGAGACTCTGATTCAGTGGGGCTGGGGAGGCCCCAAGAGCCAACAACATGCACTTCTAACAAGTTCTCAGCTGATGCTGATGCTGCAGGCCTAGGGGCCACACTTTGAGAACGTCTGCCCTGATGTAGCTAAAAACCTTCATGTTATGAGAACAGTGAGGCCCTAAAAGGAGAGGCCATGTCTGGAACCCAGGTGTTTTGATTCAAAAACTAGAATTGCTTTATCAAGAGACAGGATAAATAAAAAAGAAGAGGAAGGAAGGATAAAAAGAGAAAGAGATTAAATAGATGCCCTTGACAGAGAAAACAAAACAGCTCCCTGAAGACTGCAGTGTGTGGGCAGGGCACAAGTCCAACCTGGGGTGGAATTTCTGGGTGTGAACCTGGCCTGTGACCTGGTTCTGCACCCATTAATGAGCTGCCTCCCACCAGCCAATATCATGGAAACAACTCAGAAAATGCAGCCATCTCTTGTGCCCTGAAGACCTCCTCTGGGGCCTCTGGCCCTCAATCCATGAATGACAGCCCTGGGAGCTATAGATGCTGCCTCATGATGGGCCCCAGAGCATGCAGGAGAGGCTGCCCCCTTTATGGAACTGCCTGAGAGACAGAGTCACAGGCTGAGGTCCCCTTTTCAGGTTAGGATGAGAACTTGACAATGGAGACACCTATGGAAGTGACATTTTTCCACAGTATTCATGGTAGAAATAGTGGACTGGGAGGTGCAAGTCTTGAGTTTTAGTCCTGACCTACAACTAATGGTCATCTTTTTTTGTTTGTTTTGTTTTGTTCTTTTGAGACGGAGTCTTGTTCTGTCGCCAGGCTGGAGTGCAGTGGCTCGATCTCGGCTCACTGCAACCTCCGCATCCTGGGTTCAAGCGATTCTCCTGCCTCAGCCTCCCGAGTAGCTGGGACTACAGGTACATGCCACCATTCCCAGCTAATTTTTGTATTTTTAGTAGAGACGGGGTTTCACCATGTTGGCCAGGATGGTCTTGATCTCTTGACCTCATGATCTGCCCGCCTCAGCCTCCCAAAGTGCTGGGATTACAGGCATAAGCTAACGCGCCCAGCCCTACTAATAGTCATCTTAAGGGAGTTGCTTGGTTCCTAGGAAATTTTTTTGTTAAATATAAGAAGTGGGTTGATGACTCCTCTGGGATTCTTCAAATTTTGTATTCCATCATCCCACCTTCTATTTTGGTTCTCTTGCTGTGTCCCTCTTTTGAGTAGGAGGGTCAATGAAATGCCCACATCTCTGCTTCTAGTTGTAGAATAGGGAAAGCTCAACTAAAGGGACGCATGCGACACAGACACATGATGGATGAGTAAGGTACAACACGTCCCGGACCAACCCCAGCATCTAAGAGGCTTTCTATTCAGCTTTGTGCTGGCTGGCCTTTGTGCTGATGTGGGTTTCTAGGATCATTCATGAAGTGTATTTTATATTAATTAGCCTTCAAGAGAATTCCATCCAGCTGGCCCCCTCCCTCCTTCTGAAACATGGCCTTCCTTTGGCTGTCTTGACACCCCACCCTCTCCTGGTCCTCCTCCTTCATCACTGGCTGCTCCTCAGACCCTGTTGACAAATGTCATGGAATGCAGGGCTCAGCCTGGATTGCATCTCATCTCCATTTATGCCCTCCCCAAATGCACTCCCATGAAGGCTCTAAATAGCACCTGGATGATGTAGAGAAGATACTCAGTCCTAACCGAGCTCCCCACTTCACATGCCTACTCACTGCAAACCAAGTACTGCCCAACCAGGACTCTTGACTTCCTACCACCACTCCCTCTCCCACTTCCTTCTTCTCAGCACCCACCAAGTTTCTTAAGCCAAAAATCAAAGCCCTCCGCATTTCTCGTCCGCTCCTCAGCAACTATGTGCAATCAGCAGGCAGATCCAGAACACATCTCAAATCCCTCCACCTCTTGTCATCTCTCTGCCACTTTATTTACTTCATAAAACCTCTTGTCTGGCTGCCTGAATGTGTCTCCTGACTGACACCCCTGACTACATTCGATTCTCCACACAGCAGGAAGGGTCATTTTTTAACACAGAAACCGGATGCCATCACCTCCAGTTTAAAACCTCCCAATGACTTCCCATCACATTTGGGCCAAAACCCATACTCCATGGCCAGGCTCACAGGACCTCCACCTGCTCCAGTCCTGCCGCCCTCTCCATAGCATCCCTTGCCCTCCCCTCTCCCCATATTCCCTGACTTGGGCCAGCTTGTTCATCCTGCACTGAGACACACTCAGTCCTAAGCTGGAGCTTCTTTTGTCCTGTATTCCCTCTGTCTGGCCCCCACCTTTATTCAGGTTGCACCTTGACTTTCTTCTCCTCTGGGACCCTTGCTGACTCCTCAGTCTGAGGCAGTCCTCAGTCTCTCTCTCTCACAGCAGACTGTTTCATTCTCTGCACAATAGTGACCACCACCAGATAAAATTCTTCTTTATGTGTATGTGTGTTCTGCCATCCCCCACTGGCTTCTGAGCACAGTCCTCCATTGTGTGTTCACCTCTATGCCTCAGGGAACAGTGACTGGCCCCAGTGGGACACAAGGGCTGGGTTGAGGGGCTGTCCTCAGGGAGCTCTTCTGTGCAGACCCCAGGGTGGGAGGGATACAGACTAGTGGCAGGCTGCCCCCCTGCCTGGCATGCCTGGGGATTCTAAGCAGTCCTGCCACACTGCCATGCAGATGCTCATCCTCCTCACCGCCGGCCACGGGAGACACCACGTGCCTCACACCACACACCAATTGACAGATGGCGTGTGGGCACAGGAAATGAGCCCCAAACTGATTCGACCCATGACACCACTGCACACACAGCACTCAGGAGACTGTGCGGCTGTGCTTCTGCCTCCAGCTTCCCAACCCCCCATGCACCTTCCCCGGAAGCAGCAGGAATGTCCTTTCTGATAATGCGGCAGAACTTGCTCTTCCTGCCCCTGCCTGCATCAGCATCAGGAGTCTCTGGCCTCTTCAGTTCCTACCCTCTGGGCTGATTCTGGCCTGGTAGTAACTGATGCCCTCCTGGGTTATCTGACCCCAGGTGAAGGAGAACCCCACACTGTGTCCAAGAGCATCACACAAGGCTTTTTCCTGCAGCCTCCATGGCTTCCCACTGGGCCAGAGGTGCACTTCCTGCCCCAACCTGGTCTCCCTGTGTCCTCTCTCCTCACTGAGTCCCCCATCCCTCCTCTATGGTCCATTGTTATCTTCTTCTTAGAAGGCATTCCTTCTACTTATTTTGTATGTCTCCTCCTACAAACCAAAAATACATGTTTCCTTCTCATTCTCCGTCATCCTTAAATTACAATACTGGAAGGGGTACGAAGGTGCCATTTTCTTAAGTCCTCCTGGGTTTGTAGCTAGAGCCACCAGTGGAAGGCTTAATGGAAGGAGATGTCCCATCGTACTGTCATTCATAAAAGACCATTTGATTGCCTTCCATTGCACACTTCTCTGATTAAAAATGACTTGGAGCATGTTTCTTTTGCTTTTTAGCCCTGTGGCTTTCCTGTTCTGTAAAATGCCTGATTATACACTTTGGCCATTTTTCCATGTAGGCTCTTCTTGGTTGCTGTTGATTTGAAGAGTTCCTTGTACATCATGCCTTGGTATTCCAGAGATGGTCTCCCAAGCTGTCATCTGTCTATTGATGCTACCAAGGAAGCCTATGTTGATCAGAAATTCTTAATTTTGATGTGATCAAATTAATTATTTTTGCCTTATAATTTGTGCTTTGAAGTTTAATTTTAAAAACCCTTCTACATCTAAGCCTTCTTTGATTAACATTATAGTTTTATCTTTCACATTTAAACCTCTATTTTTAACCTTCATGTAGTGTTTGGTATGGCTCTAGGTTCATTTTTCTCTATATGGAAAATTTTCCCTAATAGAAGCTTACCCTGTGGATATGTGGTTCTACCTTAACATGTATTAAACCTCAGTCACACAAATATCTGTCTCTAAGCTCCCTATTCTGTGCTATTGGCCCATTTGTCTGTATTTACATCAGGACCACCATTTTCAATCACTATAGATTTGCAGTATGCAGTATGCCTTAATATCTGTCAAAGTTTTCCTCTTTACATTGATGGTTATTTCTCAAAAGAGATTATTTAATGTTCCTATCACATGAAGCAGAAAGCAATGTGACAATCTCAATGATACATTCAAATATTCAAATATAAATTTGTCACTTCCTATTTTTGTTAAGTACCAAGCATCAAAGGTATAATATGGGGGAGGGAGGGTGGGAGAAAGCCACAAATTAGTAAATGTCTAATTGATTCATTCATTCAACTAATATTAATGAAGCACCTACAAGTGCTGGCTGGCCTTGTTCTAAAGGCCGGGAATAGAATAGTGAAAAAAAAAAAAAAATCCTAACTTTATGGGACTTACATTTGAGTGACAGAAATCAGAGAATCGCTTCATCCACCTCGCCCCCCAGCCCACCGTCTGGGGGATGCTCCTTCCCTACTGGGCCCACCTGGGCTCCTCCAGTGAGCAATTCATAAGAAGAGAGCCAATCTTAAGTTGCAAATAAATACAGTTATTGTTTCTCCTGGGGTTTACAATCAACCCAGATATATGAATTAATTTACTCAAGATTTAATTTTAAAATAAAAGTCAATGTATTTAGCTTAAGTAAAATAACAGGTCATTTCCTTTGTTGTCCAGAGTTTAGTCATTGGTCTGATTTTGAATAGAGATCTATAAAAATGAAAATAAGATTACTGCGGCTATAAATCTTTTAAATAATAAAATCTAGTTATTCTCATTATGCTTTTAATATTACAAATGAGACTATCCTTTGAAGAAAGTAACTTGGGCCTTAAAGAAATCCAGACAATTCAGATCTGCCTGCTCATTCGAATCCTAGGATAAAAGGTTACTGGGTTACAGACTCAGTTCCTTTGGGGCCCACAGGTGAAATGCACAGACTTTTATGCAGGAAATTTCTCTGCAGCTGGCCTCTCTCCCAGTCAGTGGGAATCACGGTATGATTGAGGCTTTCATCTACTAGGCCCTTGTCTTCGGGAAGGTTGAACAGAGTCGCTAGCACCATCAGTGGCTGCACTTTCATTCTGCAGCCCCTAAAAACCTGGTTCAGACCTCTTCATGGGTCTCAGCCATTGTGAATATTGGAGTGCTGACCTGGAGGAGTGGGTTTCTGAAACTCCAAAGAGGTCTGAGTTGAGAGAGAATTGGAGTTGGGGGATGAGAAAATCGGAGAGGTGTAGCTAGCAGTATGATTGGCTGATCTCTTCTATCTTTCTGGGAGGTGAGAACAGTGGGTTGGAGTGCCAGGGCAGGTGCCATGGAGTAAGCACACCTCCCCATGGAGAGTGGGGCATGGGAATATGAGGCACAGTACAGTTACACACCCAGCCACTCTCCCCGGCCTGCACATTCCTGAAATGCAAATTTTGCTCTCTCTTTAAAGAACACTGGTGCTAGGAGCACAGCACCTGAGACAGGCAGGCTGCCACTCCACAGCTGGGTGACTGGAAGCATGCTTGGGCCTTTGTGGGCCTCAGTTTCCTCTTTGTAAAGTGAGGAACAGGCCCATATGTATCCCTGTAGGGCAAAGAAAGACAGCACAGGAATGTAGTCACACACACCACATGCCCTACCGGAAGCATGGTGTTCAAGCTTCTCTGAGCCTGGCCCCTAGGTAAACACTCTAACTGCTTCATCTCCTGAAATGTTCATGCGGACCCTGCATCATCCTCGTTTCATAGAAGGCTCAGTTAAGGCTTGGAGAGATGCACTAGAAGCAGAGAGTCACAGGAGGGATCACCACCATATGCAGTGAACTTGAGTCTCTATAACATTAGGGGTTCTCCAGAGAAGCAGAACCAGTAAGGGGTGCGTGTGTGTGTGTGTGTGTGTGTGTGTGTGTATCTATGTATGTATCTATGCATTATCTATCTATCTATCTATCTATCTATCTATCTATCTATCATCTATCTGTCTTCTATCTTTCTAGAGAGATTTAAGGAATTGGCTCACATGATTGCGGGGATTAGCACATCCAAAATCTGCAGGGCAGATGGGCAGGTTGGAACCCCAGGGAAGAAATGATACTGCAGCTGGAGTCTGAAGGCTGTCTGAAGACTGATTTCCTTCTTCTTTGGGGAAGCTCAGTCTTTTTTCATTGGGCATTCAAATAATTGCATGAGGCTCACCCACATTAAGAAGGGCAATCAGTTTTATTCAGTCTTCTGATTCAAATATTAATCTCATCTAAAAATTACCTTCACAGCAACATTCAGATGTATTTGACCACATTTCTGGATATTACGGTCTAGCCAGATTGAAACAAAATTTAATCACCGTGATTGTTACACAATTAATGTAAAAGAGCATAAGGAAAAAAGTAGCCACCAAGTCAATGGTGACCCAATGCTCTTCTATTGCTTCCAGTTTTTATTTCATACTTATATTTAGACAGAGCTTTCAAACATTCCTCTTTTCTTTGAGACAGAGTCTTGCTCTGTTGCCCAGTCTGGAGTACAGTGGTGCAATCTCAGCTCACTGCAACCTCTGCCTCCCAGTTTTAAGTGATTTTCCTGCCTCAGCCTCCTGAGTAGCTGGGATTACAGGCATGCACCACCATACCCGGCTGATTTTTATATTTTAGTAGAGACATGGTTTCACCATGTTGGCCAGGCTGGTTTCGAACTCCTGACCCCAGGTGATTCACCCGCCTTGGCCTCCCAAAGTGCTGGGATTACAGGCGTGAGCCACGGCACCTGGCCTCAAACATTACTCTTGCACTTGCACAAGCATGGGGGTGCGGGGGGAAGCAAAATAAATCAGTTAAGATGTTCCAGGAGCTCCTCATTCAGAGCTGCCCTAGTGGATGATGGCACCTCGCTGGTGTCATGCCCCTTGAACTCAGGAGCATGGGAGCCCGCGCTGCCTCTGAGACGTGATTCTAAACTGCCAACCCTCCCCAAAAAGCTGGGCGGGTGGAGGTGTTTTCTCGCTTAGGATGGCTGAGTGATCTTTTTTTATGTATCTTGGTCACAAAACAGAACACAAACCCCTCTACTCATAGGGACCTTCCTTCTTTAGGTTCCATAAAGCAGCAAATTTTTATTGGCAGTGAAGGGAATGTAGACTGGCGGTCACCTCTCAACGACGAGTACCTATTCCATTAATACCGAGTCTAAGCACAGCTGCTCTGTTTCTGGCTTTGCTCTCAGCACCCTCTCCCTGTAGCCTGTCTTTTCCCCCAGAGGACAAGCTCCAGGAGGCCAGGGCCTTGCCCTGTCCTTCTTCACTGAGGGCCCAGGCCCCACCATGCAGGCTGCCTGAAGGAACAGCCCCCATTCCTCAGGTGACACCTGCAAATCGCATGCTTTGTACTCCAAAGGGAGTCGCCCGCCTTCACTCCCAAACTCTATCCTAAGCCTGGACGCATGCTTACAGAATTTTAAGTGCCCTTCCAAAAAGCAAAGACGTGTTCCTATTGCCACTGCCCCAACGAGTGGTCCCTGTGTGTGCTGCTTCTCCGGTGCTGGGAGGAAGTATCACAGCACATCAGTTATGGAACGTTGTATTAGTGTCCCAGTGCTGCCACAAAAAATGCCCAAAAACAGCTGGGCTTAAACAGCAGGCATTCACTTCGCACCGTTCTGCAGGTGTGAAGTTTAAGATCAGGGTGTCAGCAGGGTTGATTTCTCCTGAGGCCTCTCTTCTTGGTTGGGAGACACCCGCCTTTTCACTGCGTCTTCACATGGGCATTGCTGTGTGTGTGGACATCCCCAGTGACTGATATCTTCTTATAAAGACATCAGTCATATAGGATTAGAGCTCACCCACAGGGCCTCATTTAAACATGATTACCTCTTTAAAGACCATATCTCCAAATAAAGTCACATGCTAAGGTATTGGGTAACGTTAGGACATCAACACAGGCATTTTGTGGGGGGGTGGGGGTCCCAATTTAGTCCATAACAAATGTGATCTTCCCCAAAATTCTGAGAGAGGGTGGCCCCATTTGAAGCCAAAGTTACTGAGATAAATGCTGTGCCCGTGAGCTGCCTGCTGTCCTGCATACAGTTCAATCTTTCACTCAAGTGTTTGTGGTGTGCTCCCGATGCCCCCTCATGCTTGCTGTCCAGGTGTCCAGGTGTGGCCATGGACAAGTCAGAGCAGATGCCCATGCTCATGGACAGAGGCATAAAGGCAAAAGCACATAAAATGAACAAGGCAGCTCTGGCACTGACGAGTATTCTGAAGATGACCAGGCAGCATCAAGGAGGGAAGTGGAGTGCATGGGCCTGACAGTGAATTTCCCCTGCATGCTGCACCAACCTGCCAGGGAAGAACCAAAACCTCACTGAGGATAACCAGGAGTCAACTTGCTCCAACACCTTAAGTGCCAAAAGTAAACAATGAGGCTCACTGGACCCCAGCAGGACAGCTGACCCTTATAACAGAGCAAACAGCAGGGCATCAGCTACGTTGTTCTGGTTCCCAGCCCCCACGGCCCCAGAGGCCAGAAGGAAGCCAGGGGGAGGCTCAGCTTGGGGGGGGGCTCCTGTCATGGCTGAGGAGCTCTGTGCCTAGGGAACCCATTGCTTTGCTAGTGGGCAGAAAGCAGATCTCTCCTCTTTTTGCAGGGAGCTGCAATCTCACCTCTCAAGATCACCACTTTCAAAAAGAACTCTGAGACACAGCCTACTGGAAGAGGGGTCACAGGCCTTCAAGGAGGGGCCAGGGTGGAGAGGGCCCCACAACCAAGAGGCAGCCACACAATTATCTGGAGACAGAGATTTCTGAGCAGAGCAAATAGCAAGTGTACATGTTCTAAGCCAGGAGTGAGTCTGGGGTGGATCCTTGAACAGAGAGAAGGCTGGAGTGGCTGGGGTGAATCCAGCAAAGACACGGGAGAGGAGGGCACCTGGACATGAACAGTGGGCTGTGCGGGCCTGCAGGCCATGGAGATGGCTGCGTCTCCTTAATCCAGACGGTAGCCCCAGAATAACACAGTTTCATTCTCAGTTTGCAGATGAGAAAACACTTTCAGAGAGGGAAGCAAGTCTCTCCATTACACAGTTCCTAAGTGGTGGATCTGGGGCTATGTTGGGGGCTGAATGTTTCTGTCCACCCCATATCCCTGTGTTGAAGACATAACCTCCAATGTGCCTGCATGTGGAGGTGGGGCTTTTGGAAGATAATTGTTTAGATGAGGTCATGAGGGTGGGGCCCCCATGATAGGATTAGTGCTCTTATAAGAAGAGATTCTGTCCCCTCTCTCTCCACGTGCATGCTTAGGAGAAAGGCCATGTGAGGACACAGGGAGAAGGCATCCACCTGCAGGTCAAGAAGAGGGCCCTCATCAGACATGGAATCTACCAGCACCTTGACCTTGGACTTCCCAGCTTCCAGAACTGACTGTGAGAAATAAATGCCTCTTGCATATACCACTCACTCTGTAGTACTTTGTTATGGCAGCCTGAGCTTACTAAGACAGGCTGGAATCCAGATCTTTCTGGCTCACACCTAGTTGCTCTCAATGCCTGGCTGCTGCTTGACCCAGGACATGGGGCTTCCCTTCAGTCAAGGTTCACAGGCTGTGGTGGGACAGAAGGCTGAAGATACGGGGGAAGCACCACTGAGTTAAAGATCTCTTCACATGCAACCCAAACTTTTCTTCAGGTGAATGGGGGGAACCACACATTATGCTCTAATCACTGAAACCACACTTCAGACGCAAAAACAAGAAGGTTGTTTATTACACCAGAAACCGCAGAAAGTGAGAAGGCTGGCATAAGGTTGTGACTCAGGCAGAAATCTGGCAGTGATATTAGGAGCACACATCCCATTTGTGGCCAGATGATTATTAATAACACAAGGTACTCAGTGTGCACTGAAAACTCACCCTGGAATATGAACACAGAAGTCCTCCCATGAACGTCAGCTCACCAAGTAGGAGCTTTAGAGCCTGGAAATGAGCCCAGGCTGGCCTCACCTAGACGCGCAGCATGTTTCTGCTCCCAGGCAAAAAGCCCGGGAGGCCTGTACTCTTGTACCTGAGGGTCAGCCAGATATGTGCACCTTGGTCCAGCCAAGGAGAGGCCAGGCACCTATGCCCAGGGTCCTGGTGGCCCATGGTCTCACCACCCCCATGCACTCTGCCAGCAGCCAATCGAGGACACTGAGCTTCAAGCTCATTGTGTGTTCCTGAAGGTCGGGACTCCCCAGGATGCTGTGGGGCCATCAGGATGCAGCCAGGAGGGACAGGAGAGCCGACCTACCCAATGGCCTCTGTGGCTGGTTACTGTGGTGGGTGTCCCCTGGTCACTCCTGGAGGCCCCAAGTTCCCATGCTCTGCTGCACAGAGCCAGGTCCGGGTCTCATCCAGCCTCCCATTCTTAGGCCCCTCTGGGTTACAGAGCTTCTCACCACCAGAATGAGCAGAAGGAGACGCAGGGAAGGTGATACTGCACCTAGTTCACAGTGGAGGAGAAGCAGCCCCAGCGTTTTTTTGTTTTTTTCTTATTTATTCTAAGACCCCTCATAGGTGGATGGCTGTGTGCTTTGCTGATTCTTGCTGACAGCAGCCATGGCAGCGTCTACAAACAGGTCCCCCTTTGCTGTGGATTTCCTGCAGCCCCTGCTGTGCACATGGGCATCCCTCCATGGGTCTCAGAGGCATGCTCTCAGGGTCTCTGCATGCTGTGCCAGAAACAAACAAACAAAGCAGGAAACAACAACCTACAGAAAATACACACGCAGCTTAATGTAGAGCATTATCCAGCAGCCTCAAAAAAAAAAAAAAAAAAAAGCAGAATCAGGTTTCCACAGATCATTCTGGAAAGTAGATATTCCCAGAAACTCCACACTGCAACTAGTCCTCCTAATGAACAATCACTAGCACATTCAACACACTCAACACAGGCAGGATGGTGTGTGCCAGGGCCAGCGGGCATTGCTGAGTCGGCCTCGAACCCCAGGCAACTGGGAGGCCAGGTGCAAGGGCAGAGATAGGTGTACTACTCTCACAGGAGATGGCCTGGCCTGGGGTCTAGCGGAACACCAGGAACTGCACTAACTCAACTCTCCCAGCCTGATGGCAGGTGGCCAGGGCTCTGACTGCCTCAGAAAACAATTTGCCAGAACCCAGCCCTTCTGGTTTGCAGAGGCTCTGGTTTGCAGAGGCTCTGGGCAAACTCTGGGCTGGTTCTGAGCTGCCACTATCTAGGCCAGCAGCGGGCACATCACCTCAGATACAGAGGCATTTTCTCAAAATGCATAAAATTGCATTTTTGGTGCAATAATAACATTTTAAAGTATCGATTAACAAAACAAAAAGGAAAAGAAACATCATCTACTTTGTGGGTGCTAAAGTAGCTTATTTCTGCTACATTTCTACATTGTGCTGTGTGTATGTGTGTATGCAAGAAATATGAGGTTTACTATTAAATTATTTTCAATCCACCACTAACAGCCAAGAGAAATCAGGATGGCTTTAAATCCTAAACCTATGATATGTGACTGATTTTTTACATAAATAAATAAAATTAAAATACTGTCATGATAAATAAATGTAAAATTATGTTTTTTATTTATATATTTTTATATAGACTGATCCAAAGAACCATCATTCACACAGCATAATTGACACACATGGTGTACGCATCTACACATTACACTCAAGTGACACTACTTTAGTATCCTGCAAGCTCCATGTACCAGGAGTGCAGTTACCTCCCATTTTGTTATGGGTTTTACATGAAATCACAAAAAAATAAGGTGTATTAGTTAGGGTTCTCTAAAGGGACAGAACTAATGGAATATATATGTGTGTGTATATATGTGTGTGTGTGTGTGTGTGTGTGTGTGTGTGTGTGTGTGTATATATATATATATATGTAAAGGGGAGTTTATTAAATATTAGCTCACATGATCACAAGGTCCCACAATAGGCCGTCTGCAGGCTGTGGGGCAAGGAGAGCCATTCTGAGTCCCAAAACTGAAGAACTTGGGAGTCCAGTGGTCGAGGGCAGGAAGCATCCAGCATGGGAGAAAGATGTAGGCTGGGAGGCTAGGCCAGTCTCTCCTTTTCACGTTTTTCTGCCTGCTTATATTCTAGCCACACTGGCAGCTGATTAGATTGTGCCCACCCAGATTAAGGGTAGGTCTGCCTTTCCCAGCCCACTGACTCAAATGTTAATCTCCTTTGGCAACACCCTCACAGACACACCAACGATCAACACTTTGCATCCTTCAATCCAATCAAGTTGACACTCAGTATTAACCACCACATAAAGTATAATAATATTCACTCTCACATTACACTTCATTATATGCTGATATCCAGATTATAAGTAACTACTTATGGAGTCAATTTGATGTTATTAAAATTCAGTGCTGCAATAGCACATTTGAGATGTGGGATTAAGAACGCTTTGAGGTACATTTAACATCTCACATCTTTTTTAATAGACCGGCTTATTTTATAGAAAATAATTAAATAAAGTCATAGTCACTTCCTTTTTTTACTCAGTCTTTGAAAGGCAATTACCATCTCTTTGATATAAAAATACTACAAGGACTACTTCAGGTCAAATTCTTCAGGCCTGAATTGAACCCCAATTGAGTGTTGGTGCAAACACTGCTGAGGTTTGTCAGGCTCCACAGTGACGTGGAAGGAGAGGAATCTCTGAATTCACCCAGTCAGGAGGTTCTCCCAGGCCTCTAGGCGCCTCTAAGTGACCTTTTGGCTGAGGGAGAGAAGGATCAAGGGGCAGGTCTGTCTGTCGACTTTTGTGGGTAAGACTTCACTTGAGCAGAGCATTCCCAGACAAATGAAAATAACACAGTTGAAAACCACTAAATCCACATAACCAATAATCATGCCCCAGAGAAGGGGACAGAAGCTCAGAGTGGCCCAGGTCACCAGGTCATTCAGCAGCAAACTCCAGACTAGGAACAGCATTTTCACATTTCCAGGACACATTGCCTGCTGCCCAGGGCACTAGAATAAAAACATCTTGCCGTATCAATCTATATCACTTCAACAACCTTAAAAAAAAGTTATTTGCTAAAATATCATCTTTCCCTTCATTTCTTACCTATTCACAAAACATTCCTTAAAGATTGTATATTTTAAGCTTGCTTCTTATTGTCCCCAAGACACTGATGGCTCTGATTCTCCAGCATATACACCACCAACACACCACTCTGTGCACAGTGACCAAGCTGTCCAGGAAGGCTCAGGGGTGCCTCTGCCCTTGTCTTGCTGAGAACACTGGGGGAAGCACCCTTTTCAAGGCCTCAGCTAGCAGGAGCTCCACAGGGAGCAGAGACTCCACTTCTTTTCCATAAGTGCTGCTGAGTCCCACAGCTAAAGTCACAGTCTTTTCATTATGACTCGGAAGACTGGCTGGCTGAGGTGTGTCACCCTGTTCTCAGAAAGTTTCCATCGCTGCAGTGAGTCACATAAGTGCCTTCCACTGTGACCATCTGAGAGCAACGCTTTAATGCAGTGACCTCCAGAGCAAACAAACAGCCCTGGTGGGGTAGGGGACAAGGTGAAAAGCCAGTGGAGGCCCCACCCACAAGTGCATCTTTCAGGATGCAAGATGGAATTCACAATAAGTTCTCATCCCAGCTGAGCACATCTGCTAAAAAGCCCAAAGCTTCCTTCCCCATGGTTTCAGATCAAGGTGATGATACCAGATGACAAGCTTAATCCCCTTATTGGTGGGTACATCAGATGCCTCCCTAACTCCAGGGGAGCAGAGGATGACAGGGGGGATGAAACAAAACATATTTGGTCTTGCTTGAAGTTAATCAATTTTATCATTACACAGTCCTCAGCCTTTACCTACTATTCACCCCTAACTCTTCAGGATGGCTTCCAAACCTTCAAGGAACAGACCCTTTCTTCAACTGAAATTGCACAAACATAATTTCAAGATATAAAATAGCTTGAAGAGAAAATGTGTGGGACAATAGGAAGAGGCAGCTCCCCCTGGCATTGCTACCAACGTATGTCCAGGAAAGCTTCTTGGACGCAACCTTAAAACCACAGCTCTGATGGAGTGCCTACTTTTATGGTTCATTGGAAACACCCGGGTCCCCCAACTCCCTGAATTAGAATGTCCTTAAAGGGACCCAGGAACCTCTCCCTGAAGTTCAGGGCTGGGTCCCTCCTCCTTTCTGGACCAACCCCTCCCGAGGGACTAAGCCCCCTCCTCCCCTTTCTCCTCCATGGAGACCTCAGGATGTAGTGCTGTGAGGGGTCTGAGAATTTCTGCCTCATTCTCCTACTGCCCCTCGACTTCACAAGTCTGAAGGCTGGTGCAGTGAATGATGGCAGACTTCAGAAACCGACACCTCTCTTGTGCTGGGGAGGGGTGGGGCAGGGATGGCCAATCCCAGCCATGCTAGATGGAACCGAAGAAACTCTCCTTCCCCAGAGGAGCTGTCATCATGGGGGTTCCATAAACATCATCTCACCTGGGCTGGAAATCACCTGCTGATGCACCCATGACAAGTGGTAAGTTTCAAACCAACCCACCTGGCACAAAGCTAAATCCTGTGTTTATATAGACCACTTTGGTTTAAGTGCCACTGAGCTATTTCTGTTAAGCTCTAGGAGAACTGTTCACAACATGTGCAGAAGCAATTGCTAAAGAAATAATGGGTACAGCACATAATAACATCATAATTGTCCCAGGCACCGTGTTGAAAGGCAAGGAAGAAGACAGGCATCAGAAAGCAGCTGTGTGCAGAAGCTCCTCGGCTGGCCAGGCATCTTGAACAAAGAACAGCCAGGAGCCATCCTTGGCCTTTTCTTGCCCGATCTCCACATACACACAGCCCCTGCAGAGGCAACAGGTCGGGTGAGTTAGTTTCCCTGTAGGGTCTAGGATCTGTTGGAAGGCTGGAAGACAGCACTAAAGAGGCCCATCAGCCCAGAGGCTGCCAAGTGCTGAGGGAGGAGTAGTGAGCCTGATTTGTAATGAAATAGAAAAGGCAGGTGTAACCAACCTGGTAACCTAGAGAGCTGGACAATTTGGCAATGGCCTGCACTGGCAGGCTCCTGTAGATGCACCTTGGCAAAGGACAGGCCTGGGCTCCTCCTGACCCTCCCCAGGGCCCACTGAATGCCTGGGATGCCAGCCGACCTCACAGGGCCCTGTATGCAGGAAGGGCCTGACGCGTGAACCCTCTCTTCTATCCACCCCAAAAGATAACTTCCCTGTCTGCACAGGGCCAGAGAGAATATAACCACATCACCACTAAAGGGAGGCCTGTGATTTATCAAAATGTGTCTGTCTTTAGAGAGAGGCATATTTGGAACTGACAGATTTGTAGTTGGCAAAATCTAAGACCCACTGACATCACATTCAGTGCCTTTACTTCAATCCAGATGAATGTGAAGAGAGTTACAGGGCAGGAGGAGAAGGTGTGCTTCTCTGCACAGGGAGCTGCCTGAGGTCCCTGACTCCCGCTTCAAGGCAGACAGCTAAGAGACAGCCTGAGTTCTCCGGAGATCTTCCTCCTCCAAAACCCAACAATAAGAACTACAAATATCTACATTTAATCAATTAACACAAACCAATTAAAATGTACTCTCAGCAACCAAGCAAGGGAGGAGACAAGAGTAATATAAATGTTTTTAAGGCACTGTGGTTTTGCAAAACATCCACAAGGCCATATTATTTAAAACACATTTTAAGGGGGTTTCTATATGGAACTGTAACAAAATATATTTTAAAGATTTGTACATTTTCTACAAGTTTAGGAATTACATTCCAACTAATCTATCATAATCTTAGCAATAAAATTCAAGAGTTTTATGCAAAACTCTTGTTAGCTTCCAATCCTGAAACCTCTGGAAGTTTATTCAGTCCAGAGAACTAAGATCATTTTCTACTGTTAAGCATTAGGGTAAGATTTTTGCTTCAGTTGATATCATTTTCTGGGTCTCATTCAATGCAAAAAGCACATGGCTCATCTTGCAATAATTGGTGCATCTCTGGACAGGACTTTTCCCTGGAGTGTCATTTATGTGCCTTTCAGAAGTACATTTGCACTAATGAGAGATTCCTCATGAATCAGTAGGGCTACCAATGTTATTGGCAACACATTTAAGAAGAGATCATCCAAGCCAGCCTCTTATAATCACTGGAAAATGAGTCAAAGCAGAATGTAGTCTGTTTAATATATTGAACCAGACATTCAAGACTTCTGTCATTAAAAAGGCCTGTTACAATTTTTACTTAAACCCCATCCTTCCATGCAGACCCCTCGTGGAGGGTCTAGTGGGTTGCTGCAAAGCCAACAAGGACCCCCAATGACCACTGCTGGTCCTGGGGGTCAAAGGCTGATCATCCCATCCTTCAGCCACTGTCCCTCCATCAAGTAGCACAGCCAAAGTCTCTTGTCCCAGGATTATGTATAGAAAACAGTTCCCTCTAGCTAAAAAGAGAGAATTTATCAAAATATGTTATCAACAAAAGTGACCACAGAGCATTTCACAATCCAATATAAATGGTAAGCAGGAGAACTGAGTATCTCACAGGAAAGGTATTCTGCCGTCCGTGCTCTGCCTCTGGGGCATCCACTATGGACATGTGGTCTGCAACCCTGGGGATGAAGGCAGCAGACACATAGTGCCCTGACACTGTCCCCATCCTAAGCCATCACCTGACGTCCTGGGGATGTGTACTCATTCACTTTTCCAAGAAGTGGGGTGGCCTTGGCCACATGTGCCACTCTACCACTCTTCCCTCTCCCATCTGGAGATGTTGTAAGCCTCTGGGCTATTTCAATTCAATCTGTTCAATTCTCCCTTATTTGTCAGTTCCTATGTGCCTGGCAATGTACTAGTCTTTTTATAAACATGGCCTCATTGAATCCCCTTATAAGCTCAATAGAGTCAATAACACCGTTCCCATTTTGCAGGTGAAATCGAGCCTCGGAGAAGCTAACTAACTTGCCCACATTGGCTATGGTTCACACTAGATCTCCCCATTGCTGAGCCCCAAGCTCTTCACTGCCATCTCCCAAGAGACAGAGTCTCACAGGGACATGCATGTGTTTCACACCTGTGAAAGGGCTCACACAGGTGAGTGCATGAGTTACAAGTCATTAAAGTTGATGAACGTGATCAATGACATTCTTAACTCTAAGTTCCTTTTATTAAACTCGTACATGTTATTTTCTTTGACTGTCCCCCAAATTGCACACAAGACATGCCACAGGAAAGGCAGAAAAATTCCCAGTCTCCTACCTGGGGAGCTGGCAGTTAAGATCCCCAGCTCCAGTTTTGGCAGGATTATAGAGGGAGAGTTTGGGAAGTGCCTGTCGTGGATTTGGTGGGTTAAGGGTCCCTGCCTAACACTACGGCTATGCTCAGTAACACTTGTCTGCCTGAGATGGTTTAAAACCATCAGCAGAGCCCCCTGGAGCTGGTCTTCCAGGAATTAGTATGCTATATTTGATTAAGATGCTTTCATTCCTAAAGAAGTAAAATGGAAATCATATACCAACCACCTCCACTCCCCCAACCCCCCAAAAAAACCCACAAATACACTGAAGCCTCACAGACTGTTGACCTGAACCTTTCCCAGGAATTTAGAGGAAACCATCCAATTGAGAGAGCCGCTGTTACCAATATGCTGTTTCTTGTATTTAATAACCTCGAGGAAGCTTCCCTGCTGCTGATAGGTGCCAGTTTCGTCTGTCAGTTGAAGTTAGCGACACTCACAGCACGTAGCACTTTTACATAGAGGAGGGGCCAGAAGAGAGAAAACCCCAAAACATAATATTTTGTTATATAATTGAGCTAACAAATGCCAAACACACACACACACACACACACACACACACACACACACACACACAAACAAATCCTCACCAGGTTTTTCCTTCACAAGGTTTCAACTAAAACACAACTCAAGAATTGACACTCCATCAGCAAGTGCCAGGATGAACTGTCAAAGCAATGAAATAAAACAGCAAAACCATCTTCCTACTTGAGCAGCACTGCCTTTCCATTACAGGAGCCCCTGTATGGAGCGCTGGGCTTCTTGAAACACAACTAAGCTTCAAAAGTGATACCCACTGCATTTCCCCAGCACAGACCTCATTCACAGGAGCACTTTCAGAGCATGAGCCGCGACAAGCTTCTCAGAAAACAGGCTCTGGAAAGAGGAGAAGGTGCCTGACTCGGAGGTCCAGCATGAGCTTGAGTTGTACCGTTGTTCTTGACACCACCTCCTTTTGGGTCAGCCCTGGCCTCGGGGTCACTCTCCACATTTACCTAGGACCTTGTTTCACATATTTAGAAGTCTGAGTGTAAGAGACCCTGATGCACTTCCCTTTTAAGGATGCCAGAGCATGACATCAGTTCTGCTTCATATTCTTGACTGTTCCAGACAGCATGATCCAAGGCCTCACCAGGCTCCATCCACAGCAGCACTCACATCAGTGTGAGAGTGGACAAAAGAATGAAACAAGATGCATATTCCCTCCCCTGAGCCTCACATCTGCAGAGCCAAAGTGTGGACTTCATTTAGCAGACAAGCCTGGAGTAGGGAGCTACAGAGCTGGACCGAAGGAGTCCAACTTCAGGCTGCGCAGGCCCCACACAGGCTAGGCGAGGCTGGGGCTTGCTTCCTTTTACATTGTCTAATCGTGTGTGGCTCCTGCCTTTCCTTTTTAAACTTGCTGGGCAATTGCTCAAAGTGGAGACTGAAAAGCAAAATCACTGAGAAGCCAAGGGACCAAGAAGTGCCTGGGGGACCATGAGACAGACTCTGACAGGAGAGGAAGCAGGCATAAGCACAGTGTAGACTGCAGGGTCAGCTTCCAACACCTCCATTCTGACTAGAGAGATACACACTGACTTCAAACCAGCTGAAACTCTGCTCTCGATTTGCATCCCTGGTGCTACTATTTTTAAGGAACACTGAGGAACGTTCCTGTAATAGAATCTGGTATCCTTTCACCACTGGCGATTCTGAATTCCAGCTCTTAGGAAGTAAAGTGTATCCTGGGAGATACATGACCATCCTTTGCTGTCTACCCAATGCCAATCCCTTTCTTCTGCCTTCCCATCAGAATCTGGCTTGAGCGGTAGTGGTGGGTTACTGCGTCTAGCGTTGGGCAATGGATATAGACTACTGTAAGACAATGGTGACAGTACTGTTTCCTGCTTTCCCTGCCTCTATTGCAGTTAGTGCTAGTGCAATAAAACCTGAGCAGAAACCCAGTTCCAGCCAAAAAAACTTAAGCATAAACCTGCCCAGCAGATTTCCAGGAAGTATTTGCAATCCTAATAAAATAGTATCAGAAGCAGCTGGTACTGACCAGCTTTTCTTCCCTTGAACTAGGACACAATGGCTAGTGCTTCAGCAGCCACCTTGTGGCCATGTGGTCCAGAGAATTAGAGGTCAGCCTAGATGGGTCAACCCTTTACACCAAAGCCAGTAACCTTGAGACTCTTCCTTGTGAGTGAAAAGCAAGCCACACTCATTGGTCAGTTTTCTGTTACTCAAACCTGAACAGATTCCTAAATAATACACAAACAAAAGCACTTTATTTATGCACATCAGTGATTCAGTGATAACAGCTACAACAATTCATTTCCTGTGTATAACTATTTCTTAGTCCGTTAAAGACTTCCACAAAATGTATCTAATTAGACCCAGTAACATCTTGTTACCAGGTGAGTGTGTCTTCCCCACTTCAGAGATAAGAAAACACACTTGGAGAGGTGAAGGGGTAAGTGCAAGGCACTCACAGCCAGATCTTCTCCAGGGCTTCTATGGAACCACCTTCAGCCTGCAAGGTGGTGCAGATGGTGCAGTTCTTCAGGCAGCTGGAGAAGGGCAGCTTCGGGAGGCCAGAGGGGTCCCTCCACACAGCAGCCCGGCACACTCATAGTTCTACGGAGCTGGGTCTACTTACAGAGAAGGTGCAGGTGGGACAACAGGGATGCTAAGGTGGGCAAGGGCCTA
This sequence comes from Homo sapiens, assembly GCF_000001405.40. Lineage (NCBI taxonomy): Eukaryota > Metazoa > Chordata > Mammalia > Primates > Hominidae > Homo > Homo sapiens. The sequence continues at coordinate 4,095,352 of NT_187660.1, forward strand.
CCTGAAGAACCAGTGGAGCCTCACTGAAAATTTCACCACTGTCATGAACAGAACTGTGTCCCTGAAAATTCCTATGTTGACGTCCTAGCCACCAACATGACTGCATTTGGAGATAGAGCATTTAAAGAGGTAATTAAGTATAAATGAGGTCATAATGGTGGGGCCCTAAACCAATAGGGTTTGTGTCCATATAAGAAGAAAAAGAGACACCAGAGATCACTGGTTCTAGCTTCATGCATGCGTAGAAAAGAGGCCATGTGTGGGCACAACAAGAAGGCGGCTGTCTGCAAGCTGAGGAGAGAGCCCTCACCAGAAACTAGCCCTGCCAGCACCTTCATCTGGGATTTTCGGGCTCCAGAATTGTGAGGAAATCAATGACTGCTGTTTAAGCCACCCAGTCTGTGGTATTTTGTATGGCAGTCCAAGCAGACTAAGGTAGCCACCTCAACTAATGCCAGTGGCCTCTATGTCTGCTGCTCCAAAGAGCCATTTTAGTAATGGTTCTCTACTAACTGTTGGAGGCTAGGCACTACAAGGACTAGGCTGGCCCCTTCTGGAATTCTGTCCAAAAGTCAGTCTCTCCTAGCTCTGTGGTATCAGCCAGCTCAGGCCTCCATCCCCAGGAGGCTCTGAGCCCTAAAGGACACCCAGCAGGGCAACACAGGGTACTCTCTGATGAGAAAGTCCCCAGTCCATGAGGTGCAAAGCCAAGCCACTGCAGCCTGTATTGTGTGCCTGTGAAGGAGTGTGCCTTGCATTGAAAGTCTCAAAGCAGGGTCCAGGATCTCCTATGGAGCAGGAGGGGCTGCAGTGAGAACAAACATTATACACAGGTGAGGCATGCAGAGAAGGTGCACGGATTCAACCTCTGTCTCAGTCCCCACTTTCCAGGGCAATTTAAATCACATTTGGTGGAAAATATAATAATACTTCTAGCTAGGGAGAGACAGTGATGGCTGCATCTAGTAGAGCAGGAATGGAAAGAGGTAGACAGAGGGAGAGATGTTTAGGAAATGAATTATTGAGACCTTTTGGTTGATTTGATGTGTGTGTGTGGCATGGTGTGTATGTGCATGGTATGTGTGTAAGTGCGTGTGTGTGTGGTGTGTGTGATATGTATCCATACTTGCATGTGTGGGGGGGTATGATGTGGGCTGTGTCTGTGTGTGTGGTATGTGTGAGTGTGTGCTTTGTATGTATGTATGGTGTAGTGTCTGTAGATGTGTGTAGCGTGATGTGTATGTAAGTGCATGGGTATGTGTATGACATCTGTGGGGTGTGTGTGCGTATGTGCATGTGAGTGTGCGTTTATGGGCATTTGGCATGTGTGGCTGGAAAAGGAGACAGTGAGAAGCCGCAGGAGTGAGCAGGATCTCCACCGCACTCCCGGGGCTCCGGGTGCTGGTTAAAGGGTAGTAGAGAGGTGCCTTCCTCTTGCCCTCACAACTGCCTCACCATCCTCACTCTGTAGGGAGGATACAGAGCACAATGAGGTCTGCCATCCGCCCAGTGCCGCCAGCTGGCCAGGCCCTGCTGCGGGCAGTCCGCCTGGCCAGAACACCATGTTCCCTGGACTAGGGCAACCTGCTTTTTCCTATCAGCCTTTCAGAGCTGTACACAGAGCAACAGTGAGCATTCACTCACTCGCTCACTCTGCACAGCGGGAGGGGTCAGCTTCACTCTCGCTGGAGCCCACCCCTGAGGAGACCTGAGAGAGGACTGAGGCTGCGGGAGGATGCTGGTCACTGCTGCCTTGCTTCACCCAGCCTTCCCAGGGATGGGGCAGGTGGTGACCAGAGCAAGGCCTTCTGCACTGGTGGAAGCAGCAGGGGTTGAGGGAGCATTAACAAACAAGTGGGCTCTGCAAGTGGACCCCGGCTTCTGACAGTATCAGAGCCTCAACCCGTGCATCACATGGGCCTCATCTCCCAAACATGTCCTGGACCCACTGCCATACTAACCAGAATGCCCCAGCTGACCCTGTTCAGGGAGGCCCAACCAGGGCTTCCACACTCCTCCACAGGCCCCCAGCTCACCACACAGACGTGCAGGAATCAGGCAGTTACGGCATCAACTGCCCTTCAGCTACGCCTTCCAAGGGTGGCCACATTAGCCACCCTGAGGTAATTTGAATGTGAAAAGGACAGAATTTAAATTACTCTGCCTCATTTACAGTTGTCCTTGCTGGAGGAGAGAAGAAAGAGCCTTGGGAGAAATTTCAGGTGATGGTTAATAGCAGCTTCCAAGAAAATGCACGCCCTGAAGCCATTTCATGGGCCAGTAAAAAGAGCCAAATCTCCCTTTTTGGTGCTTGAACGAATTCCAGAAGACCTGCCTCATGGAATGCCTATTTCTGGACCTCAAGAACCCACCTACTAATGGCTGCAATGAAATGCATTCAAGAGACAGAACACTCCAACTATACCATAAAGTGTCCCTATCCCCTGCTCCCACTCCCTGCAGTCTCAAATAGTGTCACCCTTCAGAATGTCCCCGAGTACATGGTATAACTGCCAAGTGTGAAGTTTCAATCCATCCACCATGTGAGGAGCTTTGCTAGTCCAAGCCACACACCCCAAGCTGAGTCTCCCCTTGGTCCTCAGGACCCTTGATCTTAACATGCAAGTGATAAACATCTTCTAAAATATAAGGGTTTAGCTGTCATTTCTAAGGGCACTAAGCTCCACACACACACACAGGTATGAGGTCATGCCACATCATCTATTCTCCCTCAGGATGGATTCTCAAGGCCAGGCCCTTCCCTGGCCACTTTCGGAACCCAACCCAAAACACAGAGAAGGTAGAAGCAAGACACCTGATGCGGCAGCTGTCAAACGCCGGGGAGCCCGGGAATTGCTGGTAGCATGTGCTCAATAGAGATCCTCCAGCCTCATGTTAATAGAGTTCCATTCAGCAGGTAATGGTCCAGGCCAAGCACGTGCAGGTATACGCATGCCCTCCCCATGCCAATGCCGTTGCTGATGCAGATGCTGATACCTGGGTCCATGGATCAGGCACAGAGTGTTCCACTCACTACCATCCAGCATTGTTAGGCTTCTGTACAGTAGAAACTCAATAAATTTTGGTTAAAAGACTAGAAAAGGAAGTAATTATGTAAAGTGTCTTAGGTCACGATGATTTACTGCATGACACACCATATAGCTTTCTGACATGAAGAACTATTCTACTGCTCCAAGATTCAGCAAATGCCACATTCGTGTCTTACCCTCCCCATAAACACTGGGTCTGATAAATGTGTGGGGGAGGTCAGGGGTAAAGGAGGACATTCTTTGGTCAAATAAGTTTGAAGAATACTGGATTCCACTGAAATAAACAATTTCTATGTTGCAGGCCTTCTCAGAGCCTTTGACATGCTAATGGACATTGTGCATCTTTAAGAAAAAAATAGTACATAACATTCAAGCTTATTGAGTCAAAGAACCTTTATTTTGTAATGGAAGATATTTTAACATCATGAAACATAACTTGGGAAACTTCCAGTTTCAGCATTTCACAAAGCTTTCTAGTTTTCAAAATGTTTCTGTAAATATCAATCTCCTAGAATATCCAGGCCCAATTCCTGCCTCCGCAGTGACACCTGGACAACAGTCAGGAGGCTCTACTTACGTTCACCTGAGAATGCTTGAAAAGATTCCTTAACTGGGAATTATGGAAAACCACCAGAGGAATTACTGTAATGCCTTAATTCTAAGACACATGATCAGCCTGATAAGAAATTGGCAAGAAAAAATAAAAAAAGAAACGGTGAGAGCATCAATCCATGTAGACTAGGTCACCATGGGGTAACAAATAGACCAGCCGAAACCCTAGTAGCTCATACCCACAACAGCTTATTTCTCACGCATGCTAATTATGCACTATAATCAGCCAAGGGCTGTGCTCCACAAACCCTCTTTCTGGGTTTCAGGCTGATGGAGCAGACCACCCAACCACTGGCATCGGCCATGCAAGGGTGCTCTAAAGGATCATGTGCCAACAACTTACTCCAGCTGGAAATTACACACAGCACTCCCATTCACAATTCACCAGGCAGAATCATCCCCTAGGCCTGCCCTGCCGCAAGAGGCCTAGGAGTCAGCCCAGCCGAGTGCCCTGAAGAACTGAGAATCCCACCAACAGCACTGATGATGACCATGGAGGGCTATGCCTGCTGTAGCCCTGTTCATGTGACACGTCCTAATTCAGGGATACTAAGACATAAACAAGAGCCTTAACATTTAAGAAAATGGAATTCAAAAACCTTGCGTAAGTTCTTTTTTTTTTTTTTGAGACAGAGTCTCGCTTTGTTGCCCAGGCTGGAGTGCAGCAGTGCAATCTTGGCTCACTGCAACCTCTGCCTCCTGGGTTCAAGTGATTCTCCTGCTTCAGTCTCTCAAGTAGCTGGGACTACAGGCATGCACCACCACACCCGGCTAACTTTTGTACTTTTAGTAGAGATGAGGTTTCACCATGTTGGCCAGGCTGGTCTTGAACTCTTGACCTCTAGTGATATATCCGCCTAAGCCTCCCAAAGTGCTGGGATTACAGGTGTGAGCCACTGGGCCCAGCCTAAAAATCATGCGTAAGTTCTATTCATGTTTACTGGGCAGTTATTTTTTTGCATAGATATGAATCTATGCAATATGGGCCAAGTATCTATTCATTATACCACAGCTCTGAGTAAATACCCTGCCTTGCCATGGCTGGAATGAACTCCTAGGGCAGAGTCCTGAAGCTCCCACATTGTCCCTGCCATGTTCCCTGACTCTCAAATCCCAGGCTTGCTGCAAAGGAGACAACTGGGTTTCTTCAACATTGGTTCCCTGTCTCTGAACAGAGGCACACAGAACTCCCCAGCCCTTCTGCTGCTTCCAGGGCCTTCTAGGGTGCTGTATCTAAATCTGCAATTGCACAAATCTATGCAATGTGGAAACTCCCCTCCAAACACCCCCTGCCAGGACGTTTGTGCTGCTGTAGCCATAGCAGCAATTACATACAGACCTCTGATTTTAGCAGAGGAAAGCAACATGCCCAAGTGGACACTGAATCAGAGGGCTCCCAGCAGAATGACACTGCTGCAGAAACCAGAGCCACTGTCAACTCCTCAGTCCCAAAGGTGAGTGACCATTCGCATCTGTTCTCCCATCTGATCATCACAGCCATCCCTCAAGGGTGGCTGGGGTGATGTACAATCATTCTGACTTACAGATGAACAAACATCTACCCAGCAAGGAACGAGCTCAAGGTCACTTAGCTAATTTGTGTCTGAGTTCATTGAACATCCAGTGCTTCTGACCTCTCTGCCACTGGCCTTCTGCCAAAGCCCGTGAGGGGCTGGAACTGTGTGAGTTCACTTTGCAAAGATCCTCTGGTCTATGGTTGGGTCCATTCCGGAAACAGGGCGCTAGGCTATGAAGTGGTGGCGGCAGGATGGAGCCAGGCTGGGGGGCCTCTCCCACCACGGGCCATCTTCCTACCCAAAGCATAGCATTGGAATCCCACGGGGGTTGTTTTGAAAGTTGTGTCGTGACACATAAATGTACGCATTCAGTAACAATAATGAATAGAAAACTTCTACAGAGATGAGGAACACTCTCTCACAAGGACATTTATTGGCAGCTCTCTCTCTTTGCCCATAGGACAGATGTTCTGGGAGAAAGGTCCCCACCATGTTCCCAGCCGGCACAGCAGGTGGTGACTTACACCATTCGCCATGCTCCTCCCTCAGCCAACAGTGACCGACCAGAGGAGGCACATGCCCCAGTTTGGGCCACTGATGCATGAGGAGATTCTGCTGGCCTCCAGGAAAAAAACCACTGAACGAGTGAAGCATTGCCTGCTCTGGGCACAGGTGAGGATGCTGCTTTGAGGGCTCCGGCCTCTTTCCAGCCCATATCAGAAGATGAAAAGCAGTGTGCCCTGGAATGCTTTTCATCCAATCACTCTGTGGTAACATCAAACCTTGGGTAGAGGGCCCACAGGTACACATGCAATTCTAGCATGTCCTTCCTGGACTAAACAAAGGAGATATTTGATTCCTTCTTCACAAAACCAGAAAAGGGAGGAAAAAGCTGTCTAAAATACTAGTCAGTTTCTTCCCCTTAACAACGAATCCCACTATATTAAGAAAAATCACTTTAAAAATTAGAATCACATGGCTGGGCACGGTGGCTCATGCCTGTAATCCCAGCACTTTGGGAGGCTGAGGCGGGCAGATCACGAGGTCAGGAGATTGAGACCATCCTGGCTAACACGGTGAAACCCCGTCTCTACTAAAAATACAAAAAAAAAAAAGCCTGGCACAGTGGCGGGCACCTGTAGTCCCAGCAACTCAGGAGGCTGAGGCAGGAGAATGGCGTGAACCTGGGAGGCAGAGCTTGCAGTGAGCTGAGATCGTGCACTCCAGCCTGGGTGACAGAGCGAGACTCCGTCTCAAAAAAAAAAAAATTAGAATCACATGTTAAACATACACTGAGACATTTACTACTTAAAAGAATCCTAGGGTAAATCCTTTGGCAAACAAATTATTAATGCCAGAATTTAATTTATGTATATTAGATTTATAACTGTGTTATGTTTTTCATATGCACTCATGCCTGCGTGTCCCATGGGAAGGGCGTTCTCAGCAAGGGCACTTGAGAGGGGATATGAACCGCAAGAAGGTGTCTGTCATGTGACGGTACATTAAGAAAGGCAAACTAATAAAGAAACCAAATAACCCCAAAACTTGCCTCAATTCACTTAATTCACAATTACAACAAAATTTCAGAATTACATGTTCAGAACCCAAATAAGCAGAAAATAATGAAGTGATGCAGCTCTTGGGCACGCCATCATGCTGAGGCTGTGAACTAGTTTCTGTCTATGAGCACCGTTTCCCTGGGTCCTCTGCTTGATAGGTTTTAAAGGTCCAAATATTTCAACCGGGTGGCTCCCATTGCTGTCCATGCTTTTCATCCAATTTAAGTCAGTTATTCACATCCAGTTTCTCCTGTTTGTATTACACCACCCTAGATCATTTGCCCCCCCCCATCACTCATGGCTTATCAGTGAGATCTTGCTGAAAGTCTAGAGAAGCATCCTGTGGTCAGGACTGATTAAAAATAACTCCATTCTAAGGAAGGAGATGCCCTTCTGCAATCGAGAAATCAAACACCAGGAGATTAGGTGCCTTTTAGTGACATTTTTCTGTTTTGTTGTGCTCCATCCAGAAATTCAATATAATTTATGGACTAGAATGAATTCTATAGAATAAGTATCTCTCCTTTGGGTCTTTCCTTTGCTGATCTTTGAAAAACCCAAGGCTTTTGTTCTCCTGTGGGCTCCGAAAGTCAGGACATGTTGGCAATTTCTGAAAGCATGGATTGACTCTACATGGGAACCTAAGCTTCCTGGGTTTTTGGTAAGTCCTGCCCACAACTAAGGTGATGTCCTGTGTCACCTCTCAGGCCAAGGGCCAGCAGAGCCTGAAATCCAGCCACCACCCATGCCCTTGGCCTGGGCTGCAAAGGGGCAGCACCTTATTCATACCAACCTGCTGCCCACCTGCCTTTCTCCAAGTTGTACACAGAGGCACTGCTGCAGCTTAATGGTATGTGTCCTTCCAACATTCGTAGATAGAACTTAAGCCTCAAGGTGGTGGTATTAAAAGCTGAGGCCTCTGTGGGTGATTAAGTCATGAGGGCCTCCCACTCCTGAGTGGGATTCATGCCCTTAGAAGAGAGCCGTCAGAGAGCTGCTCCCTCTTCCATCTCTTCTGCCATGTGAGGATGTCACGTTCATCCCGTTTGCCCTTCTATCTCCCCCCAACTGAGGAAACAGCAACAAGGCACCATCTATGGAGCAGAGAGCAAGGGTGCATCAGACAATGAATATGCCAGTGCCTTGAAACTGGACTTCTCGGACTCCCAAACTGTGAGAAATACATTTCTATTATTTATAATTACCCAGTCTAAGTGATTTTGTTATAGCAGTGAGGATGGACTAGGCAGGTACCACATATGCTAGCAACAGCCTTGATGCCAAACATTTTAACACAGTCCTTCCAAGTCTCTAACTGTATCTTTAAAAAATAAAAGGACAGGAACAAAGAGGTACAGAGAAAAGATGATGTTCATTGCATCTCTCTTTATAGGGAGAAAAAAATAGAAACCACTAACATTTTCAACAAAAGGGTATAATGGTAGTCACAGGTGTTACTAACCAAGTGTGTCTGGCTTCCCTGCTTCCAGGTGAAGGGAGACAGCGGCCTCCCTGTCTTTGAGGGGTGAGACCATGGGCCTGGCTTTGACTGATAAAGAGTGGGCAGAGAGGTGATGTGCCTCTTCCAGGTGGAAGCCTGAGAGCCACGGCCTGACCTCCCACACTCCTATCTCCATCAGCCACTGTGCAGTGGCTGCTCTTTGGACCTGCAGTGTGACAGCCCCTGCTGACTGGGGATGGACAACGGATGGTAGTAAGACATAAGCTTTTCTAAACCACGGAGATTCTGAAGCTGTTTATTACTGAAGCATTACAGAACTCATGGTGATTGATACAGAAATGAGCATCTGCTAGTGGTCTGCTGCTGTAAAAAATTTAAAAATAATTTATGTAGTCCTGGTATCATGGGATGGGTGGAGAGTTTGGTAAAACTACTTCCTACAAGCATCTTTCAGGGCAGGTCCTCTACTTGATGAGAATAAGTGGAGGACAAAAGGTCAGTCCTGTGGGACAGAGGGACACTGACGGCTGGGTTTGGCAAGGTGATACAAGAAAGAGATGAGCTCAGAAAAGAACTGGCCAGTTTGTAAGCAGAAATGAATGGAGTGGTCCATGCATGTAGAGATTTATCAGGCTGGAAGATGAAACAGCTTCTCTTCTCCAAATAATAAGAGATTAAGGATGGACTCTGAGCTAGAAAACCACATTTTAAAAGCAAGGAGCTAATGAAGGGCAGAACCCTTGAATTGCTGTTATAAATCACAAATGGAATAAAGGCCCAGTAATTTCTTTTTGTTGGATAAATGGCTTAGGGGGAAAAGTATAACCTAAAAACTAAGAATATGACACTTTTGGGGAAGCCTGATGAGCTCAAGAAGGCTGCAAATAAGTTGGGTGCTAGAGAGAGGAAAGTAAGCATGCTTTCTGCAACTCTTCTGTAAGTCTAAAATTATCTAAAAACCAAAAAGTAAAAAAATGTAGACCTGCATTTATTAATGCACATGGATGTTTAGTAAATATTCAGAGAGAAAAGAATATGACTAGTGTGATCTATATATTTGTAGAGCTAAATAAATAAAATCTGGAAGGACAGATACCAGTATTGGTTGTTTGGGAATATGGAATTTTGAAATTCCAATGTATTTTATTTTGTCTATCTGTGTAGTCTGTTTTTTTCTAACGTAATCATATGTGTATAATTCAAAACCACTTCATTTTTATACAAACATATATGCTTATATACTTACATATACATACTTATATATTATACAGGTAACATAAACTAAATATACTACATTATATATAACATATAAGTAACATGTAACAAGTCGTTATATATTATGTCATATATAATGTATCAGTATATATGTTATTTTTATACGTAATATCAAATATATTCGATATATGTAATTATCAAAATTATAATGACAGTATTTATGGTTTTGTGATTATGGAGTAGGTATACAGGCATTTTAAATATCTAGTCCCTCACCTCCACACTGTGAAATGGTTATCATTCACATGGCAACTAAGAAGTTGAATACAACTCACATGCTGAGTGTCAGATGCAAAGGCTGATTAAAGAAAGTCCACTCCTGCCCCACTCCATCCTTAAACATTCTTATTATTTGCTTCTGCTGGCAACCACTTAATACTTCATATCACAGGAAGCAACAATGGAAAGCTAATAATAGCAAAACACAGAAATCAGTAAATTATCTTGCAAGCAGGCAATGGAGCATATAAATTACTACTGAAAAGTAACTGAGACTGTCTATAAGATGACTTCAAGTCTATACATTTAAAAATATAAGGTATAGATGTATCCCACTTAAACAATCACCCACACACCATTTGCCTTCAAAGTTTCAAGTAATAAAGTCAGAGTTAAATCCCGTTTTATCCTGGCACTTCTCTTCAGGTTCCTTTAGGTTGAGATCATCACTTGACTATTTTTTGAGCTATATTTTCTACGAGATATCGCACGATTCTTCCCCATGTAAACTGACACTGATGCAATCGTTATGGTCAACATATACAGTGTGTCAGGCACAGTACTAAATGCTTCCCATGCATTTATTTATTTTAATCCTAGTAACAAGACACTATTGCTATCCTCATGCATGGATACCTATTGCTCTCTCTGCCTGCCTGCTTCATAGAAAACTGGCCCCACCATTTTCTGGTAGCTGTGCTCTTATAACAGGTCCCAACACTGGATCCAGTGGTTGGCTGCCCACAAGCTAGACCAGAGTACTTCTCCAGGAATTTGAAATCAGGGCTGAAAGATTCTTTTTATTTTTTCAATTTGTAAATTTTCATTTTTTGACCAGCTTTATTAAGATATAATTCACTTACCATAGAATTCACCCATTTAATGTGCACAGTTCAATGGTTTTTAGTATATTCACAGAGTTGTGCAACCATCGGCACAATCTAATTCTAGAGCATTTTCATCACCCTGAAAGAAACCCTGCACCCACCAGCCGTCACTTACCATTCCCTCCGAGGCCCCCAGCCCTAGGCAACCACGAGACTACTTTCTGTCTCTATTGGTTTGCCTATTCTGGGCATTATATAAATGCAATCATATAATATGGGGTCTTTTGTGACTGGCTCCTTTTGCGTAACATATTTTCCAGGGTCAATCGTTGTGGCATAAATCAGTTTTTCATTTCTTTTTTTTTTTTTTTTTTTTTTGAGACGGAGTCTTGCTCTGTCACCAGGCTGGAGTGCAGTGGCGCAATCTCAGCTCACTGCAACCTCCACCTCCCGGGTTCAAGCGATTCTCCTGCTTCAGCCTCCCGAGTAGCTGGGACTACAGGCGTGTGCCACCACGCCCAGGTACCTTTTTTTTTTTTTTTTTTTTTTAGTAGAGATGCGGTTTCACCATGTTGGCCATGATGGTCTCAATCTCCTGACCTCATGATCTGTCTGCCTCGGCCTCCCAAAGTGCTGAGATTACAGGCGTGAGCCACTGAGCCCAGCCCAGTTTTTCATTTCTTTATGTTGCTGAATAATAACACAATATACAATATGCCATTGTATATTACATTTTATTTAACCATTCATCAGTTGATGGGCCTTGGATTGGTTCTAGTTTTGGTTATTATAAATAATGATAATAAACACTCATGTACAAGTTTTTGTGTGAACATGTTTTCATTTCTCTTCCCTAGAAGTGGAATTACTGGGTCATATGGAAATTCTATGTTTAATTTTTTGAGCAACTACCAAACTATTTCTCAAAGAGCTGTATCATTTTATATTCCCACCAGAAACATACATATGATAGTTCCAATTTCTCTACCTCCTTGTCAACACTTGTCTGTGTTTTTGATTCTACACATCCTAGTGGATGTAAAGTGCTGTCTCATTCTGCTTTTGGTTTTTGTGTTGTAATGACTGATGATGTTGACTATCCTTTCATGTGTTTACTGGCCATTTGTATATCAACTTTGGAGAAAGGTCTGGTCAAGTGTCTTTTCTATTCGTTATTGAGCTGTCTTTTTATTATTGGGTTCTAAGAGTTCTTTATATATTCTGGATATGAGTTCCTTATCAGACATGATTTACAAATATTTTCTCCCATTCTATGGACTGTCTTTTTGCTTCCTTAAAGGTAGTATTTGCAGCATAGAAGTTTTTACTTTTGATGTGATCTAATATATTTATTTCTTCTCTTGTTCCTGGTCTTTTGGTATCGTACAGTGGTAGCTCTCTGAAGTGAGGCAGCTACTGGTGGTCATCTGCTCCCATGTGTATGAGGAACTCAGTAGGGAGACAGAAAATGGCATAGTGAGAAACGGAGCCATGTAGGCAGACACAGGCATGGGCTTCCCAAAGCGCTGCTCTCTGGGGGCAGGCATACCCTAGACCCAGCTGCACCTGACTGGGAACCCTTGGGCATCACGGACCCCGCACCCTAGCTCCCTCCAGTTTCTGTTATTTATTAGGAAACAGACAAAGAAGCAACAAAGAAAACAAGAAATTCGACCAGCGTACCTAGTTTACAGATGAGAAAACAGGTTCCAAGAAGGTCCAGTCAACAAAGCAGGTGCTGTGGAGGGACTGTGATTCCCCAGCCTGCACCCCCAGCCTGGCCACCCTGCCTCTTTGTGGGCAGAGAAGAAACATCACAAATAACCAGACAAGCTTCTCTTCACTTGCAAAGAGATTCACAGAAAACTTTCTTTAAATAGCACACTGCAAGTGTCAGTTGCCGGGACTTTCTTACATAAGAGAGATCAGCAATTGTAGAGCCTGAAGAGACTTCATCTCTAATCCAGGCAGACCCCTCAGGACCAAGAGGGCAAATCACTTGGGAAATGCACTGTAACACACATTTCTGGAAATATCTTTGTATAGACTTGACCTCAAAGTGGAGGGGAAGGCTGCGTACCCTAACGGAGGACTCTAAGATCTCCATAGACAATAACTACTTAAAAAGACACTCTTAATTTTATAAATTCTCAGAATAAAACCTACAAGACGTATGGTTCCATGTAAAAACTACAGAGAGTAAAATGGGGCAAAAAAAATTTGGCCTGTGGGGCATGCATTTCAAGGGGTTGGAGAACAATGTTCAAAGGATGTTCCAGCTACATGCTGAAAACTTTGTCAGCCTCTCTGCAGCCTGTGTTTCAAAGACAAAAAATACCATACACATAAAGCTCTGCTCCTCGATGTCTCCCCAGGACACCTCTTTCGCACACAAAGCCGGTGCTGTGGAGGGACTGTGATTCAAACTCAGGCCTGCACCCCCAGCAGAAATCGAGAAATTCACCAGGCAGGTAGGAGCATCAGCGACCTCCCACCAATCTTATTAAGCTGGGCTTCGAGGGAGGAGGATGAGTGTCTTTGCTCCATCCCCAGGGGTGTGGCCTTAAGAGGGAGCATTCCACATGTTAGCCAGTAAATCACAGCTGCTTAAACAAAATAGCTAACTTATGTATTTGATTGTCAAAATGCAGACTCCCACACCAAGCAATCTCTGCCAACAAAGAGGATACATTTATTTTAAAAGAGCTAAAATTACTCATTATCCTGTTTTTGAGAGTCGCCATATCTGTTACATAAATATCCTTACAGCAAAGAATAGGTAAGCGTAAAGTTAGCAAAATCATTACACTCAAGGTTTTCAAAGGACACGCCTCCTGAACCTACCTGACGTAAAATATCTCAAATTATTTTCTTCTCAAGCAAATATAGACAAGGATCTTGGCTGTGAACTTCATTTCTCTGATTGCACGTGTACCTTAGAACCTAAAACTCAGAAGAGAAATTCATGTGGTTCACAGGAGGACGCCAGAATATCAAACTAGAACTGCCTGGTCACGAGCCCTCAGCAGCAGCCTAAATCCCATGCTGGAAAATTTGGATTTCATTGTGTTTCCAAAAGGAGGTCTACTTCAACAATGTCAAACTTAAAAATAAGAAACAGTTCATGGCATAAACTGTCATATGTCATTAACCTGACACCCTGAAAGAATCCATTCATTCATGGGTTATTTCATTCATAATGCATCTTTATACATTCATTGAACATCTTCCAGACAATCTTACAGGCTGGTTAGGTAGGCAAAAAGACGAAGACACAGTCCAAGGCATGAAGAGCATAGTAGGGGCAGCACTAGCCACTAGGCAGATCACCTGTTAGAGCACCAGCAAAGCAGGGACACTGAACCAAGGCCTTTGTTCAGTTTCTGGAACAGACTCCTTCATGCTCAGGACACTGAAGCCTGCTCCTTATGCCAGGCTGGCTCCAGCTCAGCATCTGGGTCTTATCCAAGCACTCCTCAGAGAGGCCTTCCTGAGCCACATCTCACCCCCGACCCTCCATCACTTCACCTGTTTTATTACCATAGCAACACCTGCCGCTTTGCAAGGATGCTCCATGCATGAATGCCAGCTCACCAGGTATCCTCCATGCCCACAACACACTGAGCATTCGGCAAGTCATATTTTTCACTACAAAGATAATGAAAGGAAAGGAAAGACAAGACAGCCAAACAGAAAGAGCTGCTAAATTTCAGAGAAATGCCTCTTTACTGTAAGAAATGTCTTCCTAAATGATTGTTCTAAAGATAACAAAAACATTATGAAAAGTCTTGAAGTTATCACCCTCATTTTTTAAAATAGCCTCTTCGACATAGTGATCGTCAACTGTTTTGCTAAGAAAGATGAAGCCATTAGATATTCACACATCCGCTCCCTTCACCCAGCCAAAGACTCTCCTAAGTTATAATACTATTTGCAAGGTTTACATCATTTACATCACATACTTTCACTGTAATTCATGCAGATGGCCTGTCTTATTTTTATGTTTATACATATCCAAGGTTTGCCACCCATTTATACTAAGCTCTGTACTTTTATTCACTTCTATTTTGGCTGGATTTTGATATTCAATAGTTTTATTCAAAACCCTTATTCAAAAGAGCTCATAGCAGCTAAGCTCTCTGATTTATGGCAGGCTTGAAAAAAATCTATTATCTTTGTCTTTATACTTGGGACAATTTGGCTAAATAGGAAATCACTGAGGGCCCCATTGTTCCACTCAGAATTTCTCAGAAACCAGTATCTTTCAGAAAGTGTTGCTTGACAGACGCTGACCCAGTGTGATTCTACCTACCTATGTTCCTAACCTTTTCTGCTTTTGTGCCAGGTAAGAATCACCATGGAAATCGAGAAATTCACCAGGATGTCAGTCAGTCTTGTTCAGTCTTTTTAATGCTTACTTTATTAGTCCATTTTCACACTGCTGATAAAGACATACCTGAGACTGCGCAATTTACAAAAGAAAGAGGTTTAATTGGACTTGCAGTTCCATGTGGCTGGGGAAGCCCCATTATCATGGCAGAAGGCAAAGAGGAGCAAGTCACATCTTACATGGATGGAAGCAGGCAAGGAAAGAATAAGAAAGATGCAAAAGTGGAAACCCCTGATAAAACCATCAGATCTTATAAGACTTATTCACTACCATGAGAACAGTATGGGGGAAACTGCCCCCAGGATTCAGTTATCTCCCACTGGGTCCCTCCCACAACATGTAGGAATTCTGGGAGTACAATTCAAGATGAGATTTGGGTGGGGACACAGAGCCAAACCATATCATTCCACCCCTGGGCCCTGCCAAATCTCATATCCTCACATTTCAAAACCAATCATGCCTTCCCAACAGTCCCCCAAAGTCTTAACTCATTTCAGCATTAACTCAAAAGTCCACAATCCAAAGTCTCATCTGAAACAAGCCAAGTCCCTTCCACCTATTAGCCTGTAAAATCAAAAGCAAGCTACTTATTTCCTAGATACAATGGGGGTACAGACATTGGGTAAATACTACTGTTCCAAAGGTGAGACATTGGCCAAAACAAAGGGGCTACAGGCCCCATGCGAGTCCAAAATCCATTGGGGCAGTCAAATCTTAAAGCTCCAAAATGATCTCCTTTGACTCCATGTCTCAAATCCAGGTTATGATGATGCTAGAGGGGGGTTCCCATGGTCTTGGGCAGCTCCGCCCCTGTGGCTTTGCAGGGTACAGCCTCCCTCCCAGCTGCTTTTTGGGCTGGCATTTGGTGTCTGTGGCTTCTCCAGGCCCATAGTACAAGCTGTCAGTGGATCTACCATTCTGGGGTCTGGAAGATGGTGGCTCTCTTCTCACAGCTCCACTAGGCAGTGCCCCAGTAAGGACTCTGTGTGGGGCTCCGACCCCACATTTCCCTATGCACTGCCCTAGCAGAAGTTCTCCATGACAGCCCTGCCCCTGCAGCAAACTTCTGTCTGGGCATCCAGGCATTTCCATACATCTTTTGAAATCTAGGTGGAGGTTCTCAAACCTCAATTAATAATTTCTGTGTACCCACAGACTCAGCACCACATGGATATTGCCAAAGCTTGGGGCTTGCACCATCTGAAGCCACAGCAGAGCTCTGCGTTGGCCCCTTTCAACCATGGCTGGAGCAGCTGGGACACAGGGCACCAAGTCGCTAGGCTGGACACAGCTTGGGCACCCTGGGCCCAGCCCACGAAACCACTTTTTTTCCCTTGGCCTCCAGGCCTGTGATAGGAGGGGCTGATGTGAAGACATCTGACATGCCCTGGAAACATTTTCCCCATTGTCTTGGGGATTAACATTTGGTTCCTCATTACTTATGCAAATTTCTGCAGCTGGCTTGAATTTCTCCTAGGAAAATAGGATTTTCTTTTCTATCACACTGTCAGGCTGCAAATTTTTCAAACTTTTAAGCTGTTTCCCTTTTAAAACTGAATGCTTTTAACAGCATCTAATTCACCGCTTGAATGCTTTGCTGCTTAGAAACTTCTTCCACCAAGTACCCTAAATCATCTCTCTCAAATTCAAGGTTCCACAGATCTCTAGGGCTGGGGCAAAATGCTGCTGGTCTCTACGCTAAAACATAACAAGTCATCTTTGCTTCAGTTCTCAACAAGTTCCTTATCTCCATCTGAGACAACCTCAGCCTGGACCTTATTGTCCATATCACTATCAGCGTTTTGGGCAAAGCCATTCAACAAGTCTCTAGGAGGTTCCAAACTTCCCCACATTTTCCTGTCTTCTTCGGAGCCCTCCAAACTGTTCCAACCCCTGCCTGTTACCCAGTTCCAAAGTTGCTTTCACATTTTCACGTATCTTTTCAGCAACATCCCACTCTACTGGTACCAATTTACTGTATTAGTCCGTTTTCACACTGCTGATAAAGACATAACTGAGACTGGGCAGTTTACAAAAGAAAGAAGTTTAATGTGACTTACAGTTCCATGTGGCTGGGGAAGCCTCACAATCATGGCAGAAGGCAGGGAGGAGCAAGTCTGGTCTTACATGGATGGCAGGAGGCAAAGAGAGAATGACGAAGACGCAAAAGCAGAAACCCTGGATAAACCCATCAGATTTTGTGAGACGTATTCACTACCATGTGAACAGTATGAGGGAAACCACCCCATGATTCAATTATCTCCCACCAGGTCCCTCCCACAACACGTGGGAATTATGGGAGTATGATTCAAGATGAGATTTGGGTGGGGACACAGAGCTAAACTGTATCATTTACCAAAATGCAATTGTTCCTTTTGAATGACAGAGCCAAGTCTGGCCTGTATATTTACACAGTTTTCTTTTTATTGTATACTTTAATGTTCTCCTTCTTTTCTAAAACTCTTTGTTAGAAAATCAGGCCAGGTATGACGGCTCATGCCTGTAATCCCAGCACTTTGGGAGGCTGAGATGGGTGGATCACTTGAGGCGAGGAGTTTGGGACCAGCCTGGCCAACGTGGTAAAATCCTGTCTCTACTAAAAATACAAAAATTGGCTGGGCATGGTGGGGTAAATCTATAATCCCAGCTACTCAGGAGACTGTGGCAGGAGAATTGCTTGAACTTGGAGGGGGCGGGGGTTAGAGGTTGCAGTGAGCCGAGGTCACACCACTGCACTCCAGCCTGGGTGACAGAACAAGATTCCATCTCAAAAAAAAAACCACATAAAATCAAATTATGGTGAGGCTTTGTTCCTTTTGTGTGGTCCTATCCTGTCCATGGTGTTTGCATTGTCAAGGAGGCTTCCTATTTTGTGGCTTCCTGGTTAATCTCTGTGATGGCATCATTTTGGTTTTTTCTTTTCCACTTTCCATCCTGAATTCTGTCAGCTTGGGCCCTACTTTCCTCCATCTCACTCGCTCCTCTGAGTCTTCCTCCTATGCTTAAATTCTGCTTTAGAGATCAGCAGTTTCTTTTTGAGTATGGAAATTTATTTTTTTGAACTCTTGAGCTGGTCACTGAATCATTCAATTCTTCCTCAGACATTTGCTTATGTCTTTTTTTTTACATTTTTGTTAGTATTTTCTTTTTTAATTTTTAAAAACTTTTAATGGACACATAACTGTGTTTATTTCTGGAGTGCAATGTAATGTTTCAATAGATGTTTACATCGTGTAATGTTTAAATTGGGTAATTAGCATACGCATCAAACATTTACCATTTCTTTGTGGTGGGAACACACAAGATCCTCTCTTCTCATAGTATATTGTACAGTAGGATAACTATAGTCAATGACAAGTAATTATACAAACTCTTTCTTTTTTATGTTCAGGTTTTTCTGCATGCTTGTTCTTTTGCAGGCCTTAGTCATCTTTGAGATCAGCTACTCATGGAAGGACAGTATGGAGAAAACGGGTGAAGTAAGGTGAGAGAGTGTATGGTTCTGATTCAAATTTGCCTGGAATATTTTATCACCAATCTGTACTTTTTTCTGTCCTGGGAACCCATCTCCCTGAGCTTTTGGCCTTCAAGGGTAGCACTGGCTAATACAAAGCATTTATTGTCCCTGTCCTCTGGGCAGGGATGTGTCACAGCTGCCTCCCGCATCTCCCTCTCCCGCTTTACCCCAGGCAGGTCCCTAAGCCAGGGGCCAGAAGATGTACACTATGACTGGAGGAGGGCATGGTCCCTTCTTCATTGCTGTGCCTCTGAGTGTCCATGCATTGAACTGGCTCTATCCAAGCAGAGAAAAGTGCTCATGCTCATTTCCTTTTGCATTTGATGCCCCTGGTCCATTGTACATGCTCCATAAACATCTGTTAAATGAGTACATGATCATGTCAACTAATGAAGCAGATAAAACCAAAGAGACCAACAGAAAGGTGAACACAGGCAGCAGGCAAAGCAAACTATGGGGCAGTAGCGGAAGCGCCCACAGGTCAAGACTAGAGACATGAAGACACCCTCCCTCTCCTTGGAGGACAGGGGTGGCACTAGACCTGGGACAGGGTCTGCTTAGGCACTGTATTATTTTCTGTGGCTCCAACAAATTCTCTGACTCAAGCGTGGCCTGGCACCATCAACATGGTAAGGAACAGGTTCCAGACAGGGAGGCCTCCCACATTTGATCTTTCATCCATGCTGGTTTTGTTCTGGAAGTCACACCCTGTGAAGATGAAAGAAGGCTTCTGCCATCTTTCGTCTTGGTTCCATGGGCTTCTGCCCACTACTGGGTGAAAGCTCCAGGAAGTGGAGACCATCTTGGCATGATATGAGGATACTAGACATTGGGTTGTTCCAATAAAGATGTCAAACATTCCCAACCTTCACCATGTGCAGATACCTGTAATGCGAGGCAAGTAAATGCATGGACACTGCAGAGCCTGTCTGTGTGGACCAATGCCCACCAGCCTCAGGGTGGCCATTCCCTCTTGGGGACCTCCCCCTTTCAGTTCTGAAGAAAGATCCTATCTCCAACACAACCCAGGGAGACAGAAAACATCCAAAATGATTCTGGCACAGGCTGTGTGGAATGGGAGCTCAGAATCTAAGCAGACTCACAGAGAAGGAAAAGGCTGTTCCTTACACCTGAGTCTTTTACCTGAGACCCAGACACACTTAACCTAAGAGTTGGAAACACTTCCAAACAAGCCTCAAAGCCACTGCTCAGGGCTCAAAGTGAACACGACAATCTCTGCTGCCGTGGTAGCCTCTTCTTGCCCTTCTCTTCGTCTTTCTCATGCCCACCTGTTCCTTGTCTGGGGCATTCACCCTTCCTCTGGGTTAAGGGACTTTGGGGCATTCCAAACATACCTCAAGAGGCATGAGGCTGGTGGCTGTACAGTCTCATCACCACCATCTGCTGCTTGCTCGAGTCCAAGCATCTGTGTCCCACAGTTCCTGTTTCTTGTTCAAACTTGCCCAGGTTTATGCCTTAAATCAAAACCTTCAAGAAGGCAACAGCTGGCTCTTTAAGTCTGTAAACACTCTTAGTCAATGATTTTAAACGTTCTGTTCATCAATGCCAAATCAATACCAAATCAATGAAGTGAGACCTCATATCTGAGTCAGACACAAAAAATGGAAATGAAACATCTGTCCTTCCCTCTGAATATCTGCAATACCAATGGAGAGAGAAAGGTCAAGACAGCATTTCAGGATGTTACAATGTTTTAGGTCCTACAAAGTGCTTTCACATGCCTGAATGGATCTGTGTCTGACAATGACCTTGAGGGGTACTGTCTTCATTTTACATATGACAGAAGTGAGGCTCAGACTGGTCAATTTTGAAAGATTAGAGAATGCTGCAAAATAAAATGGCCAAGGTCAACACTGGAACTAAGCAATTGGAGCTACATCTTTTTTCTCTGCTACAGAATGAAAGATCTTAATTAAAATTGTTTCACCCTGTTGTTCCTGAACTGACCTCCCACTTATACCACAATGATGTGGTGATAGTACACAAAGATGTGAGCTCAGTTTCCAGAATCCAGTACGAAGAGACACATTTACTGAAGATGTCCTATGTGTATGCTGTGCCTGATGTCATTGTCAGAATTTTCTTAGTCATCACCATCACTCAGTGACATCGTTGCCATGTTATGCACAAGGAAAGTGAGTGTGAGCCAACAGGTTAATATTACAAACTCAATCACATTGGAGCACAGCTGAGAACATGGGATAGAAGTTTGGGATGTTAGTACAAGGGCATGGTAATCAAGGCAGTGTGGTAATAGCAGGACCAACAATGGAACAGAATAAAGGGCCCAGAAATAGACCCTCACTTACATGACCATTTGATTTTTGACAAAGGCACCACTATAATTCGTCATGGATAGGATGGTCTTTTCAACAAATGATGCTGAAAAATTTGGGTATCCACATAGAAAAAAGAAACTTCAATCCCTACCTCACACTATACACAAAAATTAGAGATGAATCACAATGCTCAATGTAAAAGCTAAACTATAAAGCTTTAATAAAGAAAACAGAATATCTTCATGCCTTAGCATAGGCAAAAGTTTCTTAGGACACAGAAACAACAACCACAAATAAAAAAATAATAAATCAGACTTCGTAAAAATTTTAAAATTTTACTTCCCCAAAAAACTAGCTGCAAGTCAACAAGTACAACAAACCTAGTAAAAATCAGTAAAAGAGATGAATAGGTAGTTCGCAAATGAAGAGTATGTGAATGATCAATCAATGTCTTCAGCATCGTCAGATAACAGGGAAATGCAAATGAGAACTGCGATGAAACCCACTACTCACCCACGCCAATGCCCTAAGAAAGCAGGCTGCCAGTGCCAAATGCTGGTGAGGACGCCCAGTGCCCAGAACCCTCAGACCTTGTGGGCAGGAGAAGAAAACAGTTTTGTAAACTTCTCTGTGACCCGATACCATTCCTAGGCATTAACCCAAGAGAAACTAAAGAATCCGTTCACAGAAAGCCTTGTACAAGAACGTTCACAGTAGCCTTATTCCAACAAGCTCCAAACTGGGAAGAGCCCAGGATTCTAGCCACAGGAAAGTAGCCAAGCAACCCCTGGCACGGTGAGGCAATGGAATGCAGACAGTGACGAAAAGGAGCAGGACACTGATAAAGCAGCGGCACAGATGGATCACAGGGGCATTCCGCCGAGCAATGACTGCCCATTGTGGATCCCTTTCATGTGAAGTTCTAGAATAGGCAAAATTAATCTGTGATGGAGAAATCAGACAGGTTGCCTGGCGGAAGGGCTGGGGCAGGGCATGAGGGAGATTTCTGGTATGATGTGAATGTGAGTGTTCTGTATCTTGATATGGACTTGGATTACACAGGTGTATGGATTTGTCACGGCTCATCTCATTTGTGCATTTCATTTTACCTCAAAAGAAAAAGAAAAAGTTGGGCTGGTAGGTTGAGAACCTGGGCCAGTGTTGCAGGGAGCCCTTACCTCCAAGCTTGACCCAGAGGTATCTCAGGCATCCTGCCTCCTCCGCTGGGGCTCTCTTGGCCAAACCTATGTCAGATGATGGGGAGCCAGAGAAAACCTACAGGGGTTCTTGGCATGGCAACCTGAAAGGGAACCTCATGTGCTCAAGAGTGTCATGTGACAGGGAGAGCACAGGCCCATCACAACACTACATCACAATACAGAAACATTTACACGGGCACAGGAAGGAATGAGTGGTCTTTCCATCTCCAGACAGACACAAATCATTGATACTTTAAAAAAAAATAGTGGTATATTACACATAACATAAAATTTACCATCTGCAACATTTTTAAGTGTACACTTCTAAGGCATTAAGTATATTCACACTGTTGTACAACCATCAACAGAACTGTTTTCATCTTGTAAAACGGAAACTCTGTCCCCATTAAACAACAGCTCCACATTACCCCCCTCATCCCTCGTCGCCCACAATTGTACTTTCTGTCTCTATGAATTTGACGACTCTAGGTACCTCATGTAAGTGGAATCATTTAGTATGTGTTTTTTGTGACTGGCTTATTTCACTTAGCATAATGTCCTTGAGGTTCATGCATGTTGTAGCATATGTCAGAATTTGCTTTCTTACAAAGGCTGAATAATATTCCATTGTATGAATATGCCAGATTTTGCTTATCCATTCATAGATTGAGGGTCACTTGGGTTGCTCCCACCTTTTTGCTACTGCTGCTATAAACACGGATGTACAGATTTCTGTCCAAGTCTTCATGTTCAATTCTTTTGGACATACACCCAAAAGTGGGACTGCTGGATCCTACGGTAATTTTATGTTTAATATTTTGGGGAACCACCATTCCTATCAACAGTGAGCAAGGGCTCCAACTTCCCCAATTCCTTACCAGCACTTATTTTCTGTTTTTATTTTTGATAGTGGCCATCCTAATGGGTGTGCAGTGATGTTCTTGATCCTTTTTAAAAGAGGATACAAGCCTATGCTCCTTTCCCAGAGAAAAAATGAAGAGGCCTTTATTTCCAAGATGATTTCCCAGCAGAGGGCTGAGCTCCACAGCTGAGAATTGAGGCAGAGAATGCCCAGGGATGGCAGTGGAGGCTCTTTCTCCTCAAAATGCCCAACTCAAGTGATCTCCCTACACATTTGCCCACGAGGTTTGGCCAATACACATTTGATGCAAGCATGTGTATAATTTCTGGTTATTAGAAACTAAACAGATTTCTTTATGCTCCAATGCAGAAGGTAAGAAGCAGAGAATATTTACCAAATAAACCATTTCCATTTATAAAATCTGTATCCAGGCTTGAGGGCTGCAGAAACATTCTCACGAATGGCAATAGCCTTGCAGCAAGTGGTATTTATTTGCTTCCTATTGCATCAAAATTGTAGGAAAATATCCATTCTGACCACTGAAAGACCAATGCTTAGCAAATATGTATTTATGCAGTTTAACCAATAAAATGTATTTAAGTCAATATAAAAGTGTTGTAGTTACTATTTATTGACACTCTTTTAGAACCAGGCTAGATTTAAATATCTTAGAATTCCAGATATTAGCAGTTATCGAATTCCTCACTTCAGTATTTTGAGTGAATAGATCATTACAAACAAGATTTTAAACTTTCTTGTAAGTGAATTTAGCTGAAAATGGTAGAAATCTGAGAATCCATCATAAACTTGGGAATACTGGGCTCAGTTTTCACAAGCCATAGAGAAGATGGCCCTGGAGGCCCCGCTCTGCTTTTTGGGGGGTCCTCCCCTACTCATCTCTGTGCAGAGCCCACATTCTTCAGAGCCTTTCTAATGAAACAGGGAGGCCGTGGAGGGCCTTCAGTTTAGCTGCTGTAAAGCTTCCTATGATGTTTTTTCTAACTTTACATTAAGGACATCTGTCCTGAAAAGAGTAATATTCTTTAGCTTTTGCTTTGGGCAGAGTCATAATTTGAATGGCCTCAGGTGCCCTAAAACCAGCCAAAAGTGCTAACAAGAGTCACAGGCATTTCCTTCCTCTGGGTTGAAACAAATCAAACAGATAAAAGAATACATTCATAGCAACAAGGTTGGAGTTCACGGTGCAATTCTGCCAACTGCCTGGAACAGAACAAAGCAGAAAGGAACAGAACAGGAAGCTCCAGGGACCAGTGTTGCTGTAAAGAGAGATGGCAGGATGACCGCCAACAGCTCTTTCCCCAGTCAGTCTTCATCTTGCTGGTATATGGTTTTGTTTTGTTTTGTTTTGTCTTTAAATTAATCAATCATGTTTATTTAAAGTTTTCTTAACATTAGACATTTTTAATGGGAGTAAAAATATTAGTGAACATTTTATTTCTTCTCTCCTATTCTAGCCACATAAGCCAGTTTAATGGATGGTACAGATTTCAGATGTAATTTGTAAAATATTCCAGGAGCTGCCTCTTGCTGGATCTGGTGTCTCAAGGTGTTGACAGAGAAGTTCTATTATGTATGTATTCTTTAGGCCAATTGTCGAATCCAAGCACTATACATGACTCAAGACAATGCTTATGATGGTTGACAACTTAAGTAAAGCATGCAATAGATAAACGCTGTGTCTGCTTCTATATCTGACCCAGGAAGTATGTAAAAGTGGTTATCTGCAGTGTATGAACACTACTAATTCAGGCAGCATCCTAAAAGGGTAATTGCAAATAGGACTGAGGTGCAGATGTGTGGATGAGTAAGAATCTTTCTGAATAATTAGATGCTGGCAAGACAAATGAAGTGAGATCACTGTGAAGAGTAAGTGTGAGTGAGCAACGATGGTGCAGGACACAAACTATTATGGGGAGGGGTGTAACACCCCATCCCCCAGCCCAGGGCTAAACATCTTGCCACAAGCACCAGTGGAAAAAATTAAATACATATTACACAAGGTCTGCCAGCCTGTTCATCTGCCAGGAAAAGATGACTGTCTCAGTCTATTGCTACAGATTTTGACGCTCTCCCTGTAACTTATTTTGCTTTTACCTTGGATGAAAGTGAACAAGGTTCAAACACAGAAAAAATATGGAGAAAAGCTAGGTTTACCAGATAAAACAGGATGTCCAATTCATCTTGAACTTCAGATGAACAACGAATATTTTAGTATAACCATGTCCCATGTAATATTTGACTCAAGCATATGTTAAACCATTATTCATTATTCATCTGAAATTCAAATTTAACTAGGCATCCCGTATTATTATCATCTTCCAGCTGGCAACTAAAAGAAGCACAAACTTGTTTGACCTTCCAAAAACCATCTTTCAGCTGGGCACCATAGAGAATGGTGAGGCCATGTGCAGCAAATCCCCACTGATTTTTCACCGCAAATAATAAGTACAAGGCAGCCAGGGTTGGTCTTCATTGACAAGAAATGCAAGTATGCTGTTTTATTCCCTTTCAAAATTATATATTCCACTTTGTTCTCCAAACTGCCCTATTGTTTGGACCTAAATATAGATATTTCACATACGCACACACACATATACACACATACACATACATACAAACACACATACACATATATACCCACATACAAATACATAGGTATATACATGTACACACATATATATACATACACACATACATATATCTGTATACACATACACATGTATGCATACACACATACACATATGTAAACATACACACACAGACACACACACATGGGTTGAGTATCCCTTATCCAAAATGGCAAAATGCTTGGGACAAGAGGTGTCTGGGATTTGGGAATATTTGCAGTATACTTACTAGATGAGGATCCCTAATCTGAAAATCTGAAATCCAAAATACCCCAATGAGCATTTCCTTTGAGTATCATGTCAGCATTCAAAAAGTTTTGGATTTTGGAACATTTCAGATTTCAGATCTTTGGATTAGGGGTGCTCAACCTGTATATACACAAGTTGAGGAGACTAACTCAATATTTAAAGCATATCCCCTGTGATAACACCACCGAGAAACCAAAACTTTTTTTCCGAAACACAGCACTGTTTCATAATTCGCCTCTGATTCAAGACACATTTTCAAGCAAACTCCAAAAGTGATGTTCGGTGGTAACATTTTAAAATGCTCTCTCTAATGCAGAATTGTGGTGCAGAAGTAGTCTTTCACAATTATCCCCAGGGCAGGCCATTTTAGAATCTAAAAAAAGGGTACTTGTATAACTTAATCACTTTTCAGTTCTTCTGAAGTACTCTCCTTTTTTACTCTCTTTGCACTTTTCATGAACTTATATCACTTTAGATTCAGAAGATCTAAACAAAATTTACAGTATGGAATTTAACTCAAAATTCCTTTCTCAGAAATCCTTGCTAAGGATAATATTTTCCCAACTAATTGTATGAGGCTCATTTTAAGATACCAAAGAGAGTACAGAAAGAGTACCAAGATGCCTCATGAAGACAGACACAACAAACCTCCACAAAATATTAGCCACTAGAATCTAGCAATATGTAAAAAGAATTACGTACCATGACCAAGTAGGCTTGATTCCAGGGATGCAAGGCTAGTTTGATATTTTTAAAAATCAAGCCATATAATCCACAATATTAACAGGCTAAATCTAAAAACCACCAGATCATATCAACTGTCTCAGAAAAAGCATTTGGCAGATCCAACATATGTGCATGATATAAAAACACTCAGCAAACTAGAAAAGAACTTTCTCAAACTGATCAAGGCCATCTATAAAAAACAGATAGCTATATCATAATGAATGCACAAAGACTGGATGCTTTTTCCTTATGGTCAGAAAACAGAAAAGAATGTCCATTCTCACCATTGCTATTCCACATAGTACTAGAAGTTCTAGCCCATGCAATAAGGCCCAAGAAGGAAATGAAACACATAATGATTCATAAAGAAGAAATAAAGCTATCGCTATTTACAGATAACATAGTCTACATAGAAAATAATAAGGAATCTACAGAAAATCTTCTAGTACTAGACAAATTCAGCAAGGTCACAAGATACAACATAAACATACAAAATAAATTGTGTTTCTATATACTAGCAATGCCCATATGAAACAAATTAAAACAATATGATTCATGATCACTCAAAATAAAATGCTGGGCCAGGTGCAGTGGCTCACACCTGTAATCTCAGCACTTTGGGAGGCTGAGGTGGGCGGATCATGAGGTCAAGAGTTCGAGACCAGCCTGGCCAACATGGTGAAACCCCATCTCTACTAAAAATACAAAAAAAAAAAAAAAAAAAAAAATTAGCCAGGTGTGGTGGTGTGTGCCTGTAATCCCAGCTACTCAGGAGGCTGAGGCAGGAGAATCGCTTGAACCCAGGAGGCAGAGGTTGCAGTGGGGCAAGATTGTGCCACTGCACTCCAGCCTGGGTGACAGAGCAAGACTCCATCTCAAAAAAAAATAAATAAAATAAAATACAATGTTTAGGTATAAATGGAACAAAACATGTATTGGACTTGTATATTGAAAGTCACAAAGCAATGATGAAAGATATAGAAGAATAAATGAATGGAGAAACATACCATATTCATAGATTAGATGACTCAACATAATAAAGATGTCAATTATTTCCAAATTCTTATCAAAATCCCAGCAAGGTGTTTTTGTAAATATGGACAAGCTTAATCTAAAATATTTATGGAAAGGCAAAGAAGTTGGAATAGCTAAAATAACTTTGAAAAAGAGGAATTAAATGAGACAAATCATTATACCTGATTTTAAGGCTTATTAAGTAACTATAGTAATCAAGACAGTGTAGTATTGGTAGAGGAACAGACACATAGATCAATGGAACAGAATTAAACAACATAAATAGATCCATACAAGTACAGCCAACTGATACCTGACAAAGTAGAAAAAGCAATTCAATGGAAGAATCACCTTTCCAAAAACAGTGCTGGAGCAATTGCACATCCATAAGCAAAAAAGTGAACTTTGATCTAAATATCATGTCTTATAAAAAATAATCAAAAATGGATCACAGCTTTACATAAAATGCAAAACTACAAAAGTTTAGAAGAAATTGTAGGAGAATATGTTTTGTACCTAGCACTACATGAAAAGGTCTTAGATGTGACGCTAGTCACTTTTTTTAAAAGTACGTTAAAAGTAATAAATTGGACTTCAGCAACATTTAAAAACAAACAATAACAACTTTTGGTCTACAAAAATTTATTTAGCAGAGGCTAAAGGTTAGTCATCTCTACCTCAACCACTAGCACTGCCATCATCCAGGGACCAAGCCAGAGACCATGGCCCTATCCTCCACATCACCCTCTACCTCTCCACATTCAATCCACCCAAACCCACAAAGACCAGGTCTCCAAGCCAGGCCTCTCTTCCCATCTGCACCCACTGGTCTAAGCTGCCACATCTCTCTCCAGGAAGCCTGCAGAACCACCACTCCCAACTGATCTCAGGCTACCCCCACTAATAATCTTGAGGACACCCACCACTGCTCACTGATTTTGAAGATGCTACACTATTCCTAACTGATCTCAAAGACCCCCCCCCACTACTCCTAAGTGATCTTGAGGGACCCCCATTACTCCTAAGTGATCCTGAGGGACCCCCATTACTCCTAAGTGATCTTGAGGGGCCCCCACTACTCCTGATTTTGAGGGCCCCCTACTACTAACTCATTTTGAAGGCCCCCTACTAGTCCGAACTCATTTTGAGGGTCCTCCACTACTCCTAACTGATCTTGAACCCCACCTCCTTTATAATCCACTCAACAGTCAGAGAGACCTTTGCCAAATGCATGTTGGGTCATGACTGAGCCCTTTTCCTTTGAGATCCACAAATACCATAACAGATCCGATGGACTGGAGGACCCAGACAGATAGCTGGGTTGGGGTGGGGAGTTCATGACACTGGTGTGCTGCTCTCCCAGCCCCTGCTCCATGGCACTCCATAGGGACAGCTGGTGGGAGAACCAGCAGAGTGGCTGGCCAGGTGAGCCCTGGCCTCAGGGCCAGGTTCCTCTGGCTTGGAGCACCGTTCGAAACACCATGCTGGGGAAAGGGGCACCCTCGTCCTGGCCAGCAGTGGCCCCAGGCTCCAGCAACTGGATTGCTTCCCACAGTGGGCAGGCGCTGGCCTCAATACTGGATGTCACCACTATTCAGTGACAAAGCCACAAGGCAGTGACTACTTTGGGGAACAGGACACATGCTCACATTCCCATTTCTTCTTCTGTTTGCTCGTCAGCAGGATGGTATCCATGGGGCCAGGTAAGCACCTTGAGGGCCCTTGGACCAAATAAAAGAGTGGACTGGCTGTGACCAACAGGATGAGGGCTCACAACAATCTTATTTTAAACTCTAAAGGAAATGTAACCTAATTTGAGGTGGTAAAACAGTAGAGCCAGGCATATCCTGCCAAAGACACACCCCTTGCTGCAGCCTGTCCTGGCATCCACTCAGCACCTGCACAGAAGCACGTGTGAGAGCCCTGCTCTCCTCTTCTATAAACTTCTATGGCTCCATATTCCAGGGACATCCCGGCTCCATTGAACCAAAAAGTGGGTTGAGAAACTAACTTGTGTGTGTGAGGGGATTCGGACAAGCTCTAAGAAGGGTGTCACTGCACCATGGTCAGGTATAAATAAGGGCATCGGTCACCATGTGCAAAGCCTCTTGGGACTAAGTTGGGATATAAACTCTTATATCAAGGCTGGGATTCTTAAAACAACATTAAACATCTTGTAATAACTTCCCTGGGAGATACTGTGGGCACTCACTTAATAGATACAAAATATAAATGATATTTTGGAAGTTGTATTATTTACTTTAAAAAAACTTTTTTTTTGTTTATGTTATTTTGTCTTGCTAGCTCTTTAACTTGACCAGACTCTAACTACACAAAATAAAATCTCTTTTTAAAATAAAAATGACCTACAATGACTAGCAATCCCCATTAAAATTTCAAGACACAGGCAGCAGTTTCTGAAATAATTGTATAGACTATTATAAAATTGAAGCTTAGGCCAGGCATGGTGGCTCACACCTGTAATCTCAGCACCTTGGGAGGCCAAGGTGAGTGGATCACCTGAGGTCAGGAGTTCAAGACCAGCCTGGGCAACATGGTGAAACCCCATCTGTACTAAAAATACAAATAAATAAATAAATAAATAAATTAGCTGGGTATGGTGGCGCACGCCTGTAATCTCAGCTACTCAGGAGGCTGAGGCACGAGAATCATTTGAACCCGGGAGGTGGAGGTTGCACTGAGCTGAGATCGCACCACTGCACTCCAGCCTGGGCAATACAGCAAGACTTCGTCTCAAAAATTAAAAAATAAAAATAAAAATAAAAAATAAAATTGAAGCTTAAAGCTCACTCTCTAAATGATAGTAGTCTATTCTATTAGAATGATGAAAGGTAACATTACACTCTAGAGGTTATCAAGCGTCCTTTAATGTTACATATAGCATGAAGTTAACTGGACTGTTTTTCGGTCTTTTTTTCCCCCTTTAATAGACACTGGTAGTGGTGGAAAACATGCTTTTAAGGTAAATGCTCAGGTTTCAGAAAATACCACACAAGAACAGGAAATATTAAAATGGACAATAATGCCCAAATATTTCTCTTGAGGATTTAGATTTCACATTACTCAATCTAGTACATCCCATTACGAGAGTTTCCTAAAATAACTTTATAGAATTTGCTATCTACCACGGAAAAGGAATAGAATCTACTATCTATCACTATCCATCTACTACTGAGGATACAATCTACTATGTGCCATGGCAAAGGAATACCCAAAGTCACAGGCTTGTCACAGTACCACGCTGGGAGGGCTTCTGACAGACCACAACACCCTGCTGCTGAGGAATGCCGTCACCTGTGCAATGTGGAGAACAGAAAGTTGAACCTCTGCCAAGCAACAGAAGAGCCTGTGGTCTAGGTGGACCTATTAATCATCACTATAAAATAAAGCACCACCTCCAATACATCTGCTTGGTACACAGAGGTGGGGGCTGTGGTGTGGCAGAATTGCCTGGGGTGTGTGGTCAGAAGACTCAGGCTAAGCTCCAGCCCCTTTTTCTTCGTCACAGAGTCCCTTGGCAAGGCACTCAACTTGGACTTCAACCCAGGACCAGAAGATACTGTTGGCCTCAGAGAGAGTGAGAGGTGATTCTGACAGAAGACAGAGCCTGGGTCAAACCATGAACTGCCTCGGAAATGAGGCTGCTGAATGGTGGATGTCCTCAGCGTCCAAGGCACGCTCTGAAACACAGCCCTGACGATGCAGGACACAAGGAAGCCTCGAGGACACATGCAACAAGTGGTCAGTGACAATGTGGTGGCTCTACGCTGCCTCTGCCCCTCTACATAGTCACTTCCCTTACTACCCACCGAGTCAGTGTATCAGGGACAGCATGTGCTCCGCTGGTGGATGACACTGGCTGAGCATAGCAAGAAAAAGTTAATGGAGTTGCACGAACAAACACTGAACTAAAACGTCTTCATTTAAATACAGAATCTGCCTCTGTCAAGACCAGTACTCCTCTCTCAGATTTCTAAGAGTAACTGCTTACTAAAATGCCACTGTATTCCTGCTTGACCCAAAATTAATCCAAAATATACTCCAGGGCAATCAGAAAACTTCATGTACTCTATCTGGAAACCTTATTCTAGCTTCTACCTGCTGGAAAGAGTATTTTTGGAGAGATGGAATATGTCCTATGCTGAAGACCTGCATACCTGCCACCCAGCAATTCCACTCCTAGGTCCACCCAACAGAAATGCATCCAGATGTTTGGCAGAATATGCTTTAGAATGTCTCTCTTCCCATCTCCACCCATGCTCTAGAATGTCCAAAGCCATACTGTTCATAATAGCCCAAACTGGCGACCACCTGCATGCCCATCAACAGTGAATGCTGTATATTTGCACTGCACTGAGAATTAATGAGCTACAACTACACACAAGGCCCTGTATGAATCTCACACACATAATATTGAGTGAAAGGAGCAAAATGGAAAACATGCATCCTGCATGGTCCCACATACATAAAGCACAAAACAGGCAAATCTATGGTGTTAGAAGTGAGAGCAGTGGTGACCCCAGGGGGGTATGAGGGGCTCCTGCAGTGTGGGTGTGTTCTGTGTCCTGATCTAGGTGTGGATTATGAGGTGTGCTCAGTTACTTGGCTGCATTTATTAAGCTGCAAACTTCTGACGTGGCCTTTGTGCATGAGATTCTACTGCCATAAAAAGTGGTGCAGCCAAGGACTAAGGGAAAGAGAGGCTAGCAAGAGGGAGTGCCTCTCATGCCCTGCTCCCAGAACTTGTTTTTTCCCACCAGTTAAGCCAGCAAGAGATCAGATTTTCACAGCCGGAAGTGAAGCTGAATCCCTCTGATGGCTGGTTTCAATGGAGACTGTACTATCTACTCCAGGGAATGGGGGCTGGTGGGGGACAGAGAGGACACTGCACAGGCCAGTAATTAAGGTATGCTATTTAACTATCACAAACGCACTCTGAATTCTGACAAGATTCGTGACTCTCCAAATTTACTGTGACTCACCTGTGATCTCCTCAAAACTGTGACAAAACCCTGACCTACTTAGGGCTGGGAAAGTGCCTGTAAATCACATCGCTGCCTCCCTATTTAAAGCATGTCTCTCATGACTTAAGCCATAGTAGAACAGAAGAAAATCCCAAATCCACTGTTGGGCCCAGAATTCCAAAAGATGGGCTTATATTTGCTACCTGCTCCAAAAACCCCAAATGCCAGTGTGACATGCATCCTAATTAATGCTCTCGGTTCCAGGAAGCCAAGGGCTGAGGGAATGGACGAGAAACTGCTGTGCACAAGCCTCCTAGAAGCACTGCTCCCTTCCTGCACACATCCAGGCTCACACCACTGCTATGCAGACCCTAGTCCCCATCCCACAATAGAAATGAGAAGGAGGACAGCCAGGCCTGGCTGCCCTTGTGCTCTGTCCTCACAGCATATGTGAGGAGTCGGGAAGTCTATCCCACTGGATTGCTTTCCTGAGGTCCAAGGGGCAAAATTCCCTAGGAAGGTGGCCTGGACGCTGGGAACAGTTACCTCCCCAACTTCTGGGGGAATTTCTCTTAGAAGGTTTAGTCTTCCCAGTGACAAGACATTTTTTTTTTCTGATCATAGCATTATAACTCAAGACAATTTTTAAAATATTTTTTCTCCAAAAAAAAAAAAAAAAAACCCCAACCATTAAGCCTTAACACAGTCAGTCTTCTTGAAAACATGTTCTGGCAGTGATCCTTATTTCTTTTGACAGTGATTTTTCCACACCTATGCTACTTTTCCAGCTCTTCCTTTAAAAATGTATCATTTTGAAATGACAATCTGTACAATTTCCATTTAACACAATTACAGCAGCCTTCTAGGCCCTGGCACAGAAGCAAGGCAATGTCCACAGCTTCTGCAAACATCTGTAACAACATCACAGATGAGCCCTTGCTTGGCAGAACCCCTGCTGAGCTGGGTGACAATAAACAAACCCTGGCTGTGTCACAGTCATTGTTTTTGGCCTGTTTTGTTTTTTGTTTCATTTTTTCTGCTACGCCTAACTCAAACTTAACAGGTTAAGGACTAGCAGGGCCACCTGCATCACATAATGATATGATGTCCAGGAGCATATGTCTGTTCCCTGTGGGCAGGTTCCAAGCCCTGCACCAAAGCACTCTTTGATGGTCCCCGATACACTGGAGTCATGTTTACTCCCTGCTAAACCACACGGTTTACATTGTGAGGTTCACGGTTTACACGGTTCGCACTGTGAGGACCACCCAGCCAGGCAGGAGGGCCATGACCTCAGGGGAGCAGGGCCACACCTTCAAGTTTTCCAATCAATCAGACCTCATTAATTCTCTCTGCAAAGCCCATCCAAAGTTCTAAGGACATACTCACTTCGACGGAATATTTGAAAATCAGGGGGAAAGAGTGAACTTTAATCATCTTATCATTTAAAGACACTTTCCACCTTTTCTCTGTGCCTTTTGACCTCTAGCATCCCAGGCACCCACACTGACACAGTACAGGATATGACAGAAAAGAGAATCAAGAATCGCACACTGCGCTGGGTGCGGTGGCTCATGCCTGTAATCCCAGCTCTTTGGGAGGCTGAGGCAGGTGGATCATGAGGTCAGGGGTTCGAGACCAGCCTGACCAGCATAGTGAAACCCCGTCTCTACTAAAAATACAAAAATTAGCCAGGCGCACGCCTGTAATCCCAGCTACTCAGGAGGCTGAGGCAGGAGAATCACTTGAACCCAGGAGGCGGAGGTTGCAGTAAGCCGAGATTGCACCACTGCACTCCAGCCTGGGTGACAGAGTGAGACTCCGTCTCATAAAATAAAATAAAATAAGAATCACACACTGGTTCCATGAGACCCCTTCCTGATGACACTGGAGATGCCTTCTTGTCCTTGGCCTCCTAACAGCCTGCTGTGAAGATACCTGCCTGTGTCTCCTGGTTCCTCATATACAACTCCCAGAACTCCTGATTCCATAGCCAGTAACGTGTCCCTCAAAAGGTGGAGGTTCCTCTACACAGTTCACCTTACTAAGCAGAAAACATCAATTACAAAAGCAAAACCAACACTCCCAACCTTCCGTAAAGGAAAAGACCTGATGCCACATAGGTGGATGGGTCCCACAGGAGGCCACGAGAGGCAATGCCCTGCCAGGAACAGTGCAAATCCTTTCTTCCTGTCACTCAGGGCCCTGCTTACTGCCTCGGGGACCATTCCCAGGACTTGGTGTCCCCATCTGTGAGCTGGAGACATGGCTACCACTGGCAGAGCTCCCATAAGAATTCATGTGGGATACAAGGAAGACCCTGCTACCCCCAGCAAACAGAGAGCCTCCTGTATGAGCTCTTCTCTCCTTCACAGTCGATAGGAGGCACCCTCCATGGTGGGCTCCTGAGAGAGCCCCGAAATAGGCTGCCTTCTTGCCATTCAAACCCCTTCTGGTTCCCATGTTACAGCTGGTTTAAAATAATAATTAAAAAGCAGGATTCTTCAGCATGCCAGCCATCCCTCCTCCCCAGGCACTGGGCATCCTCTCACCTGCGCTAGGCGACATAAACCTGTTTCCCTCATGGCTCTGAACACACCTTGTTCCATGTCCTGTACCTCTCCATCTCAAGGGGAGGAGAATTGAAAAGGCTGCGGAGCCACACTCAGTGCAGATTCTGGCCCCTACTTCTGTCCTGATTCTGCCCCAGGTTTCAAGTAGGTAGGGTGCACACTCGTGCACATCAGAAACCACGCGGGTAAGCCACAGGAGTAGCCAATATTTACATGCACCCACCATCTCTCTCGTCCTCTGTGAAGCTGGCCTCATGCCGGCTCCAACCACACGATGCACCCAGGGCCACAGAGGATCCGGCTCTGGGCAGGGGAATCATGCTCAGCACTTGGCCATGTTTTACAGATCCCCAGCCCCCAACCAGCATGTTGAGGCCCCCTCAGGAAGGGCTGGCCTGGGGACTCTGCGACCTCCCACTGCTCTTCATACTAGGCCCCTCCTAGCACCTCTGCAATGCCATCTTCCACCCTGTACCCTCTACCCACTCTGGCAGACGTGCCAGGACCCAGTGGTATTCTAACCTGGCCTAAGCACTTGCCAGGGAGGGCCTGAGTGAGCATGGAGCACAAAGCGCTTGGAGTGCAACCACAGACAATCCACAGACCCGTTGGGGGTTGGTGGCTCCCCCATGCAGGAGGAGGTCTGGGGACTCTACGGGACACCATGCACAAGAGAGCCCACAGGCCTGGGGTCTGATAAGGAGGATCTCTCAGGATGGCGGCCCCACAGTGTGGGATGCCAGGGACTCAGCTGTTCCAGGGGCTGCCTCCACCTGCTCCTCCCCTGCCCTTGGCTGGCTCTGCCCCTCTGCTGGACAGGCTCTCGGGCTTCAAGCCCCTGCAACTCCACAGCCCTGCTCTGCTCACCTTTGTCCTTCAGACTCTCTCTACCTCCTGTCTTCTGGGACTCTGCTCTTATTTCCAGTTGTCTGATTTCTTCCATATTTCCCAATTCAGATCCCCAAGGAATCCCACTTTCAGATATGATCAACATGACTCTTTCCTGAGCGCTTTCCACCAGATGGGTAAGTTGGCCCACTGGCCAGTCTAGAGCCTGTGGCCCAAACTGTCTTTTTCTTTTTTGGGTAGAGGTTTGTGGAGGAAGGGTATGGGATTACATATAAACTCTTTGGGTATGTTGCCAAGGACTAAGTTAAGAAAGCTGGAAGGAGCACATATTGCAGATATCAGAGTAAAATTGTGAAGGGAGCCCACTGAGAACCCTAAAGAACAGGAAAAAGGGGAGAACTCTGACAATGGAATAAGAACGGGCAGGAACTGGTATGGCTCACTCGTCTCCAATGACCTGCCAGGCTGCACTGGCAAGATTCATCTACTCAACCTGGAGCACCTCCGCAGCAAAGCCATGGTGCCCAGCCCCCGGTGAGCCCCCATCAATATCCAGTTCAACAACCACCGCACATTCAACACAGTGTCACATGGCCACTGAAACCTCGGTTTAAGAAGAATATTTATAACACGGAAAAGGCTCAAGAAATGATGTCCGTGACAAGAAAAACCAAACCAGATAAAACATTTTTTAGCATATATGATTATTTACTTTTTTCGCATATATGATTATTTATGTCTTCTCCAACGAGTAGGTATTTTTCTAAAGAGTACTTGCTACTTTCACGAGTTTAGACAAAAAGTCTGTTGAAAGAATAAGCAGATGACACAATGCCAAGGGCAGCAAGATTTAGGATAGACTAAATTTAGAGATAGAGACAATGAAAAGCCAAGGGTCGCCTTGTTGTTCCCTGCTAGGCAGGGCAGGGAAGGACAGTCCTCCTCCTCTCCCAGGCTATGCCAAGAGGGCAGGGCACCCCGCAGGCCTGCCGTAGCCTGGGCATCCTTGTGAGTGAATGGGCCTGCAAAGGGCTAGCACAGTATGTCAGGGCACACAGAGGGCGTGATGGGGCTGCAGTGGACCCTTTCCATAAATATGTGTCCCAGGTGTAAATACAGTTCATACATGCTGCATGCTTCTGAAACAATTCCACCCATTCCCAACATGCAGGAGGGCAGTGCCTAGAGCCAGGCCACTGTGCACACATGCCTGATACTGAGTTGGTTGTGAGTACATGATAGAAATGAAAAAAGGGTGTGATCATGGTCAAAGAGCAAGACAGCCGCTCTCCTCCACTAAGGACTAGTGATGTTCCTTCTCGTTCCTTTACTACGAGAAGGAGGCTATTTGTAAAGGTCCCAGGTCACAGTGACTTGGTAATACATACTTTACTCCAGGGAAGCAGTAAAATGGCCTCTGACTCCCACATCTACTGGGGTTGGTTACTGCAGGGCTCTGTGGGGGCACTGAAGGCATAAGGGTTTGCAACACAGGGAAGACCTTGCTTTGGAGATCTGAAGAGCTCTGATAATGTCGTGACCATGAAAATCACTATTACCATGGATAAGATTCACAAAGCCATGCGGACCTGTGTCTTAGTCCATTCACGCACTGGTATAAAGAAATACCTGAGACTGGGTAACTTATGAAGAAAAGAGGTTTAATTGACTCACAGTTCCACAGGCTTAACAGGAAGCATGGCTGAGAGGACTCAGGAAACTTACAATCATGCTGAAAGACCAAGGATAAGCAAGCGCGTCTTACCACATTGGAGCAGGAGAGAAAGCAAAGGGGGAAGGAAGTGCCACACATTTTTAAATGATCAGATCTCGTGAGAACCCACTCACTATCATGAGAACAGCAAGAGGGAAGTCTACCCCCATGATCCAGTCACCTCCCAGCAGCCCACACCTTCAACATGTGCAGATTACAGTTCCCACATGAGATTGGGGAGGGGACACAGAGCTAGATCATATCAACCTGCAACTTGCCCTTCAGGAGTGAGGTCCCTAACTGCAGAGTCCCTCGAAGAACACACATTCAGTGAGGCAGGCTCATGGCTTACAGGAGCGGCCTCACTGCCTGCAGGTGCTGAGCAAGGAAAGGCAGGGAAAGGCTTTGGGAAGGGAAACCAAAGGTGTCACACGAGAGGCAGGGGCTAGGGTCTTGAAGAGAAGGCCCTGCTGGGCACGCAGGGAGGGGCAATAGCAAAAACAGGGGTAAGGCAGCCATGACTGCTGTGGGATTGAGATGAGGGGGACGTGCAGACCAGTCTGCCTGGGGAAGCATCAAACCCTGAACTTTAAGTAATGGTTCCCCAGTTGTAGGTAATACTCTAAAAAACTGTGCTTTTTATTTTTAAAAAAAAACAGTTTTCTCTCACTGAGCTTGCAGAATTTAAGAAATTTCAGTCAGAAGTCCACAAATAGGCTCCAGAACATCCCAGCCATCAACCTCTAAGCTGCCTCTCTCCTTTCTTTGCCCTCCGGCCTTCCCAAAGCCTTTCCCTGCCTTCCCCTGGTCTGACTCAGCAGTCATCTCTTGAGATCATGTGCTCTTCCATATCCAATGCTTTGTATTTTTTAATCTCGTTGATAGCAAACAAATAGAGTTCTGAAAAATATGGTATGCTCAGTTGTGAAAGGCTGGTGAGTTCTTTGCCTCTGCCCAGCTGAGAGTTCCTGGAGGGGCCCACATTGCTCCAACAGTAGCTCAGCACTCAAAGTCAGAGAGCACGCACTGGGCACTCTCAGGCCTTGGCATACAAATGCACCAGTTGCTGCCCTGTCCTTTTATGGATCCACATCCCAAGCTATTTCCAACTTCAGAGTTAGAAACAGGCCTGCAGTTGCTTGTCTGTAAGGATTTTATTTCTCCTTCACTTATGAAGCTTAGTTTGGCTGGATATGAAATTCTGGGTTGAAATTAAGAATGCTGAATATTGGCCCCCACTCTCTTCTGGCTTGTAGAGCTTCTGCTGAGAGATCCACTGTTAGTCTGATGGGCTTCCCTTTGTGGGTAACCCGACCTTTCTCTCTGGCTGCTACCTGACTTTGAACTACACTACAAGGCTACGGTAACCAAAACAGCATGGTACTGGTACCAAAACAGAGATATAGACCAATGGAACAGAACAGAGCCCTCAGAAATAATACCACACATCTACAACCATCTGATCTTTGACAAACCTGACAAAAACAAGAAATAGGGAAAGGATTCTCTATTTAATAAATGGTGCTGGGAAAACTGGCTAGCCATATGTAGAAAGCTGAAACTGGATACCTTCCTTACACCTTGTACAATAATTAATTCAAGATGGATTAAAGACTTAAATGTTAGACCTAAAACCATAAATACCCTAGAAGAAAACCTAGGCAATACCATTCAGGACATAGGCATGGGCAAGGACTTCATGACTAAAACACCAAAAGCAACGGCAACAAAAGCCAAAATAGACAAATGGGGTCTAATTAAACTAATGAGCTTCAGCACAGCAGAAGAAACTACCATCAGAGTGAACAGGCAACCTACAGAGTGGAAGAAAATTTTTGCAATCTACCCATCTGATAAAAGGCTAATATTCAGAAGCTACAAAGAACTTAAACAAATTTACAAGAAAACAATCGACCCCATCAAAAAGTGGGCAAAGGATATGAACAGACACTTCTCAAAAGAAGAAATTTATGCAGCCAACAGACACATGAAAAAATGCTCATCATCACTGGCCATCACAGAAATGCAAATCAAAACCACAATGAGATACCATCTCACACCAGTTAGAATGGTGATCATTAAAAAGTCAGGAAACAACAGGTCCTGGAAAGGATGTGGAGAAATACGAACACTTTTAGACACTTTTACACTGTTAGTGGGAGTGTAAACTAGTTCAACCATTGTGGAAGACAGTGTGGCAATTCCTCAAGGATCTAGAACTAGAAATACCATTCAACCCAGCGATCCCATTACTGCGTATAAACCCAAAGGATTATAAATCATGCTACATAAAGACACATGCACATGTATGTTTACTGCAGCACTAATCACAATAGCGAAGACTTGGAACTAACCCAAATGTCCATCAATGATAGATTGGATTAAGAAAATGTGGCACATATACATCATGGAATACTATGCAGCCATAAAAAAGGATGAGTTCATGTTCTTTGTAGGGACACAGATGAAGCTGGAAACCATCATTCTGAGCAAACTATTGCAAGGACAGAAAACCAAACACTGCACATTCTCACTCATAGGTGGGAATTGAACAATAAGAACACTTGGACACAGGGTGGGGAACACCACACACTGGGGCCTGTTGTGGGGTGGGGGGAGTGGGGAGGGATAGCATTAGGAGAAATATCTAATGTAAATGATGAGTTAATGGGTGCAGCACACCAACATGGCACACATATACATATGTAACAAACCTGCACGTTGTGCACATGTACCCTCAAACTTAAAGTATAATAATAATAATAATAATAATAAAGAAAGAAAAAGAAATAGGCCTGCAGGCTCTCTGGTTTGTGGCTGGCCCCATCCTTCTGCTCACACCCACCACAACCCTGATGCATACAAAGCACTTTTACAACCTTGCTGCAGGCAGGACAATGCACCAATAAAGGGCACAGCTTCAGAAGGTTCTCACCTCAGAGAGCCACTTAAGGCTCCAAAACCAACAACCCAAGGAGTTAACATGCAAAGCGGCCCATGGTACTCTTGGAGGCCTGACAGAAGCAAATACAACCTCATTGGCCAGGCACATCCTGAAGCCAAGCCAAAAATGAGGCTGCAATCCAGTGACAAAACAAAAGCAGCAGTAATTCCCCAAGAATAAGAGCCAACAGACACAGAAACAGCAGAACCAGACAACAGCTCCCACCCCACCAACACCACTACCACCAAGCTCAGGTAATAAATGATTACTTGGAGACCAAAATAATGCTTTAAAGGTTGATTCAAGCATTTTTAAACATGATTAAAACACTAAGTAAACAGTATGGCAATATTAAAAAGACCAGGGTGATGAGAAATGAAGAGAATGTGTGTAAATGAGTACTATAATCACAAAATCAAAGACCAAGAGGCTGGTTTTTAAAGTGGATTTGACATGGATTAGGTAGAAGGTAGATTCATGAAGTGGAAGGATGCATTGAGGGAATTATCCAGAATGTACCAAAGAGAGCTGGAAGAACAGGTAATGTGAGAGAATGGCTAAGAAATTAGAAGATGTAATGAAAAGGATCAATAAATGACTAATTGGAGATGGAAAGAAAAGAGAGAAGAGGTAGCAGGCAACCTATGAAGAGTTAGTGGCTAGTAATGTCATAGAATCAATGTCATACATGGATTCTCTACTTAGGAAAGGCCAGAGAAACTGATGGTTCATTCTCTAATCTTCTCAAGTAACCCAAAAAGATCAAGACGGCTAATTTTCCAAGATATCACACATTCTGGTTGTACAGGTGACCCCAGGATGTAGTGTTTTCCAAACACCAGTTTATTTTGTCTTTTCTCCACATTTGCAATAATACCATGATGGAGTTGGATGGAGGTGATCATTTGAACTAATCCTTTGGGTCCTGCTGACCTCCTGTTTACAGGGATGCTAGGGCTTGGCCCTTCTGGCTTCTCTAAAGCCAGAGTTCACCAGTTACACATCCCCATGATTGACAATCCCATGTGAACTCTACAAACTTGGAGGCAGGCAGAGAAAGAAAAGTATTTAGATACTTCAACTGATTGCCATTTTGTGTTGTTTGTTTTGTTTTGTTTTGTTTTGTTTTGAGACAGGGTGTCGCTCTGTCGCCCAGACTGGAATGCAGTGGCACAATCTCAGCTCACTGCAACCTCCGCCTCCTAGGTTCAAGAGATTCTCCTGCCTCAGCCTCCCTAGTAGCTGAGA
This sequence comes from Homo sapiens, assembly GCF_000001405.40. NCBI lineage: Eukaryota > Metazoa > Chordata > Mammalia > Primates > Hominidae > Homo > Homo sapiens. Next base: position 4,137,094 of record NT_187660.1, read on the forward strand.
TTACAGGCGCGCACCACCATGCCCAGCTAATTTTTGTAATTTTAGTAGAGACGGGGTTTCACCATGTTGGTCAGGCTGGTCTTGAACTCCTGACCTCATGATCCGCCCTCCTTGGCCTCCCAAAGTGCTGGGATTACAGGCATGAGCCACTGCGCCCAGCCCTGACTGCCTTTTAACGCAAGGTAGACTTTTTGCCAGCAATTGAAGACAGTAAGTGTGGGTGCCCTCTCCCTTTCACACCACTTGCTGGCAGGAGCCCCAGGGGCAACAGACTGAAGGAAGTGCCCACAGGACATTCCACAGTAGGCCAGGCTGAGGGGAAATCTTCATCAACTCTTGTTCCTTGGAATTTAGGATTTCTCACTTTTAAGTCGCCATGGCCTTTGAAACTAAGTTTTGCAGATGGAGAAACTAAAAAACTAAGGGTTGTTAACATATAACTATTTTAAACTGAGAATTTAAAACAAACAAATCTCAAATTATTGCAATAAACTATTCCAAAATACAGTTTGGGTTCACAGATTTGTAACTACAAATAGCTTATAATACACAAAGTTCATAACCTTCAACTTGATCTGATAAAGTACCTACATGCCTCCTCCATACAAAGGACCAAGTCAGACATTTACGAAGACAGCTTGTGCCATGTGAGTGGCCAACTGGCCAATTCTGTGCTCCTCAATGGGCTCATCTGTGAAGTGGGCTTGAACACTGATACCTGCCTGGCAGGGTAGCTGTGAAATCTAAACTAGATAATATAGGCAAAGCACTTGGCAATGATTGCTACTCTTATCACTTAGAAATTACAGCGCTAATTTAATATTCATTACATTAATGATTTAATTAAATTACTAAAGCAGTAAGAATTCATTCAAGGTTATACTGATGAATACCCAAAAGGTCACAGACTTCCAAAAGACAGGTGGTCACTCCAAGGCCACCAGGACCAGGCAGTATACAGGGACAGGCTGAGGAGGTGGGGAAGAGTGGGGACAGACGTCCAGGGTGGTACCTGCCACCTCCCTTCCCCCCAGGCTGCTCTGCAAGGAAGGGCCTGGGTGGCCCTCGCTGGGATGCCAAATCTCTAATACAATAGCTTGTCTAATCTAATAAAAGAGCCTTTGTGAAGAATTGTTCTGGAGTCAAACAAAAACTCTTCTTGGAAAAGGAGCCCTAAAGTTACTACACAATGCTCAGCATCCGTGCAAAACAGTGACCTATTTCTCAAAGCACAAGAAGTCCCCAAAGATTACAAGCAAAACCCCTCAGCATCCACACAATCATCCAGCAGACAGCAGCTTCTCAGCTTCGAGCAAACAATCTACTCCTCCACACTTTCTTTGAAAGCCCCAGAAACAATGAAAAAGGAAAGGGAGAGAGAAAACTAGAAAGAGAAATATATTCCACCCCCAACAAATCAAGGAGACAGACACAACCACAAGCCACAAACTACTGAGTGTACCAGAACCAATGCAATCAGGAACAGACACAGAGAGCCAGCACCCACCTCCTGAACCTGGGGAGGCACATGGGCCCCGCCAGGAGAAATGGCCTAGCCCCAATGTGGTTGGTCATGAAAGGGCTGTGTGGATACAGAAGCATGGCCACTGAGCAGGCCTCAGCCTGTGGACTCGGCCTTGTACAGAGAGAAAGGCAGCAAATGTATGACAGAAACACAAGAGGTCTGCTATGAACAACACCCAACTTAAACCCTGAAATCTAGGGAACACAGCCTGCCTTAGACAAAGGGAATTCATGTGGAATAAATGTATTTCAGACCACAAACTTGAATCCAGTGTGCATCCCGCCCTGGCTTCACCCTCATCCTTCTTCTTCAACAAAGACCTGACCCCATTCAAAAGTGACTAAAATCACAAAGCAACCAGCATGGGAATCAGGCACAGAAGAGAGGGTAGGGAAGGAGAAGAGCAAATGCAGATGCCTGAGAAAATACCCATAAAGAAACAGATAAAGTGACTTTATAAAAATATTTCCCATTTTTTCTATTAGTTTTTTATTACTACTGTAACAAATTACCACAAACTGAGTGGTTTCAAGCAATATAAATTTATTTTCTTATAGTTTTGAAAGTCGGAAATCTAAAATCGGGTTAAAATCTAGCTGTTGGCAGGGCTGCATTCCTTCTGGATGCTCCAGGGAGGATCTGCTCCTTGTCTTTTATGCTTTTTAGAGGCTGCCCTCATTCTTTGGCTTATGGACCCCTTCCAGGAAACACATCACTCTGACCTCTGCTCTCACTGCCACAACTCCTATGCTTCCCTTGTGATGACCTGGGGCCCACCTGGGTCGTCCAGGATCATCTCCCTGTCTCAAAGACCTTCACTTAATCACACCTGAAAACTCCCTCTTGCCACATAAGATGACATATGCAGAGGTTCTGAGAATTAGGACAGGAACATCTCTGGGGGGTCATTATTCTGCCCACCATAAAGAGAAACGTTTCCCTCTTCTTTTACAGCTTCTGAAACCCCCATATGCTTCAGCTCTTGGTCCCCCACCTCCAATGATGTCAGGCAAAGTCCTGAAGCTGCCATCACTCTGGTTCTCATCTTTCTGCCTCCCTCCTTCCACTTTTAAGAAAGACCCTACTGATTATATTGTGCCTATGCAGACAATCCAGGAATAGTCTCCCTATTTTAAAGTCAGCTGACTAGCAACCTTAATTCCATGCTCAACTTCATTTCATTTTTCAGTTCCAATTTCCTGCCATGCATGGTAACATATTCACAGGTTTGGGGGATTAGGATACTGACATCTTTGAGGGGTTGTCTTCCTGCCTACCACACTTTCCTAAAAAGGAAAAAAAAAAACAACAACAACAAAGAAGAGATCATAAACCAACAGAAAGAGAATCAGAGCATGGAAAAGAAATGAAGAAATAAAAATTAAAATAAATGGAATAGGGATGAAAACCATATTAGATGCAACTAAATAATAGAATAAAGGCAATCAACCCCAGAGATAAGCAAATGAAATGGAGAAGAATATGAAATATCAACTTTATCAAAGAGATGACAAATATAAGACAAAAGAAACAATGTGCATATAATTAACATTCTTGAATTGTTAACAGAAAAAAGGTCATAGATATAATACAAGAAAACTTCTGAAATAAACTGACTTATCTCTGTCAATTACAAGGGTTTTACTTTACTTAGTTTAAAAGAAAGTGATACAGCAATACCAGCATCCAGAAACATTCAAGTAAATTAACCGAATTAAAAGAATCACATGAACATCTAGGCAAAACAGGCTGACTTCAAATTTCTCATAACTCTGTGCTAAAAGACAGGAGAAATATCTCTATATAGTTTTAAAGGAAATTATGCAACTCAAGACCTTTATAATCAGGCAAGAGTTATTTTCAAGCTTGCAAGAATTCTTCAAGTTTGAGTGTGCCATGAGCCATGTGAGAAGAGAACAAGAAAGGAGGAAAACAGAGCCAGGGATTAAACAAACTATACAATGAACTCCAGACAACCGAAAAACAAATCGAAAAAAAAATCCTCAAGAATGTATCCATTGGAACTACTGATAAAAAGACTGATACTGTGTGATCCTGGAATCTATTTAAACAGAGCACTAAGAATAAGTAACTGTGGAAACAAGTTATCTAAGAGATGACCCATGTTATGTTCCTTGACAATGTAAAAAGTTATAGGGTGAGTAACAAAATAGGGAAATGGGTGGGAGGAAAAGGAAGCACTAATATGCAAATTTAGTAACCTTTCAACCCCTGAGTGAGCAGATGCCAACCCTAAATACACAGTAGTTTGCAAACAGCAAATGCAACATTAATAAACAGCAACAAGCAAACAGGTATTTCATAGGTTTCCCCTAATTTTACAGGGATTGAATGGAGGCTATAGTTGCTCCCCAAATCCATCTCTTGTTCCTGGGCACTCAGCTAACCCACAGGACTATAAATTGAGTGGCCGGGGGACATTACTTCCTGCACATCAGTTGGCTCTGCTATAGGAGCCATGCCTGGGAGGGGCTGCCACGTCAATGGTAACTCCAGGCTGGTCTACCCAAACCAAGAAAGGGAACTTTTAGAAACTTTTATGCTCTAAGAAATAAGACATGTAACTTAAATTCAGCAAGTCTTTAATCACTAAATAAAAATATAATTTAACTGAGTACTTTTTTAGTTAAAATAGCATGTATTGTAGACTAAAAATGTAATAATCTCCAACAAGTATTCTATGTATGTTCCTATGTGTTTAATAGTCTTGGATATCCACAGACCATTTCTAGAAAGATGCACAAGGAGCAATTAGTAGTAATGCCTCCTGGGAAAGGCATGGGGATTGAGGGAAGAAAATGACTCCCATTTTACTGTTTTGCTGAACTTATTCTTTTAACCTGTGCAAATATTAGATTTTTTTTCATGAAAAATAAATAAGCAAAGGAAAGAGTAAAAACTAGTATGACTCGATTTTTACAGAACAATGTACTCCCACTGCCTTGCTGTATGCACAGAGAGGAGCAAAATGCTGAGAGTGTGGGGTTTGAGAAGCTCTGTATTAGTTTTATCTTTGTAGATGTCACTGTTTTTCATGGAACATGTTTCACAAAGTTTCCCCCAAACAGATGGTTACACTCAAAACACCACAAGCAAAGTGAAGCTCACTCAGGACCGGCTTCTTCTCAACCCCTCCTCGCCACACGTTAATTAAACTCATCTACAATCTATGTAAAAATTAAAGTGATGACGCACAGCGGACAAAGGTTTGAACAATCCTTTGGTATGCTCCCTAAAAAGGAAAGAACACAAGGAAATTCTGACGTCTGCCCAACGGGTCCAGATTGTCATTTCTGGCTCTGAGCTCTTTCGCAGCCGGGAGCATCACAGAAGTTGGTGGAGAAGGGGCTTGTTGGACAGAGCGCTGTCACTGGGCCAGCCCCTGCCCACTGAGCCCCTCTCTTTTTCCAGGTGACCTTTCTCTAATAGTTGACGGCCGGCAAACGCCAACCATCCCTCTGTTGTCCTCACAAAAATAATCCTACAAGAACAATCCTGAAAGGTACCTAGTCTTACCCTCATTCCACAACATGGAAATAGAGGCTTAAAGAAGTGAGACACTTCCTTGAGACGCCTCAGCTCCCAGGCTGATTTTAGACCCAGCTCCTGGCCCAAACTTGCCCCAGCCCTGAAGAAAAAATGAATGCACCTGGACAGTCTGTGCTCTGTCCTGAAGGAAGAGGGGCTAGGAAAATAGCCAACGAGAGCCCACGGTAGCACCTAGGGCCTGCTGTCACCTGTAAGGCAGATGTCACATACAGGGACACTGGAGCTGGTAGCTGAACTGCCTTAGCCAGGAGCCGGGCCTCCCAGCAGGAGGCAGCACAAATGGAAAGCAAACCCAGTGTGGGGGCAGGGGCTGGGAGTATCTCACTCTCACCCAGGCCTGGCCTGGGCACTCGTAGTCCCCTCTGCTGGCACTTGGGTTCTCACGCCCTCCCCCTTACACACTCGGGAAAGGAAATCACATAGGGATGGCAAGCTGTCCTGGGAGAAGCCTGGGACCCAGGAGGAGTGTACAGATAGAGTAAATGCAAGCCACAGGGCAGTCAGCGCAGCCTGAGCCGGGCCCCTCGATGTTAGGAAAATTGTGACATAAACAGCACATGCTCCAGGGCGGGGATGACATGTGACTCCAGACTGCCCCCCACGTCCTTCAACACTTGGCTTTCCCTTGCTCTGCTATCCTGGGCATCTCCTGGACCATGAAGGGTATTACCACTTGATTGCTCACTTTTTCTTAGTAATGTCTACTTTGGACTTTCAATTCTGAAAAAGGGCTTTTCTGCTGAGACTGCAGCACTGAACCACAAGCCCTCTCTATTATAATGTGTGCAGTAGTTCAGTTCCTTCTTGGGCAACTTTTCCAAGAGAAAGAACATTGAAAGGGAAAAAGAAAATCAACAAGGGAAGGTTAATTACTTAAAACCAGTAGTACTTTACGAAGAACGCATGGTTTCCCACTCAACACCTTGGGGACAAAAGTATGTATATCACTGTGTCGTGGCACTGTTGTCTTCCCGGAAAGGGCAGAACTTATTCTCCTGCCAAGATAAAATAACAAGGGGGCAGGTGATAAGGAGTATTGTTCAGGGGCAGAAAGGTGAGGTCAAAAGGCCCGAGCAGCCCGCTGAGGACCTCTTGGAGCAGGGAGAGAGCCTATAAGACAGGTGTGGCAGGTAGCCAGAGGGCAAGGGTGGCAAGGAGACTGAGGCAGACCACAGCCACTGACCAGAGTAGTCATAGTCAAGATGTTCTGGGAGGCCTGAATGCCTGAGCCCTGAGGTCCAATGCCTCTTGCTGTGCAGTGTGGCTAGCATGGAAGGCTTCGTTCAAAGATCCCTCTACAAAGGGGAAATTCCAGACAGAGAAAATTGGGGCCAGAGGAAGAGGCAGCAGCTCAGCCATGTACATCTGCCAAATGCCCAAGTGCAGGGGGATGGGACCCACCTTGCAGAACAGGGCAGCAGGAATAGTTAAGGGCACAAAGACTCGTCCAAGGAAAACACTATTAAGGAGGGAAAGCAGGTGTTTGCTCTCACGGATGTACAATGCTATACAGATGCTGCTGCCACAGAAGACAGCAAGCCTAGAGACACAGGAGAATGAGGCAAACATAACAAGAACAACGGCCAGGTTCCCCGTCTTGCCTCACATCCCCATCCCACTGCACACCACCAACCCGGCCAGCCCCACCATTCACTGGGCTAGCCGCTGTGTTAGCCTCGGCAGAGTCAGCCTCACAGTCTTCATTTCAGCCTCTCACAGACGTCACTAAAATGTCAGGGAGGCAGTGGTGGAGCCCACCAGACCAACTATCACCAGGTGAGGGGCAGTCACATGGGGCCTGAAGACAGGGCATCCCAAGTGTGCCAGTCACTCTCACCACCGTGGAAAACCACAAACTGCCATCCTCAGTCTCCTCAACTGTAGAATGGGAACAACTTCCCTCCTGACAACAGAGTTATTGGGAAGATCAAATTAGATAATCTACACAAAAGTATTTTGCAAACTGCAAAGCACTATAAAACTGCAAAGACATGATGATATGCTGTATGCAAGTTAACAAACCTGGCAAACAGTTTGATTTCCTTCTGCATGGCTGTACATCTTACTATTGTTTGTTTTACTAACAAAATTGTATTTTTTTGTTGTTATTTTATTTTTTAACTTGACAAAACTGTATGTTTTTGTTGTTTATATTTTGGTGTACAACACATCATGTTGTACATGGAAGGGCTAAATAGAGCTAATCAATGTATGCCTTACCTCACATGCTTATTACTTTTTATGGTAAAAACACTTCAACTCTACTTTTAGCAATTGTCAAGTCTATAATACATTGTTATTAATTTAGCCACCACATTATACAACAGATCTCATGAACATAAACATTTGTAAGCCAGCTATATATTCAGTTAAGTGATATAAAATTATCATTTGATCAAATAGTAAAGGTTCTACCAGTTCACCTTGCAGATGTCTTTCAATTTTCTGCTTTAAGGAGACCAACTTTCTTTCCCCCTTGTGGGATAATATATAAGAAGAGAAGAGGAACTCATGGTCCTCCCTGTTTCTCCTGGACCTGTCTCCCTGCATTTATAAAGTTACAAGAACTTCCTTGAAGCTAGTGGTTCTCAAACCCAGAATCAATAGGGGCTTTTATAAAAGTCCCAATGGGTTCCAAGGTTGCGGCTTGGTTGCTGATATCAGAACCTCTAGAGGAAGTGCCCAGACATTAAGATTTTTAAAGTACCCCTATCGTTTCAATAGGAAGTGGAGGACCTCTGGCCCGGGCCCTTCAGAGAGCCAGGACAGCCGCAACTCTGAGCACGTACCCAGCAGTGACACAGGCCTGGCAGTGGTATCTTCCTTTCTGGGGAGATATTAAGAGATTTTGAGGTTTAGGATTTGCCACCATTTTTTAACATAGGAAGGTATTGTAATCAATTATCTTAATCGATCACATGTCTTTTCTTCCATTATGAATTTTCTTTTTTCCTTAAGGATTGTTTCAAATATGACATATCCATGTGACCTTCCATTTTCTCTTTTCTATCACTAACATTTTCAAGGTAGTACAACTAATTTATTTCATTCTTAAAAATCTATGGAATGGAAAATCTGAAACTATAATTCTTCTTTGAACTCACACTCTGCTGTATGACAAGCAAGTCCCATTACAACTAATCAGTAAATTATCTGGTTTTTGTTTATTTGCAACCCAAGTAAACACAATTTTGCATGCCACTGAACTGCAAGCTTAAGTATGAAATGTTTCAAATTTTATATAAGCAACTTTCTCAACTGCGATGCTTTTGAACTCATGGGAGCTAAGCAATTCGAGAAAAAATGATTAAATTTCTAATTTTAATTCCCATAGAGCTATTAAATGCATTTAACAAACATGAATGGAGAGACTGTTCTGAACAAGGTGCCTCAGAGATGTAATAAAAAATAATGCATGAGCTTCTCCTCAAGGGCTTAAGAGTCAAAGGGAGGAACGATGTCCACACAACTCATTTCTAATTATAAATACTTGTTCAAATGCTCAGTATTCTCCTCGACCCCAGAAGTGGAGATAAATATACATATATATATATATATATATATATATATATATATATATATATATATATATATATGTATGTATGTGTGTATATATAGATGTATGTGTGCATATATATATATATATATATATATGTATGTATATATATATATTTTTTGGGACGGAGTTTCGCTCTGTTGCCCAGGCTGGAGTGCAGTGGTGCAATCTCGGCTCATTGCAAGCTACGCCTCCTGGGTTCACGCCATTCTCTTGCCTCAGCCTTCCAAGTAGCTGGGACTACAGGCGCCCGCCACCATGCCCAGCTAATTTTTTTTTTTTTTTTTTTGTATTTTTAGTAGAGACGGGGTTTCACCATGTTAGGCAGGATGGTCTCGATCTCCTGACCTCGTGATCTGCCTGCCTCAGCCTCCCAAAGTGCTGGGATTACAGGCATGAGCCACCACACCCAGCCAGAGATAAATATTTTTAAAAGACACCTAATTTTTCCTACCTGTTCTCTCACAGCATTGAGCAGGGCTTCCCTTCCCCTTGATCACTCAGCACTTTGGGAGAACTAGGGAACTAATTTTGTACAGAATCATGGAGTTGAAAGGGGTATCAGAGTAGGCAGCTGCGGTTCTTCATTTCACATGTTCAGTTAAGACCTAGAGAATATCCCCAGAGTGGGGACCCAAGCCAGAATGAGGCCTCCTCTAGGCTGGGGGCACTTTCTTTCCCCAGCCTGGACCAGGTTCTCTAGTCACTAGTCAACGGGCATGGAAAGAGTCTAATGTGAATGCAACCACACACCGATCTTCTAATAAACCATACATGCTAAGCAGTGGGCTGGCTCACCTGTATCCACTCCTTTTCTAGGCCCCTGAAGCACCTTTTCTGATGATGCATTTCTGAACATACTGCTTGCCAGATTGTAAATGGGATAAGTCAGCTTTGGTAGAAGAAACCTTGTCTACCTCTTCCAGAACAGGCAGAGGACCCTGGAGGGATGTCCCAACTGGTTGCATGCCGTGTCTGAGAACCCAGAGTCAGTGGGCACTTAAAACCACGTGGACCCAAGAGCTGAGTTCACATTCAATACCTCAACAAGGTAGAGACAGAATAATCAAGAGATTTGGGGATGAACTGCAACCCATCCTGGCAATTCTAGGACATATTTCCAAGGGATTAAGTACAGCCTTTCAATGTGCCTACCCAATAGCTGCAGACCCACAATGCCAAGTTAAACAGACAACCAGAGAGTTTTCACTCAATCTAATAATCTAATGCTGTACTTGCAAAGGACCCACATCCTTCCTTGGGGGGACCATGTCATCCCACAGATGGCACAGACACCCCTGTGTCCTTCACCATGGCAGTCAACACCAATGGCAAGAGATGGCCAGTGGTCTCAGAGCCAAGGACATGCTCTGGGAGCAGCTCTAGGCTCTGCAAGGGAATATACTTAGGGTGGGGGTGACAGTGCAGACCCTAGCCTGGTGTCATGCCTCCCCCAGGGGAAAATGCCAAGACCACCCTCTCTGGTAGTACCTCAGGTCACAGTCACTGCCCACTCTCCTCCCTGAAATCTACTCCCAGGACTCTACCTTTGGAATGCTATTCTTTTCCTCTCTCCCACCCCCTAGTTTTTCATGTAAAGGACTAATCTTTCATCATCCCCAAGGATAAGGAAGTACGTTCTGTAATGATCCTGCCCAATGAGCCCTTGTATGCCTGTTATTCTTATGCACAGCAGCACCTGAGATACAGGAGACATAACCGGCTTCCTGGGGAGTTCACTATCTACTCTGAGTGAGAGGAACTTCACTTAGCATGGCTTAACAGAGCTTGCTTGTATTAGTTCATTTTCACACCACTGATAAAGACATACCCGAAACTGGGAACAAAAGGAGGTTTAATTGGACTTACAGTTCCACATGGCTGGTGAGGCCTCAGAATCATGGCGGGAGGTGAAAGGCACTTCTTACATGGCAGTGGCAAGAGAAAAATAAGGAAGAAGCAAAAGCGGAAACCCCTGATAAACCCATCAGATCTTGTGAGACTTACTTATTATCACGAGAATAGAACAGGAAAGACCATCCCCTGTGATTCAATAACCTCCCCCTGAGTCCCTCCCATAACATGTGGAAATTCTGGGAGACACAATTCAAGTTGAGATTTGGGTGAGGACACAGCCAAACCATATCATTACGCCCCTGGCCCCTCCAAATTTCATGTCTTCACATTTCAAAACCAATTGTGCCTTCCCAACAGTCCCTGAAAGTCTTAACTCATTTCAGAATTAACTTAAAAGTCCACAGTCCAAAGTCTCATCTGAGACAAGGCAATTCCCTTCTGCCTATGAGCCTGTAAAATCAAAAGCGAGCTACTTACTTTCTAGATACAATGGGGGTACAGGTATTTGGTAATACAGCCATTCCAAATGGGAGAAATTGGCCAAAATAAAGGGGTTACAAGGCCCAGGCAAGTCCAAAATCCAGCAGGGCAGTCAAATCTTAAAGCTCCAAAATGATCTCCTTTGACTCCATGTCTCACATCCAGGTCACGCTGATGCTAGAGATGGATGCCCGTGGTCTTGTGCAGCTTCACCCCTGTGGCTGTGCAGGGTACAGCCTCCCTCCTGGCTGCTTTCAGGGGCTGGTGTTGAGTGTCTATGGCTTTTCCAGGTGCACGGTGCAAAGTGTTGGTGGATCTCCATTCTGTGGTCTGGAAGATGGTGGCCCTCTTCTCATAGCTCCACTAGGCAGTGCCCCAGGAGGGACTTGTGTGGGGGCTCTGACCCCACATTTCTCTTCTGCACTGCCATAACAGAAGTTCTCCATGAGGGCCCCACCCCTGCAGCAAACTTTTACCTGGGCATCCAGGCATTTCCATACATCTTCTGAAATCTAGGTGGAGGTTCCCAAACCTTAATTCTTGACTTCTGTGTACCCACAGGCTCAACAGCACCTGGAAGCTGCTAAGGTTTGAGGCTTCCACCCTCTGAAGTCACAGCCTGAGCTCTATGTAGGCCCCTTTTGGCCACGGGTGGAATGGCTGAGACACAGGGCACCAAGTCCCTAGGCTGCACACAGCTCGGGGACCCTGGGCCCAGTCCATGAAACCACTTTTTCCTCCTGGGCCTCCAGACCTGTTCTCCAGAGGGGCTGCCATGAAGGTCTCTGATGTGGCCTGGAGACATTTTCCCCATGGTCTTAGTGTTTAACGTTAGGATCCTTGCTACTTATGCACATTTCTGAAGCTGGCTTGAATTTCTCCTCAAAAAATGGGGTTTTCTTTTCTACTGCATTGTCAGGCTGCAAATTTTCTGAACTTTTATGCTCTCTTTCCCTTTTAAAATGGAATGCTTTTAACAGCACCTAAGTCATCTTTTGAATGTTTTGCTGCTTAGAAGTTTCTTCTGCCAGATACCCTAAATCATCTCTCTTAAGTTCAAAGTTCCACAAATCTCTAGGGCAGAGGCAAAATGCCACCAGTCTCTTCGCTAAAACATAACAAGAGTCACCTTTGCTCCAGTTCCCAACAAGTTCCTCATCTCCATCTGAGACCACCTTGGCCTGGACCTTATTGTCCATATTGCTGTCAGCATTTTTGTCAAAGCCACTCAACAAGTCTCTAGGAGATTCCAAACTTTCCCACATTTTCCTGTCTTATTCTGAGCCCTCCAAACCGTTCCAACCTCTGCCTGTTACCCAGTTCCAAAGTCACTTCCACATTTTCGAGTATCTTTTCAGCAATGCCCCACTCTACTGGTACCAATTTACTGTATTAGTTTGTTTTCACCCTGCTGATAAAGACATATGCGAAACTGGGAACAAAAAGAGGTTTAATTGGACTTACAGTTCCACACGGCTGGGGAGACCTCAGAATTACGGCAGGGAGCGAAAGGCACTTTTTACGTGGTGGTGGCAAGAGAAAAATGAAGAGGGAGCAAAAGCAGAAACCCCTGATAAATGCATCAGATCTTGTGAGACTTATTCACTATCACGAGAATAGCATGAGAAAGACCAGCCCCATGATTCAGTTAACTCCCTCTGGGTCCCTCCCACAACACATGGAAGTTCTGGGAGATACAATTCAAGTTGAGATTTGGGTGGGGATACAGCCAAACTATATCATGGCTAATGACTTTTAACTCCAAGAATCCCCAAGCCACAGAAGCCCCTCCATTCTTTTTACCCACACCTCCTCTTCCTACACACACACACACACACACACACACACACACAAGTCAAAGCAAGTTCATCTAAGCAATGCCTTGGTTACAAGTGCAAACTATGACTACATCAACTGTCAAAGGATAGAAACTGGGCTGATGGTAAGTGAGACAAATACTGTCTCCAGTTCCTTTTATTGAACAACTTATCAATCTAGAACTTAAGAACCCATGGCATACACTCACTCATCTGCTCCACCCTAAAGCCTACAGGATGGCCCAAGAGATATTCTGCCCTTGTGGCCCCCCCCTGGGGTTGTGCCCAAGGTCACACAACTGGTCATCAAGTCCAAGTGAGCTGGAAGCATGTCTCATTTATTTTTACTGTTCAGTGATGATTCTTTCAAGAGATGGTATATTATTTAACAGACAGTCAAAACAAATACTCCAATTCATACATTTTAAAAAGAAAAAGTTAACTATGTACCTCTTGGATGTCAAACAATTTTTGTAAAAGGCATGAAAAATTATACATGCAAATGTGTTGCCCACACTACAATAACACACGTTGTCTTGAAACCTCAAATCATCATTAGAGGAATTGTGAGGAAATGGGCTGCAACCATGGTATGGTTTTTAGACCCCCAAGATAAAAGGGTATTGCATGGACTTCAGGGATGATGTAAGGTGATCTGGGGAAGGAGGACGTGCTGAGTCCCAGGACACTGTGCATTGTGTGGTCTCTTCTGCAACGAAGACATGACAGGCTAACAGGCTAACCCTAAGCTTACTGTAAAAACTCGGAGAACTTAATTCATAGAAAGTTCCTAAAATGTGAGCGCAGAAATTATTTGGGTAAATTATTTGAAGATGGGTGTGTTAGCCCTGGGGGCATGAAAACTGGGGTCTTCTCAGAGGTAGCAAGGTTCAACCTGTCTGCACCACAGACAGACGTCTGCTCTCACTCCAGGCAGCCACCTCCTCTTGAGTGAGCTCCTAAACCTTTGTCTCAGTAACTGAGAAACTTAATCTAATCTCACAGAGGGATGGGTGTATGGTCTGTTCACACCAATCCCCAGCACCATGTGAAACTTAACAGTAATCTAATAAAACAAATGAAACGCTGAACAGACAAGGAAATGAATTTCCAAGGTCTAATTTTATATTTCATAAAAGTCAATACTGCATCTTACTCATGTGTATTCATTCAGACATCAAATTTCCATTATATTTATAAGGAAAACGAGATTAAGAATAAAATATGCTCAAATAGAAAATATTTCCTTGGAAGGAGAAACGCAAAATACTTCAATCCTACAAAATGAGTTTACTTTAGACTTATCTACTTAACTAAGAGAGATGTATTTAAAACTTGTATTAGCATTAATGTGTATTTGACTTCTCAGAATGTGAGATGCTGTAGAGCAGTAATTGCTAATAGCAAGGACTGGGGTTTTGTGGAATCATGCAATTTTACCAAACAAGGCTTTAGATGCATGGGAGACTAACTCTTTCCCTTTGCCAAGAGGAACCTAGAGCACGACAGGCCAGACCTTGGCCAGCTGTAGCTGCTGCATGGCCCACTCCCTCCCAGTCCTAGTCTATACTCCCCCACTTCCTGGTCCAGAAATGCTGTGTGCAAACCAGCCAGCTAAACACGCCTCCACAACACAGGCAAGTAATAAGGCAGCGTCCGGCCCTTCTCTCCATTTCAGCTTTTTAAAGACTTATTTTTAACCCACTTCTCCCGTCTGTTACTATGAATGATGAAGAACACCATTCCAAAAGTGTGATGAAGGCGGTTCCCCCCTTGTGGCATCTGTGTTAAGGCCATCTTATTCTTGGTCTCACACACAAACTTTTTGGGAGACATGGCAGTCTACCAATAGGCAAATAAAATTCTTTTTCCAAGGTTCAAGGGTAAAATATTTTCACATTAAATACGTTACAAAAAAGAACCAGCATATCTTATTCCCATTTTGTCCTCAAGGATGAACAGCTTCTAAAGGGATTTGGCATCACCTATTTTACATGTAGTGGCGCTTCCCCTTTAACCATTTACAGTGTTCAATCAAGGTGAAGAGCCTGATTCACTAAAGCTGAAAAACATGTTATTCCCATTTGCCCCCTTGAAATCAGTAGTTCAGTTTTCCACACAATTTAAATGGAATGAGAAGCATAAAGAAATGCCCAGTCATAGCACTGGGCTAGTTCTCTAGTAGGGCATCTGTGAAACTTCTTTCCTTTTAAAGTGTGATGTTCCCTTTCGCATGGGGCCTCCATGAGGAACCTCAGTAGGAGAGAGGAGTCTTTGGTCTTCAGTAACACACCCAGATGCTGCAATGACCATCTAAGCATGGGAAACACCCATCCCAACTCACCAAAATAGCCCTGGAGCACAAGCTGGCCTCTCTGAGTTCAGTCCCTGCGAGGAAAAGTCTCCCAGGGAACATGTGGTTGAATAACCTGGCACACACTTAAAATCAGATAAAGCACATTTTAAGTGAAAAAGCACAGTTGCTTTTTCTTGTTTTCATTTTATAGGGAAAAATAAAAGCACAGTAACGAAACGTTTTTCATCAGAGAAATTTTGAGGCCAAGAGCCCTTCCCATCTCATTTAGGCACGTCATGGAAATAAATGTGGCACCATCAGAAGGTCAGAGGCCATGACTTGCACACAGCTTGCTCAGAGCAAAGTGCCCCTTCCCTCCTCCACCAGGCTTGGGGGCCACAGGAATTACTTCCTAAGTGGACATCCGCCACCTATAATTCAGTGCAAGGGGTCAAATAGGCCCCTCTGGGAAGTACTACCACACAGGGTCCCAGGGCCTAAGTCAATCGGGAGTCAAAGCCAGGAGCAAACATCAAGGGTGTGCAGGAGAGGATTTCCACGGGGTTGCCCTGGCTGGCACATTCACGCCATGACCAGGACACCAGCCTGTAGTTCACTGAAGTCAACTTTCTCCTCTCCAAACTAACACTCACTTCCGCAGTCTGAGAAGGCACTCAATCCTGAGACTCAAAGTGTGCTAAGAGCCACCTTCCAAAGACATGGAGCCACTGAAGCAATCTCTGCTAGGGAGGCCTACATTCCAGACTCCACAACCTCTGGTCATTCAAGTATGTGCCCCCAACCCTTCCTTAAGTTTCCATCTCTTGGAAGACAGGCATGCGGGAGCGGAGGGGGAGGGGCGGGGGGCGGGGGCGGAGCACACCGGCGCACACACATGCACCCACCTCAACTTGGAGATCCACTCCCAAGGTGGCTCTGACACAGGCCCGCCAAGCCGCGTTTAGCACGCCCCCTGCTGGCCCACAAGAGCTAATTCAACCTTTCTTCCGTGGGCCTAAGGCATGAATAAATGACCTTAATATCCCAAAGGGAACAGAAAGAAAATCAGGGCAATTTTTACTTCTTAGAAACGGAAGATGTGACAGTGATCTCTTTTGGGAAATCACTGACAACTCCCAAATTTAAGCACTCTAAACATACAAGCGGGATGAAGAGGCTTTAAAGCGGTTGTTTTAAAATGTTTTGGGGAAATAAGTGACCCACACCTAAAGATTTAGTGGAAACACTTCCGTTTGAAGTTTTACTAGTACTACAGCGAGTTAAACCATAAACGTGGTGAATATTTTCACGAGTCTACAGGTGAAAACAAAAAGATGGATACGGGGCCAGATTGATTTCACAGACTCCATTTTCAAAGAGTTTGCAATGCAGACCCTGAAAAACCAATCTTCATACTATTGAGGACATGTTGTAAAGAAGAATCTCTGCCACAACTCAAGAGTTAAGTTCTACAGCAACTACACACAGCGGGAGCAGTGTCATCCAAAAGCAGCTCACTTGGAGCCAGTTTCTCATCTCACTTAGGCACACCATTGGGAATAAATGCGGCACCATCAGGAGGTCAGAGGCCAAGAATTACACACACTTGCTCAGAGAAAGGTGTCCCCTCTCCTTCTCCACCAAGCTTGGGGGCCTCAGGAGTTACTTTCTAAGGGAAAACCTGCCATCTATGATCCAGGCCCAAGTGAGACCCGCACGTGGCAATACTTCGTAAAGCGGCGATTTCCACCCATTATCAGCCTGAACACTAAAGGCCTAAGTAACCACTGTTTTCCCATTCTTTTCACACCAATACAGGGTTCAAGAGATTGAAGTTCCTAACCAGGTCCCAACTTTTGAGTGGCATATGGTATTAAATTCCTTACAGATCCAATAAAATCACACTAACAATTTAAGGCATGCTTATTTTAACCAATTAGGAGGTGTCATTAATTATTAAATACAAAAATGTCAATACTTTTGTCCCTTATTGGATATCCTTTCGATATGATAGGCTTGAGTAGATACTCAGATTGCCTTGGGAACTTGCTTAGTTTTGTTCCCATAAGAATTGGTACTAATGGCACACTCACAATAAAATAATGGAGTGTTGATCCCATTTAGTGGGGAATGTTTATCCAGAACTGAGTGTGCCGTGCAGATCTACCTCTGTTCTCGTGAACCCTCTTTGGGTCTTGAAGAGGCCTTTGAAGCTGGTGGGACACACGGCTGCTGGGAGGACCCTAGTGAACCTGCCTCCCCGCCTTCGCCCAGGGCAGGCTTCTCCGGGCACACCCTGGAGGAGGAGGAGGAGGATGGTGAAGGACACCTGCAGATTTTCCTGAAGCAATTAAGACCTGTAAAGATTTAGGCCCCGCTGTCAACCTTTTCCTGGACACATTATCTGCCTCATCATATTTTTAAAAATTGTTCCTCTTACAGCCCACTTCCATTTACAAAGGTATCACCTGGCGGTAACCATGTGCATGTCATACATGACTTTCCCCTGGATCCTTGTGCTGTGGATGAAGCGTTTCCCTGATCGGGGTCTCACAAGTTTCCCTTCAGCTACTCTTAAATCTATACATTCTCAAGCCAATAGACAGAAATAAAAGTCATTTGCACTTGTGTGAGGTAGCTGAGTTTACAGAGCAGAGGCAAATCCATTTTATTACAGAGATTCTCAAAGGGCTGCAATAGCTTCACCGGGAGGGAGGAGGGTACACTTGAGCGGTTGTGTCCAATGAAGGAAAGTTTTAGTTAATGATGACATCACTGACATCTCCCAAATTTAAAGGAGCACTTAAAGCACCGCAGATGCAATTTTTTCCCCTCCAGTGAGGAGATACTAGGGAAGGCCTCTGGGTTCACAGCCAAATTGCCTTAATGGTTTGCCTGCTGTCCAGCGAGACCCAGCAGAGCGAGCGGGACGGCGGTGCGCCGGGCCGCGGGGACCCACGCAGTCACAGCTCCGGTGCCCGGCGAGCGGCCTCGCGCGCGGCTCGGGGCCGGGCCCTGCCCGGCCGTCTGCAAGAGCCGCGGGACCCCCGACGCGCGCGCACGGACCGAGGGGTCGGTCGCCCCACGCCTGGCATCACGTTCCAGTGCGGACAGCCAAAGGGCTGAGCGGAGGCAGCAGCCCCGACCCAGCGGTAGCGCCGCGCCCTGCCCGAGAGAGGCGCGCCACGCCGGGCCGGAGCCGGTGGCCCGGGAGCCCGCGGGGTCCGGAGCGGAGCCCGCAATGCAGACGCGCCGGCGAGCCCAGCCGGGGCCCGCGCCCCCCGCGTCCCCGCGCCCCGGCCCCGCGGTCGCCCGGCCTCAACGCCCACCTGCCTCGCCACGGAGCTCGGGAAGGAGACGGCGCCGGCCCCGCGCCCGGAGAGCGCACCTGCCTGGTCCGCGGGCCCGGCCCCGCCGCCCGCCGGCAGCACCGCGGCCAGCGCCGTCTTACCTGCCGCGCCGCGCCGCTCCGCTCCGCCAGCCCGCAGCGCCGCAGTCGCCGCTACCCGACTTCCATTTTCTCTCGCTTTAAAGGAAAACCAGATCAGCTGTTTTGCTCCCGCTCGGGCTCCGCGGCCCCCTCCCCAGCTGCCGCTCGCGGTCCCGGTGGGCTCTCCTCCCCCGCCTCCTCCCGCGCTCCGCTCCGCCCCTCGCGCCCCTCCGCTTCCGCCCGCGGCCGCGCACAACGCCCGCCTCCCGGCTCCGCCTGCTGCCTCCGGGCGCGCGCCCTCCTCTGACGTCACCGGTCGCGTTCGCGCCCCGCCCCCGCCCCGCGCGGACGTGCGCGCGCCGCGCCTGTGCCCCGCCCCCGCCCCTCCGGGGCCGGGCACGGAGAGCGCGTGCTCGCGGCCGCGAGCCGAGGAGGGGACGTACAGCGCCCGCGCGCCCGCGAGCCCGCTCCGGCTCTCCCATGCTTGCCCCTCGGGGTGCTCCTTCTGCACTCTCCGCCTGGACTGCAGGAAAAGGCTGCTTAAACAGCCTGCCTTTTCCTGCTGCCTGACTCGCGCCATCTGCGGCCACCTGTCTCGTTTCTTCCCCCTGGCTGCCGCACCCTTCCTTCCTAAACATCCCAAACTTTCTCCCACCCAGGCTGTCCAGGCTGCAGTTTCTACGCCCTGCGCTGGGGCCTGTGCATCACGCCTAATCCAAAGCTGGTCCTTTTACCTCCCAAAAAGGTTCTCTGACCTTTTCCCATTTTTTGCCTTCCTCTAAAGACTTTTTCACGCCACCCCTTCAGATGGTTCCCCTCCCTGATGGCAAGACCTGCTCGCTGCTCTGGGCCCTTCTCACGTCACCCTGTAGATGTAGTCACGCTTCCTTATCCCAAACAGGACGTTATATTGCAGATGACCCATACCATCCTGGTGTACTTCTAAACAATCATTATTTTACTTTTAGTTTAGGACTTTTTGCTTGACTTTAAACATTGTATATGTTTAATAGTGTTTAATAATTTATTTGACTTTTAAAATTGATATTCAGTAAAATTGGTTATTTGATATATAATCCTGTGATCTTGAACCCTTGTTTGGATTCATGTAACCACTAGCGCAATAAAGAGCTCCCTAGTTCTGCCCTTTTATAACAGCGCCCCCGCCAACCCTAACTTTTGGTAACCACTGATAGGTTCTCCATTGCTACGGTTTTGTCTTTGTGAGTGTGTCGTATACATGGAATTACGCAATATGTAACATTTTGAAACTGACTTTATTCCCTCATCATTATACCTTGGAGATTCATCCATGTTATTGTGTATAGTAATAGTCCTTTTTATTGTTGAGGGGAGTCTCATTATTTGTACCACATTTTGTTTAGTCACCCACTGGAGAATATTTGCGTGGTTTCCAGTTTTTGGCGACTGTGAATAAACATTCTATAAACATTTGCATGCAGCGTTTTGTACGGACAAATTTTTTAAATTAGTTGACTAAATATCTAGGAGTGCAATTGCTAGATCTTATGGTAAATTTGTTTAACTTTATAAGAACCAAACAGTTTTCTAGAGTGGCTATAGCATTTTTATAACTGTCAGCAAATATGAATCCCTTTCCTTCATCCTCACCAGCACTTGATATTGGCTATCTTTATCTATCTATCTGTCCATCCATCCATCCATCCGTCTATCATCTATAATTTTAGACATTCTAGTAGGCATATAGTGCTATATCGTTGTTAATTTTCAATTTTCTACTGAAAAATTATGTGGAGCAACTTTTCATATGCACCTGTATATCTTCTTTGGTGAGATGTTTGTTCACATCTTTTGCCCATTAAAAAAAAAAGGTTGTTTTCTTATGGTTGAGTTTTAAGAGTTCTTTGTGTATTTTGGATAGAAGTACTTTATCTGATACGTGTTTTGCAGGTATTTTCTTCCAGTGGAAGCTTGTCTTTTCATTCTCTTAAACAGTCCTGTCCTGAATTTAGGGGAAGTATCCAGTTTCTTACCACTAAATATGATGTTAGCAGTAGGATTTTTTTAGTTCTTCTTTATCAAGATTAGGAAGTTCTCTCTATTCCTAGTTTGCAGAGTTTTTATCATGAATGAATGTTGGATTTTGCCAAATTCGTTTTCTGCATCTATTGATACGGTCATGTGATTTTATTTTCTTTAGCTTGTTGATATGATGGGTTACATTGATTTTCAATTGATTTTCAAGGAACCGGTCTTGCATACTTGGGTCAAATTCTACTTGGGCATGGTATATAATTGTTTTTATACACCATTGTATTCAATATGCTAATATTTTGTTGAAGACTTTTGCATCTATGTTCATGAGAAATATTTGGCTATAGTTTTCTTTTTTGTAATGTCTTTAATTTATTTTGGTATGCCGGTAATGCTGGCCTCATAAAATGAGTTAAGAAGTAATATTTACTTGTATTTTCTGTAAGAAATTGTAAAGAACCTATATCAATTCTTCCATAAATGTTTGGTAAAATTCCCTGGTGAAACCATCTGAATCTGGTGATTTTTTTGAGACTTCATTAATTATTGATTCTTTGTGGATACAGAGCTATTAGGTGATCTGTTTGCTTTTCTGTAAAATGTAGTTGTATCATTCAAGGAATCGGTCCTTTTTATCTAATATTCAAACTTGTGGGTGTAAAGTTGTTCATCATAAACCTTTATTATTCTTTTAACATCTATGAAATTAGTAGAGATGACGCCTCTTTCATTTTTTGATATTGGCAAACTATGCCCAATGTCTTTTTTTCTTGGTTAACCTGGACAGGTTTATTAATTTTAATCATCTTTTCAGCTTTTTCTTTGTTTTGTTGATTTTTTTCTATTGTTTTCTATTTTCAATTTCATTCTCTAATTTTTATTATTCCTCTTTGTTCTGCTTGTTTTAGGCTTAAATTGCTCTTCTTTCTCTATTATCCAAGGTGACAATTTAGGTTGTTGATTTTAGATTTTTCTTCTTTTCAAATGTATACATTTACTGCTATAAATATCCCCGCTTTTACTGCATCCCACAAATTTAGAAAAGTTGTACTTTAATTTTTATTTAGATCAATGTTTTTAGTTATTCTTGAGATTCCTCTTTGACCCAAATGTTTTTTAAAAATGTGTTGTTTAGTTTCCAATAATTTGGGACTTTCCAGCTATCATTCTGTTCTTGATTTCTAGGTTACTTCCATTGTGGTATGAAGACATACTTTGTTTAATTTCTATTTTTCTTTAATTTGATAAGGTGTGTTTTATAGATCAGAATGTGGCCAATGTTGGTGATTATTCCATGCCAGCTTGAGAAGAATGTGTATTGTGCTATTGCTAGATCTACAAATATCAATTAAATAAAGTTGATAATGCTGTTTAGGTCAATTATATCCTCACCGATTTTTTGCCTATCTGATCTTATCAATCATGGATAGAGAAATGTTGAAGTATCCTATGATAGTGGATTGGACCATTTTTTCTTTCAGGTTTATCATTTTTTCCTCACTTATTTTGACATTTTATTCTTAGGCACATGCATATTTAGGGTTATTATGTATTCTTGGAGAATTAGCCCCTTTATGATTATGAGTTTCTTACCTATCCCTCCCCTCACATCCCTGATAATTTTCCTTTTTCTCAAGTCCCTTTTATCTGAAATTAATGCAGCTACTCCAGTTTTCTTTTGATCAGGGTTAACATGGTATATCTTTCTTCATCCCTTTACTTTTAACCAAACAGATACTTTATATTTAATGTCAACAAGATATAGTGGGGTCTTGTTTTGTTATCTACTCTAGCAATCTGTGTCTTTTAATTGGTGTATTTAGACCATTCACATTTAACACAATTGTTGATCTATTTGGATGAATATCAATCATATTTGTAACTGTTTCCTACTGGTTGCCAGTGGCGGCTTTTTCTGCCTTCTCTGATTTTAATTGAGCATTTTGTGTGGTTCTATTTTATCTTCTCTTAAAGAGTATCAATTATACTTTTTAAAGAATTTTTTAGTGGCCATTCTAGAGTTTCTTTTTTCTTTGCTTTGCTTTTTTTTTAAGACAAAGTCTGGCTCTATCGCCTAGGCTGGAGTGCGGTGGTGCCATCTCGGCTCACTGCATCCTCTGCCTCCTGGGTTCAAGCCATCCTCCCAGCTTAGCCCCCTGAGTAGCTTACCATGCCCAGCTAATCTTTGCAATTTTTGTAGAGACAGGATTTCACCATGTTGTCCAGGCTGGTCTCAAGCTCGTTAGCTCAAGCAATCTGCCTGCCTTGGCCTCCCAAAGTGCTGGGATTACAGGTCTGAGCCATCATGTCCAGCCTAGAGTTTCTAATATAGATTTTCTTCTTTTACTAATGTGTGTTCACCTTCAAATCATGGTATTGTTTCACATGTAACGTAGATATCTTATAAGAGTGTGTTCCCAATCCTCCCTCCCATTCCTCGTAGCATTGCTGTTAGTCTTTTCTCTTATCCATATGCTACAATGACCTGTTACTATTTTTGCTTTAAATAAGAAGTTATCCTTTAAATTATTAATGAAAATAAAAATAAAAGATTTCATTTTACCTCCATTTATTGCTTCTCCAACACTTCCTTTCTTAATATAGATCCAAGTTTCTGACCTACATCATCTTCCTTCTGTCTGGAGAAAATCTTTTAACATTTCTTGAAGGACAGGTCTGATGGTGAATTACCTCAGCAAGTAAGTCCCTATTTTTCTTCTTCTTTTTTTTTTTTTTTTTTTTGAGACAGAGTCTCGCTCTGTCGCCCAGGCTGGAGTGCAGTGGCGCGACCTCGGCTCACTGCAAGCTCCGCCTCCCGGGTTCACGTCATTCTCCTGCCTCAGCCTCCCAAGTAGCTGGGACTACAGGCGCCCGCCACCACGCCCGGCTAATTTTTTGTATTTTTAGTAGAGACGGGGTTTCACCGTGTCAGCCAGGATGGTCTCAATCTCCTGACCTCAAAATGCGCCTGCCTCGGCCTCCCAAAGTGCTGGGATTACAGGCGTGAGCCCCCGTGCCCGGCCTCTCCTTCATTTTTTAAGAATAATTTTTCTAGATATAGATTCTTAGTTGGTTATTTTTTGTCTTTCAAACCTTTAAATATCTCACTCCACTCTTTACTTGCTTGGATGGTTTCTGATGAGAAATTCCCTGTGTTTCTTGTCCTATTTTTCTATAGGCAAGCCACTGCACTCATACCCCCAATTCAGCTTTTTTCAAGATTTTCACTTTTTCTGTCCTTTTTTTTGTTGGTTTTTGCTTCGGTATTCTGCAGTTTGAAAATTATATGCCTAGTTTCATTTTTTGTTTCTTTAATCCTGTTTGTTTTTGTCTGACCTACACAGCTTTACAGCTTGGTGTCTGTCATTCATGTTGGAACGTTCTCAGCTATTATTACTTCAAACATTTATTCTACTATGTTCTCTCTTCTATTTTGGTCAAATAATTACACATATGTTAAAACTGTTGAAGTTATCCACAGATCTTGGATGTCTGTACTTCTTTTTCCATTTATTATTATTTTCCCATTTCAGTTTGGGAAGTTTCTGTGGACCTATATTCAAGCTCACTGATTCTCTTCCTCAGCCATGTCAAGTTGTGTGACAAGCCCATCAAAGGCATCCTTCATTGTCTGTCACAGTGCTTTTGATTTTTAGCATTTTTTTTCTTAGAATTTACATCTTTCTGCTTACATTACCCATGTATTCTTGCAGGTTGTCTACTTTTTAAAAAAATTTATTTATTTTTATTTATTCATTTATTTTTTATTTTTTATTTTTTTGAGATGGAGTCTTGCTCTGTCATGCAGGCAGGAGTGCGATGGCATGATCTCGGCTCACTGCAACCTCTGCCTCCTGGGTTCAAGCCATTCTCCTGTCAGCCTCCTGAGTAGCTAGGATTACAGGTGCACACCACTAAGCCCAGTTAATTTTTGTATTTTTAGTAGAGATGGGATTTTGCCATGTTGGCCAGGCTGGTTTCAAACTCCTGACCTCAGGTGATCTACCCACCTCAGCCTCCTAAAGTGCTGAGATTACAAGCATGAGCCATGGTGCTCAGCTGCAGGTTGTCTACTTTTTTCCATTACAGCCTGTATCAGCCAGTGTTCACCAAAGAGGTATATATAATACACACATACATAAATACACATACACACACACATATATATATAATACACACATATATTAATATTTAAACATAGGTATGTATGTTTAAGGTCTGGTGTGGCTGTAAGGATCAGAGGCTTCACATTGCTCTAGTGTCCTTGTTTCTGTCTCCTCTCTTGAATTTGGGCCTCCCTGTGTACTCCTCCTTAGAGACAGTCTGTGTTGTATAGTTCTTTATTTGTAAGCCATTGTGATTACAGTGGGGCCCTGTTGGTGTGGTGGTAAGGTATGGGTAAGGGGAAGTGTTGTATAATCTTCCAGTGAAATCTCAATCTGTTAGTGAGCCTGTGTCCCTGTCTCAGCCTGTTAGTGGGCCTGTGACTCTCATAAGTGTTTCTTCTGGCCCAGCATTCCTCCTTCCCGCTGCCCCCTTAGGTGAGACAGAGACATCCAGGCTGTGGGGCTGGGTTGAGAGGAATTTCCTTTTCCACAGCTCTGGGAAAAGATGCTGATAAAGGTTTTTTCCCATTAAGAGTAACCCTGTCACATGGAGAATGCTCTGGATACACTTCACAAGGATTGCTTTTTTCCTCTTTCTTCCAGAGCCAGGAGGGACTCTTCTTTGGCTTGCCACTGTGAAACCTGGTGATGTTGATGGAGGTCATGTTCCTGAAGGTATGAGGGCCCTCCCGAGACTGAGCCACCAGGCGTTTCTCACTCTCAAGCTAGTCCATGCCCAGACTCCAGTAATTTGTCAAAATTACCATTTAAGTGTTCCTATCAGTTTATAGCCCTAGCAGCTTCTTCAGGTAAGCAGATTTCAGCTGTGACTGTCTGGTTTCACCTGTCTCTTCAGATTTCTGGATGACAATTTGTCCTACAACTCAATTCTCTGATGGGTCCAAAAAAAGTCATTGTTTTCCCATTTTTCCAGTTTCTCTGATTGTAAAGACAGCTGCAACAACATCCAAGCTCTTTACAGTCAGAGCCCAAACCATAATTCTCACTTTTCTTGTGGTTTTAATATGCAATTTCCTAATAGCTTATGATATGGAGCCTCTTTTTATGGATGGATTCACCATTCTTGTATTCTTTTTCATTAACTTTCTGTTCAAGTAATTTTTTTTCCATTTTGATGGGATTTTAAAATATTCTTACTGTTGAGTTTTGGGGTTCTTTACACATATTCTTTATATAAGTCAGTTATCAGATATGTGATTTACAAACATTTTCTTCAGCTCTTTAGCTTGACTTTTCATCATATTAAGAGAAGTTTTCTTTCACAGCAAACATTTTGCATTTTTATGAAGTCCAATTTAGAATTTAAAAAAATTATGTGGCTTGTGCTTTCGGT
Organism: Homo sapiens; assembly: GCF_000001405.40. Classification (NCBI taxonomy): domain Eukaryota; kingdom Metazoa; phylum Chordata; class Mammalia; order Primates; family Hominidae; genus Homo; species Homo sapiens. The sequence continues at coordinate 4,163,101 of NT_187660.1, forward strand.
GACACATCTAAGTACTCTTTGCTTAATTCCAGGCAACAAACATCTTCTGTGTTTTCTTTGAAAAACTGTATAGTTTTGCAATTTACATGTATATCTCTAACCCATTTTGAGTTAATTTTTATATTAGGTGTGAGGATTGGGTCCAGGAACATTTTTGGGGTCATGCAGATATCTAGATTTCTAGCACCATTTGTTGAAAAAGCTATCCTTTGTGCATTTAGTAATATTTGCACTTTGTTCAGTTGTCAAAAATCAATCATGTGGGTCTGTTGGGTTTGTTGCTGGATTTTGTTTTGTGTTGTATTGATGTATTTGTCTATCCCTTCAGCAACTGCATGCTGTCTTGACTACTGTGGTTTTTATTGATTTTTTAAATCAGATATTGTGAGTACTCCAGTTTGTTCCTTTTCAAAAAAATGTGGCTGGGCTAGTTCCTTTGCCTTTCTGAATAACTTAGAATCAAGCCTATGTGTACCTATAAAAACTCTTTCCAGGGTTTTGATGAAAATAGATTTAGATCTGTGGCTCACTTTGGGGAAAATGAAGACTTTTTTTTTTCTTTTTTTTTTTCTTTTTTTTTTTTTTGAGAGGGAGGCTCACTCTGTCTTCCAGGCTGGAGTGTAGTGGTGGGATCTTGGCTCACTGCAACCTCTGCCTCCCGGGTTCAAGCGATTCTCCTGCCTCAGCCTCCTGAGTAGCTGAGATTACAGGTGTGCACCACCACACCTGGCTAATTTTTGTATTTTTAGTAGAGATGGGGTTTTACCATGTTGGCCAGGCTGGTCTTGAATTCCTGACCTCAGGTGATCTGCCCGCCTCTGCCTCCCAAAATAGTGGGATTACAGGTGTGATCCACCATGCCCAGCCATTAATATCTTAATTATATAGGGTCTCCCAACAAGTATACATGGTATAGGTCTCTCCATTTATTTAGGTTTTCTTTGATTTTTCTCGTTAATGTTTTATAATTAAACATTCAGATTCTGTACATGGTTAGGTAGATTTATTTCTATTTCCTTTGTAGATGTAGTCAATTAAAAATTTTTTTCCATTTCTACCATTCATTACTAGTATATATAAATATGATTGATTATTGTCTGCTGACCTTATATTCTGCAACCTTATTAGTTCTAGGAGCTTTTTCATACACTCCATTGGATTTTTCTGTGTAGATAACCTTGTGTTCAGTGAATGAAAGCTGTTTTCTTCTTTTTACCCATCCATATGCCATTTATTTATTTTTCTTGCTTAATTACACTGGCTAAAACTTCTAATGAAAGAATGAAGAGAAGAGATGGGCGTAGACATTCTTGCCTTGTTTCTGGCCTTAGGGGCACAAATTCAACCTTTCATCATTAAGTATGTGGTTAGCTGAAGGCTTCTGTAGATACCATTTGAGGTTGGAGATCCCTATTAGTTCTGGGAGGCTGAAGCAGTTGGATCGCTTAACCCAGGTGTTCAAGGCTATGGTGAGCTGTGATTGCACCATTGCATTCCAGCTTGGGTGACAGAGTGAGACTCTGACTCTAAAAAATAAAAAAAAAATAACAAAATGAAAAACCACAAAACATTTGTTGAAGGCTGAATGTACTTATTTGCGAAAATATTTTTACATGTCCCTTCCCCTTTTGAAATACAATTTTCTATCTACTAGCAAGCCTTGGGATATAATGATGATGAAATCTGTGCAGTGGTAGGAAGTATAGTCAAGGAATATTATTTTGTGTACTACATAAAATGTATTTATGTATCACGTGTACTACATCATGAAATGAATAAGTGAAATGGGGACTGTGACTTTAAAAAATTATAACTTTTCCAAGTATATGCAAAATTATGATCATTTTCAATGAAATTCATTAATTATGGCGAGCATATTGCAATAGACTGTGAAAAATGTATTAGCTTTCTAAGACTGCCATAATAAAGTACCAAATATTAGGTGGCTTAAAACAACAGATATTTATTTTTTCAGTTCTGGAGGCCAGAAGTCCAGAATCAAGAAGGTTGACCTTTTCTGGAGATTCTAAGAGAGCATCCATTCCATGCCTCTCTCCTAGGTTTTTGTGGCTGCTGGCAGTCTTGGGCATTCTTTGGTGTTATGGATGGAATGTTTGTTTTCCCAAAAAATGCATATGTTGAACCCTAGCCCCAAATGTGATGGTATTTGAAGATGAGACCTTTGGAATCGATTAGGTCATGAGAGTGAGGCCTTGGTCTGGTGGGATTAACGCTGCTGAAACAAGAGCCTCCAGAACACTTGATATCTTTCTCTCTGTCTCTCTCTCTCTCTCTCTCTCTCTCTCTCTCTCTCTCTCTCTCTCTCTCTCTGTCTCTGCACACACCAAGGAAAGGCCATGTGAGCACACAGTGAGAAGGCAGCTGTGTAGAAGCCAGAAAGAGCCCTCGGCAGAACCTATGTTGGCACCGTGATCTAGGACTTCCAGCCTCCAGAACTCTGAGAAAATAAACTTCAGTTGTTTAAGCTACCCATTCTGTGATATTTTGTTATGGCAGCCAGAGAGGACTAAATATGCTTAGCATCTAGATGCATCATTCTAATCTCTGTGCCCACCCTTTCATCCTTTCTCTCTGTGTTCTTTCCTTTTCTTTCTCTTACAAGAACACTGGCCATCAGATTAGGGACCTATCCCAGGTCATCCAGATGATTTTAATCTCAAAAACTATAACATAATTTTATGGGCAAAGACCCTACTCCCAAAAAGGTGATATTCACAGGTACTGAAGGGTAGGACTTGGACATATCTCTTAGCAGGAGAGGAGGGACAGTTTAACCTGCTACACATGGAATGGAAATAAATAGTTTCATGGGGGTGAAATCTAGGGGTGAGAGGACAAGACATTTTCTCATCATCTTCAATGTGTTGGGAGGGCTGGAGACATGACTGCATTTCAGTTGTCTTCATAGCAAAAGAGGTCATGCATAGATGACACTGACAGGTTTGTCTTTGACTCCTTGATAAAAAGAAAGTATGGTTAAGGAGCAGTATTTTAAGGAAGTCATCAGTGATGAACTACATTAAATAATACTGATACTGTGCCCCCGATGAAAATCACCAGCTGAATAGAAGAGTCTGAGAAGAAGCCAGCAGTATCGATTTGGAACCTCCCTAAATCCCCAGGTAAAGAGAGAGCAACTAATAAAATAAACCAAATATACTTATCGTATCCCAAATACCAATGTCAGAAAGAATGGAGACAAGCCATCAAGAAAGAATAGCCCAGTGCGGTTTCAGAAACTATGTGAAGAAGTGAAAGGAAGAAAAGGAAAAATAAAGATGGTTGCAGCTTGATGTAAATCCCTTCCATTTCTTTCTTACTAAGAGTATCATGCATGCACATTGACCTTTAAAAACAGTTTTACTGGCTGGGCCAGTGGCTCACACCTGTAATCCCGACACTTTGGGAGGCCGGGGTGGGTGGATCACTTGAAGTCAGGAGTTTGAGACCAGCCTGGCTAACATGGTGAATCCCTGCCTCCACTAAAAATGCAAAAATTAACCAGAGATGGTGGCAGGCACCTGTAGTCCCAGCTATTCAGGAGGCTTAGGCAGGAGAATCACTTGAACCTGGGAGGTGGAGGTTGCGGTGAGCCGAGATCATGCCACTGCACTCCAGCCTGCGCGACAGAGCAAGACTGTCTCAAAAAACAAAACAAAACAAACAAACAAAAAAAACAAGTTTTACTGTATAATTGACATGCGATAAACCAAACATACTTAAAATGTACAGATTGATGGATTTTGACATACATGTACACTCAAGAAACCATCACCACAATCCAGGCAATGAACATTTCCATCGCCCCCTAAGTTTCCCTGTACCCCTAAGTCATTCCTTCCTCCAGCTTCTCCCTACTCTTCCCCCATCCTGTCCCCAGAACACTACTGATATGTTTTCTGGTGTTGACAATTTTAAAAATACTTTCTCTGCATTCACTGAAATAGTTTTTCTCCTTTAATATTTAATAATTTTTATAATGTTATTGCATACTATTTTCTAATGCTAATGCATACTATTTTATACCTTCTTTACTAATGTTCTCCTTAGGATAATAGCATTTATATTTGTAAATAAGATTGGCCTATGGTTCTTTCTCATGATCTTCTTCTCTGCTTTTGGTATCAAAGTCATACTAGATGCATAAAATGAGTTAGGGAAGATATCGGTCAGGATAGGTTAGGTTATAAGGCACAACAAAAGAGACTGAAAACCTCAGATAGTTAAAAACAAAACAAAACAAACGTATATTTCTGGCTCTTGTTACATATCCATCACTGATCACTAGGAGCATCTATGCTCCTCATAGGCACTCAGGGCCCACATGAGTTCCTTTCTACACATCTCCACCACTGCTGCAGAAGGCAGAAGAGAGCATCATGAACCTCGCAATGGCTCAAGGCCATTTCCACTCACATTCTATTGGCCAAACCAAGTCAGACAGCTGTGACTTCTTACCAGGCGAACTTCCCTGATGACTATCACCATCTGCCCTTCTGTCACCAAATACTCAGTTCTGTCTTCTTTCTATGCACAGAAGAGTACACCTTTTCATCAAGTCCAGATGTGGCTCTCCTTTGACTAGAGACCTGTGGCCTGAAGTGACAAATTGCCTTTTTGCACTTCACTCCTCTGTCTCTCTACCTTTCTCCACCCTGCTCTGGGCCGTGGGAGGACAATCTGCATCAAAAGCCTCCCTTCTTCTCTGGCTTCCAGTTGGGTTTGACAAGAGATGAGAAAGAGGAAACTGAGTGAGGTTGGGTTGCATATTGCTTTTGCTCCCCATCTGTGAGATGGCCACTGGCTGGCGAGCTAGCTGAATTTGGCCTAATTTCCAAGGGAATCGAACCTGCAGTCCACCTGTGCCTGAAAGGAGATATTAGCATTGCATCCATGTCTACTCCAGGAAGAATGGCCTCTGTTTCTCTGGTATTTGGAGATGAGGCCTTGCTCATATTACCTTGGGAGGTAATGTGAACAAGATGGAAATTAATACTTATTGAACATTTTATGTAATGTGCTTATTAAACTATCTGAGGACTTATTTTTTGTTATTTCTTTTTGTGATGCCATTTGTTTACAGTACAAATACAGATCATAAATTTATGATTCAATGAGTTTTGTCAAATGCACACATGCATATAACCCGTACCCCTATCAAGATGTAAAACATTTTCAACACTATGGAACATTCTTTTTTCTTATTCAAGATATATTTTTACTCATCCTTAATCTTTGTATTTCTGTACATTTTAGAATCAGCTTGTTCATTTCTACTAAAATATCTGCTGGGATTTTTATTGGCACCATCTTTGATTCTATAGATCACTTTGAACATACTAAATATATTGTAATCCTAAACATATTGAATCCTCCAACCCATTAACATGATATATACATAATACATGTATTGACGTCTTCTTTAATTTCCCTAAAAGTGTTATATAGTTTTCAGTTTACAGGTCTTACACATATTTTATTAAATTTATCCTTAAGTATTTAACTATCCTTAACTATTGTAAGTGGTATATAAATGCTAATTTTTCAAATTATTTTTGGTAGGATGAAAAAATACACTCAATTTCATATATTGACTTTGTGTATTGCCACCTTGCTAAATTTACTCATTAATTGATTTTTTTTTCTTGTTGTGGATCTCTTAGGATTTTCTATTAATACATAAGTAATCATGTCATCTGTGAGTCAAGGCATGTTTACTTTTCTTATTTCCAGTATTTATGCTGTTATTTCTTTTTCATGTCTTAATGTACTGGCTAGGACATCTAGTACAATATGAAGATGAAGTGGTAAGCATATATTTTGCCTGGTTTCAGCTTTTATGAAGGCACCATTTGTTTTCTCACCATTGCATATGTTAGCTGTAGGTTTTTTCTAGAGATCCTTTATTAAATTGGGGAATTTTTCTTCTGTTTTTACTTTGCTGATAATATTATACTATGAATAGGTGCAAATTACTGTCAAATGCTTTCTCTGTATCTATTATGATGATTTATGATGTTTTCTTCCTTTAATCTGTTAATGTAGTGAAATACATTGATTTTTTAATAGATAAACCAATAATGCATTCCTGGGTACACCCCACATGTTCATGATGTATTTTTATATTTGATAGGGTTGATTTCTTAAGGTTTTATTAAGGATTTTTTGTCATTCTTCATTGTATTTTGTATCTAATTTTCATTTCTTGCAATGTCCCTGCTTGGTTTTATGTCAGGGTTATACTAGCCTCATCTATTCTCTCAATGACTTTGTGAATACTTCATCGTCTTTATTTAAGTATCCCATTTCTTTAACAGATACATGCAGACTTTATATATTAATATATTGCTGTGTCCATTTTGTTCAGCTGTACTTTACAAAGAATTTCATCTTTGTTTTTTAATTTATTTGCAAAAAAAAGTTTATTATGTTTTCTTATTATCTTATGTCCATAGGACCTGTAGTGATGTTGCATTTTTTCTGTTAGTGATATTAGCATTAGTAATTTTTATTTTTTTTTTTTTTAGGCAAAATCTCATTCTGTCACCCAGGCTGGAGTGTGGTGGTATGATCTTGGCTCACTGCAACCTCGACCACCTGTTCTCAAGCAATTCTCCCATGTCAGCCTCCCAAGTAGCTGGGACTGCAGGGACATACCAGCATGTCTGGCTAATATTTTTAATCTTTTGTAGAGACAGGGCTTCACCATGTTGCCCAGGCTGTAAATTTTTGTTTTGTTTTGTTTTGTTTTGTTTTGTTTTGTTCTTGATCTATCTTGCTAGATAGATCAAGGGTACATTCAACACAATTTATCACTGTTGATGTTGACCTTAATCACTTGGAGATAATGTTTGATAGGTTTCTCCATTGTTAATTTACTTTTTTTTTTTTTTTTTTTTTGAGACGGAGTCTCACTCTATCACCCAGGCTGGAGGGCAGTGGCGCCATCTCAGCTCACTGCAAGCTCTGCCTCCAGGTTCACACCATTCTCCTTGCTCAGCCTCCCAAGTAGCTGGGACTACAGGCGCCCGCCACCATGCCCAGCTAATTTTTTTGTGTGTTTTTAGTAGAGACGGGGTGTCACCGTGTTAGCCAGGTTGGTCTCAATCTCCTGACCTCGTGATCTGCCCGTCTCAGCCTCCCAAAGTGCTGGGATTACAGGCGTGAGCCACCGTGCCCAGGCTGTCCATTGTAAATTTACTTTTTTTTTTTAACTTCTCCATACTTTATTCTTTGGAAGAAATTTACTATGCACAGCCCACACTTAGGGAGTAAGGCGTTATACTCTACCTCCTAATGGGTAAAGTATCTACCTAAGCTGTTTGAAATTCTTCTGCACATAATATATTTCTCTTCTTTCCCATTAACTTATTTAATCATTTATCTATGTCTGTATGGATATATGGATATTTATTTTAAACTTAGGGTTATAATCTAAAACTACTTTGTTTATTTTGTTTCTCAAGTTGTTCTAGGCTTGACCATTGGGGGCTTTCTGTGTTATTTTTATTAGTAGAATTTTTTATTGAAGAATAATTGAAGTACACTAAAGTGAACATACCTGAAGGGATCTGTTTGATCAGTTTTGACTTGCATATATGCCTATAAAGCCATTACCACAAACAGGATAACAAACATTTCCATTTTACCCAAAATTCTCTCTCCACCGCTATCCCAAAGCAACCATGATCTCATTCAGTCACTACATGTTAGTTTGCATTTTCCAGAAGTTATATAAATGTAATCACACAATATGCACTTTTACCTTGCTTTTCCACTCAGCATAATTGTTCTGAGATTCATTCAGTTGTTGTGTGAGTTGCTGAGTAGTATTCCATTGTATAGATATACCACAATTTATAAATCCATTCACTTGTTGATAGTCATTTGACTTGATTCCAGCGGTTGGCCGTTATAAATAAAGCTGCTATGTACATGTCTACAAGTCTTCGTGTGGCCATATGTTTTCGTTTCTTTTGGATAAATAACCGGAACATTGACTTATATGGTAAGTGTATGTTTAATTTTTAGGAAACTATCAGATTGTTTTCCAAAGAGCATGCCAATTTGTTTATATTCTTGCTAACTCTTGGTACTGTCAAAGATTTTTTAATACTTTGGTGATTACAATGGGCATGGATGGTATCTTATTGTGATTTTAATTTGATTTCCCTGAAGACTAATACCGTTGAGCATATTTTCATGTACTTGTTGGCTATTTATATTTCTTTTGTGTGAATGCTTATTCAGATATTTTCCTCACTTAATATTAGCTTGTCTTTAGTTTTTGTTTTGTAAGAACTCTTTCTTCTGAATACAAATCATTTGTCTGATATGTTTGTTGTAAATATTTTCTTTCAGGTTATAGCTTGCTTTTTTTCTGTTGTTAAAGTTTCTTAATGGTTACCTTTGTATGGCAATTTTTTATTTTGATAAAATTCAATTTTTAAAAATAATTTACCATTGTTGTGTTCTATCTAAGAAATCATTTCGTACCCCGAAGGTCACATAGCTTTTCTACTGTTGTTTTTTTTTTTTAACAAATTTTATAGTTTTAGGTTTCAGCTTAGGTTTTTTATTCATTTGGGAGTTGTGTTTATGTTTTGAAGTAATGGTTGATGTTTGTTTTATTGCAAATGGCTCTCCTATTGTTTCAACACTCTTTAATGAAACTGACTTGAAACTGTTGTCAAAATGAAATCTAGCCTCTCTGTTCTGTACATTTATCTATTAGTCTGTCTCCATGCCAATACTGCACTGTCTTGATTACTGTTGCATTATATGATGTCTTGACATCAGGTGGAGTAAGGCCTCCAATTTTTTTTCATTTTGGTTATTTTTCTTGTTTATTTTTATAAAAGGCCATTGCATTTTTATATAAATTTGAATATTATCTAGTCAATTTCTTTTTAAAAGATTTCTGGAATCATTAATCTATATATCAATTTAGGGATATTTGACACATTAACAATATTAAACCTTAACAATATTGTGTCTCCTGTTTCTTAAGAGGGGCTTGCCAATATCTGGATTTTCATTTATTTAAGTTTCTTCGCATTCTTAGCGCTCTATGGTTTTGTAGGTTGTTTGGTTTCTCGCCTTGTACTTTTTATATCTGTGCTGACTTTCTATATCCTAAGTAGAAGCAGAAGCCATTTTTCTATAGTTTATTTTTAGCTTCTGATTCAAATGGTTTATAGCTTCTTTTTAAAATTTGTTTTTATTATTTTCTTTATAAAATAGCTTTATCGCAATATAGTTGAAGTGCAATAGTGTACACAACATTTAATATGTACAGTTTGGTAAGTTTTAATATAGTGAAACGGTAGGAGTTTTCCCTTATCCCCCCTCGCAGGGCAGCTCAAACCCCTAGGGGGAGCATGCAGACAGGCAGGTCGCGGGGAGCTGGGGCTCTGATCCCACAGCAGCCTCTGGGGTTGAGTGTTCACAGCTCCCGAAGCCCCAGTTGATGTGTGTTACAATGTGCTCTTTCAGCTTAGTCGTCCGCAGGCAGCTTGTGTTAATCAGATCAATTAGACCCTCTGCCTTATCGCAAGATAGAGAGCTTTCTGTATCCCAGGTTCTTGCCCTAGTGTATCAGAAAAATCAGATCACATGTGGGCTTGAAGAACGAGTGCAAGGTTTTATTGAGTGGTTAAGGTAGCTCTCAGCAGACGGATGAGTAGACAGAAGGGGGATGGAGTGGGAAGGTGGTCTTTCCCTGGAGTCCAGCCGCTCCATGGCCGGGCTTTCCTCTGACCTCCCTGGGCTGAATTTCCCTCCGTGACCGTGTCGCTGTGCTGTTAATGGCCTGCCGGCATCTGTCGGTGTGTTCTTCTGCCAGTGTGTTCCTCTCAACGCCCAGCTGCTTGTGTCTGTGCCCGCTAGGGTCTCGGAGTTTTTATAGACACAGGATGGGGTGTGTGGCGGCCACAGTGGTCTTGGAAAATGCAACATTTGGGCGCAAAAACAGGAGTGCCTGTCCTCACTTAGGTCCGTGGGGACAGGCCTGAGGGTGGTGGCCTCCCCAGGGACTGTCCCCCCTTCTCTACCCAGAACTTCCCTGCCCTGCTCCTGTATCAATAGTATACACCTATTAAGCTATCATCACAATCAAGATAATGAATATATGACATTCTCCAATATTTCTTTATGTCCTCTTTGAATCACTCCAATACCACTGCCCCTATACCTAGGTAGCCACTGATCTGCTATAACTATGTATTGGTTGCATTTTGTAGAACTTAAATAAAATTCTGCTTCCTTCACCTGTCGTAATTATTTGAGATTCATCTGTGCTGCTGCATGGATCGTCTGTTCATTGCTTTTGTGGCTGAGTAGTATTGCATTGTATGAATACAGCACAGACTGTTTATCTATTCATCTGTTGAGGGGAATCTGGGATGTTTCTGAGTTTGAGGTATTAAAAATATGGCTTCTATAAACATATCTGCTCATTTCTTTATGTGGATGTATGCTTTTATTTAACTTGGGGAATAAATTCATAGGAATGAAAAGACTGAAATACATGGTATATTAATTAAGTGATTTTCAGATGTTAAATCAACCTCGCATTGCTAGGATATATCCAAATTGGCCAGGGATATAATCTCTATTATATAGTGCTAAGTTTGGCTCGCTCACATTTTCTCAAAGATTTTTCTGTGTTTATGAAATAACTTGATCTGTAGTTTTCTTTTCTTGTAATGTCTTCACCCGGTTTTGGCATCAGAGTACTTCTAGTCTCATAGAATCAATTGGGAAATATTCCCTCTTCTTCAATTTTCTGTAAGAGTTTGTGTAGAATTGTTTACCATCCTCTGTGAAGGCATTTAACCTTGGAAGATGTTTTCTGTTTATTTTGTTTGTTTTAAGGACGTCAAGTACAATATTAGTTTCTTTAGTAGATAGATAATTCATATTATCAATTTCCTCTTAACACTCTAGTTTGTATATTTTAAAAATATTATCCATTTCATCTAACTTGTCAAATTTATTAATATAAAATTATTCTAATATTTCATAATTATTTTGCATATCTATAGATCTGTAGTGACATTCTATCTCTCATTCCTGACACTGTAATTTATGTCTTCTCCCTGTTTTCCTGATTTGTCTGGCTAGTGGTTTACAGCTTTATTAAGCTTCTCAAAGAACAAACTTTTTATTTATTTATTTTTATTATTTTTATTTTATTTTATTTTATTTTTTTTTTTTTTGAGATGGAGTCTCACTCTGTCGCCCAGGCTGGAGTGCAGTGGCACGATCTCGGTTCACTGCAAGCTCCGCCTCCTGGGTTTACTTACGCCATTCTCCTGCCTCAGCCTCCCAAGTAGCTGGGACTACAGGTGCCTGCCACCACGCCCTGCCAATTTTTTGTATTTTTAGTACAAAAAATTATATTTTAGACGGGGTTTCACTGTTAGCCAGGATGGTCTCGATCTCCTGACCTCGTGATCCGCCCGCCTTGGCCTCCCAAAGTGCTGGGATTACAGGCGTGAGCCACAGCGCCCGGCCCAAACTTTTTAATTTTATTGACTTATTTCTATTGCTTTGTTTTTCTGTTTCACTGAGTGACACCTTTATCTTTTGATAATTTCAGTTCTTCCATGTACTTTCCATTTCATTTGCTTTTTTTCCCTGGTTTCCTAAAATGCACTCTAAGGTCATTGATTTGAGACAATTTCCTTTTCTAATTTAGCTGTAGTGGAAGCCCACAAATTTGACCTGCTGTATTTTCATTTTTTCATTCAATTTATACTTTCTCATTTCCCTTTAGAGTTTTTCCTTGATTTGTGTTCTTTAGCAGTGTGCTACTTAGTTTCTAAATGTTTGGGAATTGATTTTTCCAGAGCTCTTTCTATTATTGATTTTTAGTTTAATTGCTTTGTGGTTAGAGAACATATTTTGTATGACTTAAATTCTTTTAAATTTAATAAGATTTGTTTTGGGGCCCTGAATATTATTGACCTTTGTAAATGTCCTGTCGCATGTGGAAAAAATATATATTCTGTTGTTGGAGGTTGGAGTGTTGGAGTGTTCCATAAATGTCAACTAGGTCAAGTGAGTTGACATTTTTGTCAGTCTTCTCTATCTTTGCTGACTTCCTGTCTACCTGTTTTATTAATTATTGAGAAAGGGTTATTGAAATATTTGCCTATAATTAGTAATTTGTTTATTTCTCCTTACAGTTTTATCAGTATTTGCTTCAAATATTTTGAAACACTGTTAGTGGATGTATACATTTTTAGAATTTTTATGTTCTCTTGATAAATTGAACCCTTTATCATTGTGAATTAATGTTACTTTTGGTCAGAATATTCTGCAGTCCAAAATTGACTTATTCTGTTATTAATCTAGCAACTGTAGCTTTCTTTAGATTAATTTTAATACATTATATAATTTTCTGTTTTTTTCTTTTATGTATTTTGTTGATTTATATTTAAAATTATCCTTTTTGAAGACAACGTACAGTTGAGGCTTGGATTATCTGATAATACTGACTTTTAATTAAAGTTTTTAAACTCTTTAAAATTGCTGTAATTATTGACTTGCTAGCTTTAAATATTGCTATTCATTTCTATTTGTCTTTTCTGTATGTTGTTTCCCTTTTCACCTATTTTCTGCCTGCTTTGGGGTAAGATGAGTATCACTTATAATTTGATTTTAATACCTGTTGGCTTATTTGCTATAACTCCTCATTTTGTTGCTTAGTGGTCTTTTTAAGGTTTATAGTATACACGTCTAATTTATCGCAGTCCTCAAATGATGTTATTTCACTTCAAATATAGCATAAGTACCTTACGACAGTATATTTTTAGGTGTCTCAGCTTTTGTGCTATCCTTATCATACATGTGATTTTACATATTTTATAAACTCCACATTACATTGTTATTATTGTTTAAAAAATCAATATATATTGTTTAAAAATCAATCATCTTTTCAAGAGATTTAAATACAAGGAAATAACCTTGTGCATTTATCCAAGGTGGTTACCATTTTTGGTTCCCTTCACTCCTGTGTGTAGATACATACTAACTTCCTTCTGCCTGATGGACTTTCTAGAGCATTTCTTGTTATGTGGGCCTCATGGTGATGAATTATTTTGGCTTTGCATGTCTAAAAATGTCTTTATTTTTTCTCATTTTGAAACGTATTTTTTTTTCTGGGTATAAGATTCTAAGGTTTTCTTTCACTGCTTTAAATATATTGTTCCACTGTCTTCCTGCTGGTCTTGGTTTTTGTTTTATGAGAAACTTGCTGTCATCCCTATTTGTGTTCCTGTGTGCATAATAAATCTTTTTCTTCCCCCCTGGATGTTTCTCTTTCTCAGGAATTTTGAGCAATTTGGTTATGGTGATTATGGTGCCTTCATGTGATTTTTTTCATGCTTCTTGTGCACAAAGTTTGTTAAGTATCTTCAATAATTGGGTTTATAATTTTCATCAAATTTGGAAAGTTTTTGGCTATTATTTCTTCAGATATTTATCTGCCCTGCCCCTTTTATTAACACTGATTACACACGTTAGGGCTCTGAATGTTTTGTTATACAGATTACCTATGCTCTTTTCATGTATGTATTGAGTCTGTTTTAATTCTCTCTGTGTTCCTTCTTGGGTAGTTTCTACAGCTATGTCTTCAAATTCGCAAGTCTGTTTCTCTGCAATGTCTACTTAATGCTATTCAGTGCATTATATTTTTTATCTCATTCTTGTAGTTTTCATTTTTCAAGTCTGATTTGGATCACATTTCTATTTAACCTTTTGAACATGGGGAATAGAGTTGCAATAACAATTTTAATATTCTTGTATGCTAATTCTAATATTTGTATCAGTTCTGTGTTGGTGTGATTGGTTACTTTTTCTTCTCGTGTTACCTCATATTTTCTGCTTCTTTGTATGCTTGATAATTTTTCATTGGTTGCCCAACAATGTTAATTTATCTTGTTGAGTGATGGATTTTTTTGTTTTGCTGTAAATATTCTTGAGCTTTGTTTGCCACTAAGTTACATCGAAGCAATTTGATCCTTTTGCATGTGCTTTTAAGATTTTTATACAGGACCTCATGTTCAGTCTATGGCTACTTATTCTCTGCTACTGAGGCAAGACCCTTCTGAGTATTCTAGTGGCTCAGTCCATTTGTGCAGCCGTAACACAATACATGAGAGTGGGTAATTTATAGAGAATAGAAATTCATTTTTCACACGAACATTCACACAAAATTTATTTTCTGAAGTCTGGGAAGTTCAAAATCAAGGCACTGGCTGACTTAGTGTTTGGTGAGGGTATCTTCTCACAGTGTCTTCACATGGTGCAGAAGGCAGAAGGGATGGAAGGGCCAAAGGCACTAGGGTGCTCCCTTCAACCTCGTTTATAAGAGCACTAATCCATTCATGCAGGTGACACCATCATGACTTAACACCTTAAGGCCCAGTCTCTTAATATCATCACCTTGGGGTTTCAGTTCCAACACATGAATTTTGGAGGGACACATACTTTCAAGTCATAGCATTTACACAAGGTCTCATAAATTATCTACCAGTTTGGCCACAAATTTTGGCCTGGTATGAGTGCTAGGCACTGTTTAATTTTGGGGAGTTCTTTTCTTAGAGTATTAGTCAGGTTCGCCAGAGAAACAGAACCAAAATAGATATATATAGGATATATTCTCTCTATATATTATAATAAATATTATATTAATATATTGATATATTAACATTAATATATGATTATAATATAATATATAATTATATTAATATAATTATATAATATATTAACATGAATATATTATATAAAATGTTAACATTAACATATGTGTTATATATATATCATCATGATAGATAAATATATATATTTATTTGCTAATTATGAGGAATTGGCTCATGTGACTATGCAGGTGGAAGAGTTTCAGGATCTGCAGTCTGCAAGCTGGAGCCCTATGGGAAAGTAGACGGTGCAATTCAGTCTAAGTCCAAAGGCCTGAGAACCGGGGGGAGTCAGTGGTGTAAACCCGTGGGAGGGCAGGAGAAGTCAGAATGATATGTCTCAGCTCAAGCAGTAAGGCAAGAAAAATGGGACAAATTCTTTCCTCTGCCTTTTATTCTTTTGGACCCTCAGTGGATTAGATAATGCACCCCCACCTTGAGGAGGGCAATCTACTTCACTGACTCTACCAATCCAAATGCTAATCTCACCCAGAAACACCCTCACAGACACGCCCACGACAATGTTCCATCTGGGTACCCATGGCCCATTTAAGTTGACACATATAATGAAACATCACACCCAACCTCCGGTAGTTTATGCACATGCATGCCTTGATCAGTACTGCTGAACACTCAACAAGGACTCTATGCTGATCTCTGGAGTTTTCTCCCTGTGCAGCTCTGTTCTGTGCACGCTATCTGCCTTGTTGTCCTGGAATCTCAGCTGTCTCTTCAACTCAGGGACTCTTTAGGGTTCTGCCTGAGTTCCACTTTTCTATGCCATAGCGTGGAGACAATGTCAAGGCAACTGTGGAGTTCACCGTTTTCTCTCTCTCAGGAATCACTGTCTTTTGTTGCCTAATGTCTGGGGACTTAAAAACTGTTATTTTGTATATTTTTTCTGTTTTTTTTTCTTGGCTGTCTCAGGCATGAGAGTAAATGTATTTCCTGTTATTCCATTTTATCTGGAAGGTGAAGTTAGCGTTTCTTTTTTGCAGAGATTACTACCTCCCTGGCCCATTGCGAGGCCTCCTTTGCAATTATGATCCATCACACTTGTGACCACAGTATCTCCTTTTTTGTTTGTTGGTTCAGTG
Source organism: Homo sapiens (assembly GCF_000001405.40). Taxonomy (NCBI): domain Eukaryota; kingdom Metazoa; phylum Chordata; class Mammalia; order Primates; family Hominidae; genus Homo; species Homo sapiens. Next base: position 4,178,924 of record NT_187660.1, read on the forward strand.
GGATGAACAGCCTCAAATTTAGGTCCCAAATTCAAAATATTGATCAATTTCAAATCCGTATAAATCAAATTATTTTAAAGTGCTAACTGTGCTGCATATCTTTTCAAGCCCGAAGACAAAGAAAATGACTCACTGAGGAGCAGTAGAAGCAATGACGAGGATGATGTCACACATTTGCTTGGTGTCTACTCAGCACTTGTGCTTGACATCTATGATCTCATTTGGTTCTGAATCCCCCAGAGTGGTGGGCACTATTACCATCTCCATCTGATGTATGAGGAAACTGGGGACACCGTGTATGGAAGGATGACCGAAGATTGGTTAAGACTAAACTCTCAGCTTTGCCGAAAGTAAGACAGCCCATCAGGAAGGTGAAGAGCCTTGGACAACTGTGCCTCCATCAGGGCCTTGGTGGTAAGGTTGGCTTTTCTGGTGGGAGACAACCCACTGCTTTCTCAACCCTTTCTGTTCTTACCTTAAAGTCCTACCCAAGTAGACCTCATTTCCAGGAAGTCTCTTTAATAAAGGGTGGCTCCCTCCCATCCCAGTTCCTTAGTGACCTCCTGTAAGTGGTATCATTTTAGTTCCACCTCTGGGGAATATGTGCATAAAAACCTTGGGTTTTCAAAACAAGGCTCAGGAGAGAATATCTGAGAGTAAAGGACATGAACACTTCTCTTCATATTCCCAGGACCCTCCAGTGAACATGCCTTGTTTCCATCTGCCCATCACCTTTTCCTGCCTTCTTCTGATGTTAGGATCATTCTTTTCTGGGAGTAGACCACTTATAAGGATTTAGGTGGGTTTCCCAAGCAGATATCTCATGTTCTGGGTCTGCTTGGCAAGCCAGAGTGCCCCAACCCAGATGATGAGCATGGTTCAGGAATATGCATGTAATCCATATCAGGATGATCAGAATCCACTCAAAACTTATCTTTTTACCAAAACTATTCAAAAGCCCTCCTCTCCTAGGGTTGGGAAGGTGTATATGGAGCTAGAGCTTCTACAGCATGGAAAGAACCTGTGAGCAGTGCAGGAGTCAGAGCCCAGGGATGTTACTGGGTGTCTTGACCCAGCTGTGCTCCTGGACATCCAAGTTTTGGAAACCAATACTTCTAGCTTTTGTTCGTGTTCATTTGAGCTTAATCTCTCTAGCTTACTCGTTTTTAGCTTTCTACTGAGAAGCCATATCCTCTCCACTAACTGTTCCAGGAGTGATTAATCACCTTACGAAGGAAGACCTTGCCTAACACCAATTTTCAGATGATATCCCAACATTCATGAGAGGTGGAGGGGAGTGTTCCTCCAACTTGACCCAGCAATCATCCCAGAGCCCCTGATGTCATCACAGCAGCCTGGGCTTGCTCACCCGTGTTGTTGTGAGCCTCAGCGATGATGGTGCTGGGTCTGCAGAGTTCTGGCTGCAGGATGGAGTTGGAATATTGTACTCAGTGGAACTGAGCTGGGGCTGAACAAAGGCAAATCTTCTGCCCTGGGGATTAGGCATTCATCTGTGCCAACTCTCTTAAATATTTACAGATGTGGATTCGTGACAATAAAATTTGTGTAGGTTATATTTAGAGAGAAAACGAAGAAACATCTGAGGAACCCCTGCTGTGTGCCATGTCCTGTGCTGGATGCTTTCTCAAGGTACTTCATCTCATCTTCACAAGCTTCCTGGGGGCTATTTTGGATGCTCCATTTTATAGATGAGGAAACTGAGGCCGAAAGAGATTATATGACTTACCCAAGGCCATGCAGGTCAAAGTTCTAAATGATACAGCCAGGACTCAGCCCTAGGTCTTCTACTCTAAGTCAGGTTTGCTGTGAGTCGTGAAGTGGGTTAAAATGCATGTGACAGAATACCAACAAAATAGGGTTGGTCAGGAGATAGGCAGCCTACACTCTAGAAAGTCAGCAGGAACCAAGGTACCTTCTGACTGTCTCCTCTCCCATCCTAATCCTCATCCTCATCCTCACACACACAAGCTAGAGGCCACATCCTGTCCATATTCCAAACAGAAAGAAAGGGAAGGGGAAAGTCCAAAAATGGATGTTCCAGCAAAGTCTGCCCCAGTATGAGATTTCTGCTATTGCCATAATAGCTTACCAAAAATGTAGTCACTTTGAACAATGCAAAGTTATTATTTGAGAGTTCTTAATGTCAGAAGTCTGACACCGATCTCATTGAGCTAAATCAATAGAACAAAGGGGCTGCCTTTCTTTCTAGAGGTCCTGGGGGAACATCTGTTTCCTTGCCATTTCTAGCTTCTAGAGCCACCTGCATTCCTTGGCTCATGGCTCCCATCTCTCATCATCATAGCCAGCAGTAGGGTGAGTCCTCACACTACATTTTTCTGAGTGCTTCCATCATCACATCTCTCTCTTTGAACAGAGCCAGAAAAGGTTCTCCACTTTTAAGAACACATGTAACTAGTTGGGGCCACCTGCATAATTCAAGAAAACCTCCCTATATCAAGGTCTTTACCCTTAATCACATTTGCAAAGTCATTTTTACCATATGAAGTAATACATTCTCAGGTTCTAGGCATTAGGATGTGGGTTGGGTGGCTGTTATTCCAATGGCCACAGCCCTCTTCTAATAAAGTTTCCCTACAAGCTTCATGTAAAATGTCTTGGCCATAATAGAGTCGCCAAGTTATTCCTGCAAGGGAAGCTGGGAAAAGTAAGTTGTTTACTTAACTGGGCACATTGGCTTCACCAGCAGGGAAGACTGAATATTAGGTAATCTACTTGCTATTTCTCCTACACAGGCCTAGAGTTACACAAAACGTACTTGGGAGTTAACTTTCTTTTCTAACTCTCTGAAAAGGTTTGTCCTTGGCAACACATCTCCTTCCCTTTCTTTGGCCCCCAAGTGATACCTCATGATAGATGTATCCATATACTCACCTATAAGTGTATCTATCTATCTATCCCTCTATCTCTATATTTGCATTAAGTAGACACAGAGAAAATATTTGTTGAATAAATGGAGATTTGATCTCCTATATCTCATGTATTTAGCCTGAAAAAAATGCTAAGATTCTCTTAATTTCATAGAACTGTGATATAGATCTGTGATACAGCAGAAGTAACCCTGCAGTCTAAAGAGAAGATCTGAATTCAGTTCTACCTTTGCTGTATGCTAGCTTGGATGACAAAAGGCAAAATGTTTCACTGTCCTTAACTATGACATATAAACAATGTCTATCCCAGAAGACAGTTTTAAAATTAAATATACTAAATGGTACAGAAAATATTTCTGATTCCAGTAATATTTTGCTCTGTACAACTTAAAAATTCTTACAAAGCTCTGTAAATACTGTATAAAATAGAACAGACATGTTTTAAATGCATAGGTGAGCTTTCAACAAGGAAGAAGAAATCCTTGTGTGATAGAATCAATAAGGCAGCTTAAAAACCAAAAAGGAAGCATAGAATGCTGTAGATAGGTTTCACATTTTTTCTTCTAATGTTGAGACCACATTTTTCTGGGAGTAGACCACTTATAAGGATTTAGGTGGGTTTCCCGCAGCAGAGAGCTCATGTTCTGGGTCTGCTTGGCCAGCCAGAATGCCCCACCCCAGCTGTCAAGCATGGGGGATTACAGAAAATTCTAGGCCCCACAGGAGGCAGGTTTGAGTACTAGAACTGAGAATTCTGTATGAATGGTAGACCAAAAAAGAACTGTACCTCTAGAAAAGAGTGGCTTAGTAAAGAAATATAGTCATTAACTTAGAAAATCAACCAGAAAACTTACCTATCTCTGCTTGGACTCTGGGTAAGAGAAAAAGTTCAACACACATATTCAAAGCCAGAACTTGCATTGCATGGATTTGTGGAGATCAAATTTGCAATAACTGTGTCTTTCCAAAGCTCATAATCTAAAAAAACTAATATAAAAATAGATTCCATGCCAGTTATAGCCAAAATCTCTAAGCAGGAGAAAATCATAGAACAGTTATGTAGTAGATCTTACAGGAGAAAAATTTACATGTCAAAGTTATACCACATTTGAGGAAATAATCCACAGTGAATGAAAGACAGCAGAAACAATATATAGCATTAGAGTTCCCTAGGAATATTAGAACTGACAAAGACTGTAAAACTCAATTAGTATTTAAAAAGCAGATTTGACACAATTGAAGAGAGAAATAATAAACTGGAGGATAGGGAACAGGAAATTACTCAAATGCAGTATAAGAAGATAAAGAAGTGAACAAAAGATTAAGAAGCACCAAGGACAGAATGAATAAATCTAACATGTCTACTTGAAGAAAAGGGGAATAGCAAAAATGAAAGAGAAACAATATTCAAAGGGATAATTGTAAAAATAATGGAAAATATGAATTTTTAGATTCAATATTCATAACAGATCTTGGGACAAATAATTTAAAATATATTCATATCTGGACATGTAATTGGGTCAAAATTTGTATATTATTTACTGTATTTACTTTTATTTAATGTAATTCTCAAGCATTTTCTCATATGATAAAAACAGTTGTCCCACAATTTTAGTGTCTGTTCAATATTCTAATGTCTCATGATTTATTTACTCACTCACTGATATATAAATATTTATGGATTTATCCCTCAAACTAATATTTGTAGAGGTAACATGATGTTGCTCATCACTGCATAGAAATCTTCATACATTCAAAATTTACTTAGAATTCTAAAAGCAGAACTATTAAATGATATAACCTTTTTACGGCTCTTAAATTTTTTTTCAAACTTCTGGATTAATCTGACAAACACTACCTCAGGTGATATACATCGATATCAACAGTGATAAGTCATTTTGACAGTATGTGATGAATTGATATGATATGGTGTGATGAGAATGACCTGTTACCTACGTGGTTTTCCTCCCAAATTCATGTAACTACAATATAATCATTTCAGTTGAAGCACATTATTTATACTAAATACCTGACTTGTACTCCTCAAAATGATCAAAGTCATCAAAACTAAGAGAGACGCAGTCTCATTCTGTCACCCAGGCTGGAGTGCAGTGTGTCATCTCTGCTTACTGCAACCTCTACCTCCTGGTTTCAAGCAATTCTCCTGCCTCAGCCTCCCAAGAAGCTGGGATTACAGGCACCTGCCACCACACCCTGCTAATTTTAAAACTAAGAAAATTCTGATTAACAATCACAGCCAAGAGAAGCCTAAGAAAACATGACAGCTGCACATAATGTGCTATCCTGAATGGGATCTTGGAATATAAAAAGAACATTATGTGAAAATTAAGGATATCTGAACAAAGTATGGGATAGCTACTATAAAGACACATGCACACGTATGTTTATTGCAGCACCATTTACAATAGCAAAGACTTGGAACCAACCCAAATGCCCATCAGTGATAGACTGGATAAAGAAAATGTGGTACATATACACCATGGAATACTATGCAGCCATAAAAAAGAATGAGTTCATGTCCTTTGCAGGGACATGGATGAAGCTGGAAACCATCATTCTCAACAAACTAACACAGGAACAGAAAACCAAACACTGCATGTTCTCACTTATAAGTGGGAATTGAACAATGAGAACACATTAACACAGGTAGGGGAACATCACACACCGGGGCCTGTTGATGGGTGGGGAGCAAGGGGAGGGATAGCGTTAGGACAAATACCTAATGTAGATAACGGGTTGATAGGTGCAAGAAACCACCATGGCACATGTATACCTATGTAACAAACCTGCACGTTCTGCACATGTATCCAAGAACTTAAAGTATAATTTAAAAGAATAATAATGTATAGCTCAGTGTAAAGCCATCTGGGCCTGGGCTTTCTTTGTGGGAAGATTTTTAATTACTAATTTAATATTTTCCCTTGTTATAGGTCTATTAAGATTGTCAACTTCTTCTTGAGTCAGTTTTTGCAGTTTGTGTCTTTCAGGAAATTTGTTTATTTCACTAATGTTATCTAATTTGTTGGCATACAATTTTTTCATGATATTCTTTTGTAATTCATTTTTATTTCTATAAGGTCAGTAGTAATGTCCTCTTTTTTGTTTCTGATTCTATCAATTTAAGTCTTCTCTTTTTAAAAATTCTGATCAATCTAGCTAAAGTTTTGTCAATTTTGTTGATACTTTGAAAGAATTAGGGTTTGGTTTCATTTATTTTCTCTATTGTTTTTCTTTTCTGTATTTTATTAATTTCCACTCTAATTCTTATTATTTCCTCCTGATATGGTTTGGATAGTTGTCCCCTGCAAATCACGTGTTGAAATGTGATTGACATTTCACATGTGAAATGACCCCCAGTGTTGGAGGTGGGACCTAGTGGGAGGTGTTTGGGCCATGGGGTCAGATCCCTCATAAATGGCTTGATGCCCTCCCTGTGGTAATGAGTTACCAGGAGATCTGATTGTTAAAAAGAGTCTGGGACCTCCCTCCTCTCTCTTGCTCTCTCTCATCATGGGATGTGCCTACTTCCTCTTTGCTTCCTCCATGATTATAAGCTTCCTGAGGCGCTCACCAGAAGCCATGCTGGTGTCCTACTTCACAGCCTGCAGAACTGTGAGTCAAGTAATTTTCTTAAAAAATTACCCATCCTCAGGTATTCTGTAGAGCAATGCAAAATGGATTAACACAACTGCCTTATGCTTGCTTTAGGTTTAGCTTGCTCCTCTTTTTTCAGTGTCTTAAAATGTAAGTTTAGGTTACTGATTTGATAACTTTTTTCTTAATATAGACATTTGCAGCTCTAAGTTTCCCTGTGTTATATGATACTGCTTTTACTGTGTCATATAACTTTTGATATGCTTTGCCTTCTTTTTCATTCATATCAAAGTGTTTCCTAATTTTTCTTTTTATTTACTTTTTGACCCATTGACTATTATAATAGTGGTACTCCCCAAACTGATCTACAGATTCAATTCATTCCCAATCAAAATCCCAACAGCCTATTTTGCAGAAATAATAAGCTAATTCTTAAATTCATATGGAACTGCAAGGAACCAGAACAGTCAAAACAATCTTGAAAAAGGAGAATAAAGTAGGAGAAGTCACACTTCCTGATTTCCAAACTTACTACAAATCAAGAGTAACTAAGACAATGTGATACTGGCACAACGATATACATATTTATCAATGCAATGGAATTGAGAGTAGAAATAAACTCAGATATCTATGGTCAACTAACTTTCAACAAAGGTCTTAAGACTATCCCACGGGGGAGGAATAGTCTTTTCAACAAATGTTGTTGGGACAACTGAATATTCACATGCAAAATACAATTTTTAAGAATCTATGATTAAAGGTGGAAAAAAATATTGGGCTAGAGGTCATAAGATTTAAAGTTTAGCCTTGGCACTGCCAGTAAATAAGAGTGTAACTTTGGAACAATTATTGTACCTCTTTAGGCCTCTATGAGGGTTTTGGAGCAAGTAACATGGCTGCTCAGGTCCTATCCACATCCAACCTCTTCTTAGCCTGTGATGACTGTATCTCATGAGCTGTGATGATGTAGTGACAGAACAGGTGGCGCACCTTGGTCCAAAGCCAAGAATACCATTTTCACATATTCAGCACTTTGCCCCACCATCTGATGCTACTTGGCCTCCTTTGCCTGACCCTAGATCCTAGAGCATTCCTCCAGGGATAGGCATTTGATATGGTTAGACTTCGTGTCCCCCCCCAAACCTCATCTTGAATTGTAATCCCCAGGTATTTAGGGAGAGACCTGGTGGGAAGTGATTGGATTATGGGGGCGGTTCCCCCATGCTGTTCTTATGATAGTGAGTGAATTCTCAGGAGATATGATGGTTTTAGAAATGCTAGTCTTTCCTGTGCTGACTCATTCTCTCTCTTGCCACCCTGTGAAGAGGCGCCTTCCGCCATGATTATAAGTTTCCTGAGGCATCCCCAGCCATGTGGAACTGTGAGTCAATTAAACCACTTTCTTTATAAATTACCCAGTCTTGGGTATTTCTTCATAGTAGCATGAGAATGGACTAATACAGCATTTCAAAGTGTCTCCACAGTAACTACATTGTAGTTTATAACTTTGAGCAATTCCCTCATGTAGCCCTGTTATGTGATAGAAGGCTTTTATTTACTTATTTATTTATTTTTCCAGGCTGTAAGGCACAGAATGAGCCTTGTTCAAGTGACTATAAGGTGAAAAGTTTTATGTGAAAATATTGGTACATATGGAGAAACACAGGGTGTGTGATCAGCAGGGGATCTGGTCTTCAGGGGAAGTCACATACCTATTCAGGAGCCCATGGAAAGTCCTCACAGAGGGTGGTAGGCCTTGAATCAGGCCCCTGTGTCTGGCTGGTGGCTCAGGTGTCAAGCCTAGTGTTGTATCCAGGGTTGCACAGTTCCATAGCACAATGTGCAGCAACTCACCAGAAAAATGCATCTCAGAAGGGGGCCAAGGGCTTCACTAGACCTTGGAATCCCATGGAATATCAGAATGATGGTGACTCATAAGAATAGCCATTCTGTTTTGAGTAGTCACTTTCCAAACACTAGTTCCAACACTCCCATCCATGCAGGATATATGTTACTCTCCCTGTTTTCCAAATGAAGAAAGAGAGGCTCAGAGAAGTCAAGTGACTTGCTTGGTCACAGCCAGTGGGTTTCACAGTCAGGCCTCTGCCCTGATGTGTCTGACTTCAATCCTGGATATTTTGCCCTGCACAGTCTAATCTATTCTACTCAGACCTTGATTATTTTGGACCCAGCAGATGGTGTAATAATGTCTTGTTCTAAGTCATGATGCAGTGGAGTGAGTTGTTATGGCCTGAGTTGTGCCCCCTTCCCCACATTCTTATGTTGAAGTACTAACCTGCAGTGTGACAGTATTTGGAGATAGGGCCTTTAAAGAGGTTAATTAAGGTTATATGAGGTCATAAGGTGGGGCTCTAACACAATAGGACTGATGTCCTTATAAGAAAAGGAAAAGACAACAGGGCTGCAAATGCACAGGGAGAAGGCCGCGAGAGGACACAGCAAGGATGCGATCATCACAAGCCAAGGAGAGGCCTCAGGAGAAAACAGCCCTACTGAACCCTTGATCTTGGACTTTCAGCCTCCAGGTTGAGCACCTGGATTTCTGTGTTGTTTGTTTGTTTTGTTGTTGTTGTTGTTGTTGTTGTTGTTGTTGTTGAGATAGAGTTTCGCTCTTGTCACCCAGGCTGGAGTGCAATGGCACGATCTTGGCTCACTGCAGCCTCCGCCTCCTGGGTTCAAGTGATTCTCCTGCCTTAGCCTCCTGAGTACTTGGATTACAGGCGCCCACCACCATGCCTAGGTAATTTTTGTATTTTCAGTAGAGATGGGGTTTCACCATAATGGCCAGGCTGGTCTCAAACTCCTGACCTCAGGTGATCCACCCGCTTTGGCCTCCCAAAGTGCTGGGATTACAGGTGTAAGCCACTGTGCCTGGCCTGGATTTCTGTTTTTTAAGACCCCTACTCTATGATATTTTGTTATGGCAGCCAGTTCTCAACACTGAGAGAGAGAGTCAGGGTCAAAGATCTCTGCAGTCCCTTCCAAAATCTAACGTTGTGTCAGTCGAGAATGTTTGAACTTTTCATCTGCTTAGATCTCTGGACTACATAAAACTCCTAATTCCAACGTCTTGTTTAGAACCTAGCGGTTCACCTAGCCCTTGAGACTGCAGGAAAAGTGTCCAGCACTCATTCTGGGCACTGTATTTGGGGATTTGCATTTGTCTGTCCTTCCGCAGAGGGTCCTTGCTGTGCAGAATGGCCTGGGGTTCTCTGGGTAGGTGGCGCACAGCAGGTCTTCTGAAAGTGGCATTTCCTGCCATAGGAACGAGCATGGAGACTGTCCATAAGGATATCCTGGGTCGATGTCAAAAGCCCTGGGGCCCAAGTAACCAAGGGAAATCCCTCAAGACTGAATTGGGGGTGGAGTGCTGTATAACAACCAGATTGGTGAGTGAGGCTGCCTCATTAAAAAGATAGGTAGGTACAGTGCACCACAGAGGTAGTGATGTTCTGCCCCCGAAAATTCACATGATGGACCCAGGTGTGTGTTTGTTATGTTTTTAATATTATAAATGCTTGAGATACACTTTAAATTTCACAACTTCACCAACATGTTTCTTCTTCCTATATGTTCCCTCCAAATACTGGTGAGCCCGGGCGCCTTCCAGCCCAGCTCATCAGCATACACTTTGAGTACTTCTTTCCTTGCCGTAGGGAGAAGCTCGGTGATTTTCACCATTGAGAGCCAGCCTGAGAGCCCAGAACAGCTCTGGTGTGTGGCTTGAGGGCAGAGCCCACAATATCCCCCACCCTCGCCTGCCACAGAAATTCATCCCATAGGTGAAGCAAGGAGGCTCCACTCACTCCGCGATTAAGATGCAACCCCAGCCCAGAGCAGTGTGAGACAATGTGGAAATGCTTCGGGTTGAACTGTTGTATCAGCTTAGCTCTTAAGGAATAGAAGAAAGAGATAAATCTTGATGTCTAAATTTGAAGGGAGTTGGAGGGCTGAAGGGCTGTATGTGGGCAGTGTGAGGAAGTTAGGAAGAACTGGGTCCAGGTGAACCCACTGTCTTCCCCCAGTGTCCACAGTAGTCTCTGGGAGCCCTGCGTGGAGGGTACCCAGAGAAAGGGGGACCCAGGCAAAGCCCTTTGCCCTCCACTGTGCCTCTCTGCAGCAGGAAGAGAACAGAGACCATACAAAGAGAACACTCATACTAAACTTCTTCAGGTCCTTCCATTTCCCTCCAACCAGCCTACCCAGCCTCATGCTTCTAAAAAAGTCCCCCTAAAGCCACCGACATGACTGTACAGTCAGGACCGGCCACGCTGGAGAGCTGCTCCAAAACTTCAGGATGAAACCTGGTCTCTCAAAGTAATTCAGCCTGTGATTTTCAGCAATTCAAAACTCTATTTGTTATTAGTGCTACCAATAAATCTGAGAGAGACAAAAAGCCCCTTCCAAATGGCATTTCAATATTTACCTCTGCAGTTGGTAGTATGTTGATTGTTGATACCCAGAAACAACAGATTTCTTTTTCACAATGTGTCCAAACTGTCCCGCCTTGCCCCACTGAGGCATCAGCCAGCACCTCCTGCAAATAACATGCACGGTAGAGCGTAGAGAGAGACTTGGCATTTCAGAGTCTACTTTAAATTTTATCAGCATTACACTTTCGAGATTCAAGTTTGAAGCAATAGTCTGAAAGGAAAGCATTTTGAATTTCAAAAGCTGGGCCCTGAGAAACAATATGCCTTCATACTGAGTTTGTTTTCTTCACCCTGAAAAACAGATGATGTTTTCCTGGGCTGGGGAAGGGATGAAAGAATGTCAGAGGAAAAAGCAAGAAGTGGAGTCAGGAGATCCAGGAAAACGTGCAGGGCTCTCCCCAGTGCCTGAACCCTAGCAGCGAGGACAGGGTGGAGACAGTGGAGAGGCGGGGCGGAAAGGTGGAGCTAACCCCACTTCCTCTGAGTGCCCTCCCTTCTCCCAGTGTGGAGAAGGCTCTGGCTATCCTGCCACTTGGACTGACGGACACACACAGTATCACAGAGTTCCTTCCCACTCCAGCGTCGCCTGGGAGGCAGTAAACTACTTCCCCCTTGTCAGGAGTCAGGCACCTGAGTCCTCCCATGTTCCCTCTGGCCGCAGAGTGCCACAGGCTGCAGAGGGCTCCTTCCAGACCCCTAGGAGTGGCCTGAAATAGCTGGGAGGATGCTGTACTGGAGGGGCCCTGCACCCAGGAACAAGGGGTGACTGAGCCTCGCCCTGCACACACTGACGTTCACCCTGACAATGCAGCCTCAGGGATGACAGACAGGAGATGATGGGACAGACACCCAACCCCAGCCACCCCTAGGTCATGGCACAAAGGAGCCATCCAAAATAGCCACACTTGGTGGCAGCTGGGACAAGACACACACATACGTGCATGTGTGCATGTGTGTGCGAGGGAGACCTACGTTCCTTGGAATTTCCTTTCCGCCATTGGTGGAAGGGAGCTTACAAAGTAACTTCTGTTGTATACACATAGAGCTACATTTTTTGGAAACTTTGGGATTCATGTCCTACTAGTTTCTTTCATTTATGCTTTACAGCTAATGTTAGGCACATAAAAAAAGATATTATTGAGAGTAAACTTTATTGCCAGCACTTTAGAGTACAAATAGATGTAATCTATTTCCACCTGCAGTTGAAAACTTATAAAAAAAATTCACTATGGAGTGAATATTTTACTGCTATGGGAACTGTAAAACAAAACAAAACAAAAAAAACCTGTAAAAAATCTGTAAAAACAAAACAACTGTTAAAAAAAAACAAAGACACATAAAATTACCATGTTTTTAAATCCCTGAGGCAAAATCATCAACAAAATAAATAAATCCATTAGACTTTCAAATCACAATAATAATGCCCACAATGATTTTCTTCTGCTGTACCTATAAAACCCCAAATAAGAAACGATCTCATCTATAGATGTAAGGCGATAACAATTCACTCCACCTAGCGTGAAGCCCACAGTGAATGTGGAAGCTCAAAGAGACATTTCTGTGCCCACTGGCAGAAGGGCTATCAGGGGATGTGACATTTGCTCGTGGATGTCAACATGGAGAGAAAGCAAATCTTCAGTTTAGAAGAACTGGGTTAGATCAAAGCCACTCACCCTTATGCAAGAGAAGGGATCTCTTTTGAGAAGCCCGCAAGTCACTAGCAGACAATGAAACCATGAGAATGGCCTGGCGTGGTGGCTCACGCCTGTAATCCCAGCACTTTGGGAGGCCGAGGCAGGCGGATCATGAGGTCAGGATATCGAAACAATCTTGGCTAACATGGTGAAACCCTGTCTCTACTAAAAATGCAAAAAATTAGCTGGGTGTGGTAGTGGGCGCCTGTAGTCCCAGCTACTCCGGAGGCTGAGGCAGGAGAATGGCGTGAACCTGGAAGGAGGAGCTTGCAGTGAGTAGAGATTGCGCCACCGCACTCCAGCCTGGGCAACAGAGCAAGACTCCATCTCAAAAAAAAAAAAAAAAAAGAAAGAAACCATGAGAATGGACATGCGTTGAATGAGGACTGCTACCAGGAATACTTTACATGTCCTATCAGTGTAATTCCTGCAAAGGCCCCTGTGAGTGGGCTTGGTCTGCATTTATTATGCAATTCCCCAGGCGTCCTCACTCTAGCAGGGGAGCCAGGATGATGCTTCAGGTCCCCAGGCATCAGTGTCACCTCAAAACTGCCCCTGCACATTAATGTTCTCTGCAGACTCACATCTCATGGACCTAGCCCAGTTCACGGCCTGTGACCTGGCTTCTGGGGCTAAATGCAGGAATGTCTGAACCCTCTTGGTTTCTGCCATAGAAAGCAAACCCCTGCCTCTCCGAGACTAGAATTTCCGCAGAGTCTCTGTCTTAGTCTGCTCAAACTACCATAACAGAACACCATGGACTAGAGGGCTTAAAGAATAGACATGTATTTCTCACAGTTCTAGAGGCTAGGGGTTGGGAATGGGGCGGACCAGGGTCCACTTCTGGTGTGGGCCTTCTTGGATGCAGACCTCTGCCTTCTCACTGAATCTTACATGGCAGAGAGAGAGAGAGCAAGAGCAGTCTCTCCCTACAAAGGCACTAATCCTATCCTGACAGCCCCACTCTCAGGACTTTAGTGATTCACCTAATCACTTCCCAAAGGTCCTCCCTCCTGATAACATTGGGGATTAGAGCTCCAACAAGTCAACTTTGAGGGGACACAAACATTTAGTCCATAACAGCTCCAAATATAGAAAACGGTGTCAGTTGTGCAACAGCCACAAACAAACAGTGAAGACCCCGATTCTCCCTCTCTCCAGCAGGGGCGGGCCCGTGGGTGAATTTACTTGAGTGGCCAGGATCTCATGTGGTACAAGATGCGGCTTCCTGGCACGGTTGGGAGTGTTAGGGATAATTCAAATGCTGGGAGGTTGGGAGCCTCAAAAGCGCAGACTCTAATCCTCACAGAGGGTCCAGCTTGCCTGCTAGTGGCTGTGGTTCTGCTACCAGGAAATACCTACAAAGCGAATGAGGTATTGGCTGCAAGCTTTTCATGTGTTCCTGGCTCCTGTGTGACTGAGGCCCCAGGTACAGGCGGACATTTCCCGTTTCCTGATACACTGCAAGTGCTCACACTTGGATGCCTTGGTATGTGCAGCTCTTTCATCCTCGCACATCTTCCCCATTTGCCTTCCCAGCAAATTTTCTTTTCTTTCTTTTTTTTTTTTTTTTTTTTGGAGACAGAGTTTAGTTCTTGTCGCCCAGGCTGGAGTGCAATGGTGTGATCTCGGCTCACTGCAACCTCCACCTCCCGGGTTCAAGCGATTCTCCTGCCTCAGCCTTCCAAGTAGCTGGGATTTCAGGTGCCCGCCACCACGCCCAGCTGTTTTTTTGTATTTTTAGTAGGGACAGAGTTTCACCATGTTGGCCAGGCTGGTCTCGGACTCCTGCCCTCAGGTGATCCACCCGCCTCGGCCTCCCAAAGTGCTGGGATTACAGGCGTGAGCCACTGTGCCCGGCCAGCAGCAAATTTTTGCTCACTCCGCAGCACCATTTCAAATATAACTTCCTGTGACACCTTCCACAGTCCACTAGGCAGTGACCACATCCACAGGTATAGAAACATACTTTGGCTCTTTCTCTTTTACATTTCATTATAATTATAATTCTTTTGTATCGTGAGCCCTGGTTTTACATTTCATGCCACAGCAGATGCTGCTGGTGCCCTGCCTGTCCAAAGGCTGCTTCCCACACACACCTGAGGTTGTTTGCCTGAATGCTGTGTGCTGGTGTTGGGTGTATACTTGAACCACACACAAGGCAAGCCAGAATGTGAGGTTCCAGAAGCAGCCCTCAGCCAGAGAAGCTGGTGGGGAGTGGGTAGGTGAGCACTCAGCCTCCCCAGCCTTGGGTAGGATGACTATGAGCATGCTCAGAGCCTCGTCCCAGAATGGGCTCCCAGCGGTCCCCAACTCAGACAGGTCCCCAGCACCTAGGTCAATGCCTGACTTCAATTAGGTTCTGAATAAGTGTTTGATGAATAAAATCAGCCCTGAAGTTGATCACAAATTCATTCAGTTATTCATGGATGCAATTAACATTTCTGGAAGATCTATCAGATTTCAGCCACTGTACTAGAGGCAACATCATATATTTGAGTCATCATTTTAAAGAGACTAAACCATAATATAGGAGATAATACATGCAAATACATAGTATAGTTATCTATCTTGGTGTAACAAATTACCCCAAAATTCAGCAGCTTAAAACAACCATTTATTATCTTACATACTTCCTCTGGGTCAGGATCCACATGTGGCTTGGCTGGAACCCTCTAGCTCAGGGTCTCCCATGGGGTTGTAGTTGGGCTGTCAGCTGGCACTGCATCATCTGAAGGCTGGGCTGGGGCAGGGGGTCCACTTCCAAGGCAGCCGCTCACATCGCCGGCAAGCTGGTGTTGGCTGCTAGGAGGAGGCTCAGCTCTTCTGTGGACCCCTCCATAGTCTGCACGCATTTGCTGACATGGATTCTAAGTAACTTGGGAAAAATGTCTACTCTCGGCTCTCAGCTTTGTTCTGTCACCCTCTTGGTACCTTGACTTCAGGAAGAAGTCAATAAGCAGTATCCCACAACTTTCCCTTGTTGATCACTCACTGGGAAGCTAAAAATCCCTTATGCACAAAGACAAGAATGTTAGAGATATGGAACCACTCAGCTCCACACTCCTGGGGAAGTTGGGATTTCCAGCAGAGCCAGGGAGAAGCCCTCCTATTTCCTCATTCTTGCCATACCAGCAGCCAATCACCTGGGTGCTAGCTTGGCCACCTGCCAGCTATTTGACTTTGGGGAGGTTATTTAGCGTTCTCTGCCTCAGTTTCCCCATGTGCAAACTGGGGATGATAATAGCACCCTGGGAAGCATCCCTGCTGCTCAGCGGTGTTCTGGTGTTCAGGTCTTTTTTGAAGCTATGGAGATACTAAAATCAAAAGGGTTCTTAGAATGAGATGCTCAGTTCCACTTGAATGAGGACTGGGGAAAGATGAACAGCGAGACTGATATGAGCTGAGTGGGGGCAGAGCTCAGGAAGTCTGGGTACCCAGAAGGCAGGGGGAGGGAAGGCAATGGAAAGAAGAGTGGCAAGCTAGCAGGCCGAGAGTGGCAGCTACTGAGGTACACTCCGGAGAGCAGACCACTTGCCTGGGCTGCTCAGTGGGTGGAGTGGTAGGCATGCTGGCCCATGGGGATCCTGGCAGGGGGTGGGTTCTGGGTGCAGCCACATAGATTTTTTGGGACAAGTGTGAAGTGGCTTGAGAATGCAGAAGGCATTCAAGTTTTAGGGTGGCTTTGGCGAAGCCTGAGGGAGTGTTGGTGTTCTTGCTCCAACATCCATCTAGGCACATCCATCATTGTACCTGGAAGATGCCGGAGGCTAGCATGGGCCTGTGGGCAGAGGACGATGGAGGGGGAGAGTCAGGAGCAGCATCCAGAGGAGGGATCACAGAGCACGCTCTTCTAAGCTGTCCCTTCTTCCCAGCAGTGTGAAGTCCCAGATCTGCCAATTTTTCAAGAGGTGCCCATATGTTAATTAATTATATTAATATTGATAACTACTTCATAGTTGAGATCTGCACTTGGCAAGCAGTGATGAGGCCTGTTTCATGCACTGCTTCTAGTCCTGACATTGCAATGCCCAGATAGGAGCAAGACACTTGAGCCTGTAGAGTTACAGAGCTTATGGGATGCCTCTGGCTCGCCTGCAGCCACCTCAGGTGACTAGCTTTAGGAAAAGACCAGACAATGCCTTGGGTCTAAATGAGAAGAAACCAGAAAGTCAGCAGCAAAGGCCCCACTTGGCAGAGGTGATAAATTCAGGTCCCAAAGCAGGAGCTCCTTGCTTTGTCCTACAAGTAAGTCACCCTGGGCCCATGGATTGATTGACACAAATATCCACAGGGCACTTTTTGTGTACCAGGCTCTGAACCAGACTTCTGGTGGTAGAGACAGATGAGTGACTACACATTCAAAATGCGTTGTGCTCAGTGGAGTAGACGTTTGCAGGACATGTGGTAGAACAGGGAGCAGCCCTGAAGGAGACTTGTTGGAGCATCAAGTTGCGAGAAACTGACCCCCAAACAGGTCTTTGAAAGGAGAATGGCAATTTGATATTAGGCAAGGAGGAAAAGGTCTTATCAGTGAGAGGATCAGTAAGCATGAAAGTTCCTGGATAAGCTTGGGAATTACCAAGTGTTGAGAATTCATGTGATGTTGAGGTAGAGGTGAAGCGATGATTCAATGTAGAAGGCTGAGGATGCTGCTGGCCAGATCACAGGGACTTCTTCTTGCCAAGAACAGAGAACTGTTGTGCAAATCAGTTGTGTAAACAAAACAAAAATGTCTGCAGGAGGAACAGAAAGCCAAATACCACATGTTCTCACTTATAAGTGGGAGCCCAACATTGGGTACTTATGGACATAAAGACTGGAAGGATAGACACTGTGGACTCCTAGAGGCAGGAGGGAAGGGAGGGAGCAAGGATTGAAAAACTATGCACTGGGGACTATACTCAGTACCTGGGGGAGGGGATCATTCATATCCCAAACCTCAGCATCACAAAATATACCCAGTAACAAACTTGTGCATGTACCACCTGAATGTAAAGTAAACGTTGAGATTATAAAAAAAAAAAAAAATTCTGCAGGTACTGCCCTTAATCACTTTCACTTGTGTTAGAATTATTTAACTGAATGTTAAACTATTTTGTGTTTAAATAAAAATGTAATAACTACAGTTGACCGTTGAACAACATGACCCATGAACAAAAATTCTTTTTTTTTTATATTATTATACTTTAAGTTTTAGGGTACATGTGCACATTGTGCAGGTTAGTTACATACATATACATGTGCCATGCTGGTGTGCTGCACCCACTAACTCGTCATCTAGCATTAGGTATATCTCCCAGTGCTATCCCTCCCCCCTCCCCCTACCCCACAACAGTCCCCAGAGTGTGATGTTCCCCTTCCTGTGTCCATGTGATCTCATTGTTCAATTCCCACCTATGAGTGAGAATATGCGGTGTTTGGTTTTTTGTTCTTGCGATAGTTTACTGAGAATGATGACTTCCAGTTTCATCCATGTCCCTACAAAGGACATGAACTCATCATTTTTTATGGCTGCATAGTATTCCATGGTGTATATGTGCCACATTTTCTTAATCCAGTCTATCATTGTTGGACATTTGGCTTGGTTCCAAGTCTTTGCTATTGTGAATAATGCCACAATAAACATACGTGTGCATGTGTCTTTATAGCAGCATGATATATAGTCCTTTGGGTATATACCCAGTAATGGGATTGCTGGGTCAAATGGTATTTCTAGTTCTAGATCTCTGAGGAATCACCACACTGACTTCCACAATGGCTGAACTGGTTTACAGTCCCACCAACAGTGTAAAAGTGTTCCTATTTCTCCACATCCTCTCCAGCACCTGTTGTTTCCTGACTTTTTAATGATTGCCATTCTAACTGGTGTGAGATGGTATCTCATTGTGGTTTTGATTTGCATTTCTCTGATGGCCAGTGATGGTGAGCATTTTTTCATGTGTTTTTTGGCTGCATAAATGTCTTCTTTTGAGAAGTCTCTGTTCATGTCCTTCGCCCACTTTTGGATGGGGTTGTTTGTTTTTTTCTTGTAAATTTGTTTGAGTTCATTGTAGATTCTGGATATTAGCCCTTTGTCAGATGAGTAGGTTGCGAAAATTTTCTCCCATTTTGTAGGTTGCCTGTTCACTCTGATGGTAGTTTCTTTTGCTGTGCAGAAGCTCTTTAGTTTAATTAGATCCCATTTGTCAATTTTGGCTTTTGTTGCCATTGCTTTTGGTGTTTTAGACATGAAGTCCTTGCCCATGCCTATGTCCTGAATGGTAATGCCTAGGTTTTCTTCTAGGGTTTTTATGGGTTTAGGTCTAACGTTTAAGTCTTTAATGCATCTTGAATTGATTTTTGTATAAGGTGTAAGGAAGGGATCCAGTTTCAGCTTTCTACATATGGCTAGCCAGTTTTCCCAGCACCATTTATTAAATAGGGAATCCTTTCCCCATTGCTTGTTTTTCTCAGGTTTGTCAAAGATCAGATAGTTGTAGATATGCGGCATTATTTCTGAGGGCTCTGTTCTGTTCCATTGATCTATATCTCTGTTTTGGTACCAGTACCATGCTGTTTTGGTTACTGTAGCCTGGTAGTATAGTTTGAAGTCAGGTAGTGTGATGCCTCCAGCTTTGTTCTTTTGGCTTAGGATTGACTTGGCGATGCGGGCTCTTTTTTGGTTCCATATGAACTTTAAAGTAGTTTTTTCCAATTCTGTGAAGAAAGGCATTGGTAGCTTGATGGGGATGGCATTGAATCTGTAAATTACCTTGGGCAGTATGGCCGTTTTCACGATATTGATTCTTCCTTTTCTCTCATGGGTAGAAAAATTCTTTTACACGGATTTTCAGTAGAGTTCCACTTTTACATGGATTTTCTTCTGCCTCTGCCACTCCTGAGACAGCAAGACCAATCCCTCCTCTTCCTCCTCCTCCTTAGCCTACTCAACGTGAATACAATGAAGATGAAGACCTTTATGATGATCCACTTTCTTGTAATGAACAGTAAATATATTTTTTCTTCCTTAAGATTATCTTATAACATTTTTTTCTAACTTACTTTATTGTAAAAATATTGCATATAATACATATGACATACAAAATATGGGGTAATTGATTATTTACATTATCAGTAAGGCTATGGTCAACAGTAGGCTATTAGCAAAGTTTTTGGAGAGTTAGAAGGTATATGTGGATTTTCAACTAAGCAGAGGGTCAGTGCTCCAACCCCCATGTTGCTCAAGGATCAATTACAATTTAAATAATACTATTAAATATATATTTAATAGCATACATTGTGTATACATATATATTTATATATCTGAAATATATACACACATTTGTAAGCATTCAAAAATAGATATCTTATATTTTGTTAATATTTTGTAACATAGTCATAAAATAAAAGGTGAAAAATATAATATTCACGAGTTACACCTACACCTTGACCCTATTCCCCTGCTGTGTTCTCTCCTCGTTGGTGCATTTGATTGCAAAGCCAATTATTTGCCATGTTTTGCGGAGAGGAGAGAATGAAGATAAGACCCTCCCACAGCACTTCCTTTGGCCAAAACATGGTCACCAACATTTGGGAAATATTTTTGCTAGATCAAATCACAGTTTAAGTAAGTGCTAAATTTATTACTTTTCCATCACGTTCCTCTCTCAGAGTTTCCTCATGCATTCTGGAACCTGGGTGCAAACAGGCCAGAGTCAGAGTCTATGGGCTGGATGTGAGGAATGTTTCCAGAGTGGTGCACAGGTGGGGAGCAGCCCTGCTGAAGCCTCACCAACCCCCAAAGGCAGTGCTTGTCATGTCCCTACTGGGAAAGACTTAAATCCTGTCTCCTCAAAACACTAACAACCAAGGCTAAGCATAAGTGTGGTTTCCATTTCCATTAAAATGTACGTTTTTGCACCTGGCTATGTTAAGGCTCTGCCGTGTGGAATGTGATAGGCCCAGCTGAGCATGCTGTTCACCCGTGTCTGATAGCCTGGACAAGGAGACCAGTCACCTGGGGGTGACACATGGTGCATGGGTCTCCAAGCTGCTCATTCCCAGGACATCCATCTGGAGCAAATAAGCAATAATGATGTTAGGAAAGGAAGTCTTTCAGTAAGTGCCTCAGGAATTCTCAACAGGCCTCCACGAAGATAAGATTACAAACATGTATATCCATAAACACACATCACTGCTTAAAATTTTTCTCCCAGTAGAGAGCCTCAATAGTAGATGCATTTAGACAAATCTTTTCTGTGGGAATACACTACTTCTGCTCTGGAGAAATAAATATCAAATACAGTCTAATGAAACTGCATTAGGGAAACAAAGCATTAAGGAAAAGGAAAACCCAGGACAGAGAATAGATTTGGGGTTTGGGCTTTTCAGATGCAAAAGAGAGAGCCAGTCTCCTTTGAGGGGTATCTGTCTGGCATCTGCTTTATTTCATCCTGTTAGTGAGATTTGAAGGAATAGAAAAGTGATTTCATGTTAATAGGATTGGACAAGAGAGCATTATCTAGGATGGCATTTTCCTTAGATGAGGTTTTGGGTACTTCTTATTGCAGTCAGTTCATTTATATTTTAAACACCTGCAAGACTACAGTGAAATGAACTCCCTCTTAATCATCATTATGGAGAATGAATAAATACATGCATTTATCTTGCACCAGGTAATTGGCTGTGAAGCATTCTGTGATCCTTTCATTAGGGTGATGAGATCCAAAAATAGATGGCAAGTAGGTTTATTAGAAACTAACAGGCCCACCTGAGGTGTAAAAAAATCCTGTAAATGCAGTGGTTTGCAGCAATTGTGTGCATGTGTGTGTGCGTGTGTGTGCATGCATGTGGGTTTTGGAGGGAGCAGCAAGGTGGAAAAATGCAGGAACTACCTCATTCTTCTACCTGCCTTAGGTGCCCTTCTGTGAAATGAAGCGAAATGTTTAGAAAGAACGTATTTCAGTATTTTAAATACTGTTCCAGCCATACTTACATATGCTAGTCTCATATCTGTCCTATATAAGCACTCTGCAAATTTTAGAACACTATATAATTTCATAGGCTCTATAATGCTTTGATTAATTAACAATTAATACTTTAATTAGCACATTGTAGTCTGTAATATAAAATGTAATTATCCATAACAGTCAATCTTGCATCATTAAATTGACCTAACCAGAACAACGAAAAAGCAAATAAACAGTGTAATTCACCCTCTTTGGAAAATCCCTGAGAGGGTTTCTCCACTCCTTCCTCTAGTGTTCCAGTTTGAGATCCTGTTGAGTAGATCTAGTCTGTTTCCATGAGCTCCTCTTCCGCCAGCATTACCTGCCATATTGAAATGCTGCATCACTTCAGCTGAGGATTAGGCTTTGGCTAATTATAATGGTATATTCAGAGCTCTGACTTGGATCCTAGCAAGAGTGACAGTATGGAAGGCGGAATGTTGGTTCCCCATGATTCTGACCCTCCAATCTAGTGATACATCTGTGAATATGTCGAGATGGCAACAGAAAAAAATGAATACAGCCTGGGCGCGGTGACTCACACCTGTATTCCCAGAACTTTTGGAGGCTGAGACAGGAAGATCACTTGAGCCCAGGAGTTCGAGACTATCCTGAGCAACATGGCGCGACCTCGTTGCTACAAAAAATACAAAAATTAGCAGGGCATGTTGTCATGTGCCTGTAGGCCCGTTTGCTCAGGAGGCTTGAGGTGGGAGATCGCCTGAGCCCGGGAGATAGAGGCTGCTGTGAAACAAGACTGCACCACTGCACTCCAGCCTGGGTGACAGAGTGAGACTTTGTCTCCAAAAAGAAAAAAAAAAAAAGGAGAAGAATATAGAATTCAGTACTTGGAAGTGGTGTCCCGTTATAATAAATTCCTAAAAATGTGAACATAGATTTGGAATTGGGCAGTGAGCAGAGGCTGAAACCTTTTTGAGAAGCATGATAGAAAAGGCCTATATTGCCTTCCACAGACAGTAAAGATGCATATTTTAAGGGTTCTGGTAGTGAGAACTCAGAAGGAAGTAAAAGACTTGGTAGAGAAACCATAAATTCTCTTAGAGAGTAGCCATGTCACCACAAACATACTTGCAGTGAGCCAAGATCGCGCCCCTGCACTCCAGCCTGGGCGACAGAGCGAGACTCCATCTCAAAATAAAAAGAAATGCTATTGAAAACTAAAGAGAGGGGATCCATGTCATGTATTGGCAGAGAGCTTAGTAAAATTGTGCCCTGCAGTTATATGAAATGTATAACATACACAACAATCTTTGTCATTTAGCTGAAGACATTTCCAAACTAAGTGTTGAAGGCACAACCCAGACTCATCTTGTTGCCTATAATAAAACATGAGAAGAGAGAGATACATTCAGAAAATAACTGTTAAGCAAAAAGGAACCATGAGTGAATGATTTGGGAAGTGGCAGCCTATCCAAATAGCAAACACTGCTAAAATGGAGAAAATCACTGTCAGGAATGCATACTCTTGAGAAAAACTGAGAGTATGGTTTAACAAACTTTTGCTAGTGTCTCAAAAACATTAAAAAATTGACTTTATTTTTGATCATTCAGTGACACAAAAAGCTTTTGGAAGAGATTGAGAGTGTGTGAAATCAGTAATTTGAACAAATCAAGGAGGAAAAAGTTCAAAAAGTTAACATAATTGTGTCTATAAAAGTGTGGTGAATGAAGGTCGCAGAGCACAATGTTTGCCAAATAGAAAATTGTCTATTTAAGTCCAAGATCCAGACCTTTCAGCTGCCCTGGAATTGGTACCTTCCTTGTGTGCATAACACTATAATATTTTTTTAAACTATGTGAAAATGACGGAAACTAAAATTGAAGTAGAGCCTTCATGATTTCCGTTTGTCTTTGGTTTTCAGTTCTTTGAATACGGTGTGACTCTTTTTTTGGGTATTTATTCTGCTTGATATTTTCTGAGCTTCACGGGTCAGTGGTTTGGGGTCTGCCACTAATTTTGAAAAATCACAATTGCCCAATTTTTACTTCTTCAAATGTGTCTTCTTTCCTGCTCCATTTTTCAGCTCTTCTGGGATTCCAATCATCTGTATGTGAGAGTGATACTGTTGCACAGCTCTTGAAACACTTGTTTTGTTGGATTGTCTTTAGTATTTTTTACTCTTTGCGTTTCAGTTAGGGCAGTGTCTACCTCCCTAGCTTCAGTTTCAGGCACATGAATCTGGATCTTGGGAGTATGCCTTGCACAATTGTTACAGCCTCATCTCCACTTGGAATGTGATGTCTAGCAGTATTTCTGCTCCTCTATTTAGGGTAGAGCTTTATTTATTTTCTTGTTCCCCTCTCCCATCTGAGGTGGATTTTTATGAGAGCCTCAAGCTACAATTTTTCTTGCTGTTTCCCTTGCAGACTGGCTTTTGTATCATAGGGGAGATAGACGAGATATTTCTAGGTAGAATTTTATCAGTTGCAGCCCTCTCATTCCTTAGTCAGTATTATGAGGATGAGGAAAGCTTTCCCAGGAACCTCCCCAGTCATCCCCATGAGTACTTGGTGGGCTTCCTTGTTGGGTGTTGAGGGGGGACCTAACAGAGGGTAGCAACTACCGTGTGTCCGCAGCCCCCAGGCATCTCACATGCCTACAGTAGTACCCTAATGACTCTTATGGTATCTGTTATTGTCTGCCCCTGGTAAATAAATGTGAGGGTCCTGTTTCTCCCCCTGGTAGCCTGTGTCTCTGTACATTTTAGTTTAGTGGCTTGGCCTGAGTTCTCAGTTCTCTGATGGGTTAAGGAAATCATTCCTTGGTTGTTTGTTCAGCATTTTTGTTGTTGTTGTAAAGATGAGTGTGAGATTCCAGCTGCTATATCTTGGGGGTGAAACTGGAAGCAAGCATATTGCCTTTCCAGTCCTTACCATGATGCAGAAACTTTGCATCCATCCAAAGAGTCAAGATAGGGTATTAAGAGAAACCACCATCTCTGTTTATGTTATATTTGTTATGTAGAATAAGCATATCCAGTTTAATATGGAGAAAAATTAATAAATATAGTTTATCAAAAAATTAAAGGCACTCCAGTTTTGTTTTGTTTTTACTGTGCATTTCTTTCAGAAACTGCATTGTTAAAATTGGATGGTAAATCATATTTTATTCCTAGAAAGAATGCTACAATTGAGGCTGAGTACCCAAGTAATCATTTAGGATCAAATAAATCACAATCATAATGATACACTAACCACTCAACCTTAAATTTTTCTGACCATTTGAAATGGCTAAAGTAGGCTCCAATCCCCCATCCCAAGTAGCCATAAATATATTACCCACTCAATTTATTCTAGATTATTAAGGATATAAAATGATCTATGATGTACCACAGAGTTAACAGTAGAAATCTGAACTGTAACACAATTAAACCTGAATTTAATAAGATATATTAACTAATATATTAATGAACTATGATTTCTCTCAAAATTTAGAAAGACTTCTAATAAATAATTTGTAAAACTTAAATCTCTTTAGTGGTCTCATGAAGTTCAAACTGAGGTTTTCTTTTTCTTTTTTATAATGAGACAGAGTCTCACTCTGTCACCCAGGCTGGAGTGCCATGGTGTGTCTCGGCTCTCCACCCACTGGGTTCAAGTGATTCTCATGCCTCAGTCTCCCAAGTAGCCAAGTAGCTGGGATTGCAGTCACATGCCACCATGCACCACCATGCACCACCATGTCTGGCTAATTTTTGTATTTTTAGTAGAGATGGGGTTTCACCATGTTAGCTAGACAGGACTCAAACTCCTGGCCTCAAGTGATCCACTCGCCTTGGCCTCCCAAAATGCTGGGATTACAGGTGTGAGCCACCCCGCCTGGCTGAGCATTTCTTTATGTTGCTAAAAATGCCCTTAAAATAACATGACATACTCGATAACTATTTATTTATTTATTTTTTAGAGACAGAGTCTCCTTCTGTCACCCAGGCTGGAGTGTAGTGGCACAATCATAGGTCACAGGAGCCTCCAATCCCTGGGCTCAAATGAGCCTCCTGCCTCAGTGACCTGAGTATGTAGGACTACAGGCACTTACCACCATGCCCAGCTAATGTAACTTTTTGTAGAGACGAGATTTTGCTATGTTGCCCAGGCTGTTCTTGAACTCCTGGCCTCAAGTGATGCTCCTGCTTTGGCCTCCTGAACTGCTAGGATTATAGGTATGAGCCACCACACCTGGCCGTCAATACCATTGTTCAAAAAGTAGACTGCATTTTCCTGCAGCACCTCCTTGCATCATCAAAGTAAAGAAAGGTTGTGGATATTTATATACTAGGTTTCACAAAAATGGTAAATGAAGCACAGATTTCAAATCCAGGGAAGGTTGTATAGCTCATCTACAGAAGTTCCTGCAATCCTCATTAGGGTCAAACCATTTATTATTACTGCCTTGAGAGTTGGACTTTTATAGGCTGCTTGGGTCCTCTTGGTTCCCAAACTGCGCTGGTGAATGTGCCTGTTGGAATGCAGGTCAGGGGCTGCTGAGTTCTCCCATTCGTTTGCATCAGCTGCCCTGGAGCAAGTCACAGTGTTGGCTGTGCACCCAAACCTGGACCAGAGTCTTACAGAATGGTGGAGTGAGGGGGAAGGCAAATTCTCTCCCAAAAAGCAATGATAAAACTGAACAAAACTTTTGTCAAAAACATCCATTTCAGGACTCTGAAACTGGCCAGAGATGTACAACAAATTTATAAGAGTTTATTCAAGAAAGACTGCTTTCAAGTAATAGCAGTGGAAATTTGGGGTGTGTTAGCCTGGGATTTCTCCCTCTTTATGTTAAACTTGACAAAGACCCCAAAGAAACTGTCATATGTATGTTCAAAGAACTCAAGGAAAACTTTTAAGAAGGAAAGGAAATAGGAATGTATGAAGATCATGTTTTCTTACCAACTTTGTTCAGCAATATTTTGTGGCTTTCTATTAAGCCATATGACACAACTTTCCTATCTGATATTAACATAGAAACACTGGGTTTCTTGTGGTTAGTGTTTGCAAAGTGTATTTTTTCATTTTTTTTTTTCTTTCAACATTTCTGTGTCCTTGAATTTAAATCAGGTCTCTTGAAAACACCATATCGTTGGGTCAGCTTACCCTGTTTTATGATGTATTTTTCAAGAAGTGCTTAATCTATTTCCTTTTAATGAAATTTTTGATGCAAATGAGTGTACATCAACCATCTTGCTATTTGGTCACGATTTGTGTCATCTGACATTTTATCCTTCATTAGTTAGTTTTCTGACTTTTCTGGATGGTGTATTTTTATTACTGTCTTTTTCATTGAGTTTTTAGCTATATCTATATTTTTAAATATTTCTCTTGAAATTACAACATGACTTAAGAAATAGAACTTATTTTTTAGACCAGTTTTAGGTTCACAACAAAACTGAGCAGGAAATACAGAGTACCTATCTACCCCTCCTCCCCTATCTTCACCACAGGCACAATTCCCCCCTTTATCATTCTCCTGCACCTTAGTGGTATAGTTGTTATAATTGATGGCCCTACCTTGATGCGTCATCACCACTCCAAGTCATAGTTTACACTAGGGTTCGCTCTTGGCGCTGTATATTCTATAGGTTGCGAAAAATGCATAATGACATGTGCCCACTGTTGTAGTATCCTACGGAATGATTTCACTCCACTAAAAATGCTCTGTATTCTGCCAATTACAACATATATTCTTATTAAACATTTTGTCTTGAGATAATTCCCATGCAGCTCAATACTGAGATAGATTTATGTATATTTGTCAAAGATAATACAGAAAGATCCTGTGTACTCTTTACCTAGGTTCTCTCAAATACAATAATCTTGCAAAACTATACCATGGCAGCCAGGAAATTGACATTGATACAATCCACTGATCTTATTCCAGTTTCTTCAGTTTTATAGTACTCACTTAGGTGAGTTCAGGTGTGTGTATTCAGCTCTATGCAATTCTATTACATGTGTGGTTTTATGTATCCACCACTTCAGCCAAGATACAGAAGAGTGCCACCACAGGGATCCCTCACTTTGCCCTTTTATTACAATACTCACTTCCCTTCCACACTGATCCCATTTCTAATCCTGGCAATCACTAATCTGTTCTCTGCCTCAGTTATTTTTTTAAAATCTCAATAATGCTATATAAATGGAATCATACAGTATGTAACATTTTTGAATTGGCTTTTTTCTTCACTCACTGTAACTCTCTGGAGATTTATCTAAATTGTCACATATATCAATAGTTTCTTCTTTTTTATTGCTGAATATTATTCCATGGTATTCACATATCACATTTTTTTAAAGCCACAGACCTACTGAAGGACATTGCTTCCTAGATTTTGTTTTTCTTGTTATTATGAATAAAGTTGCTAAAAACACTTGTGTACTGATTTTTATGTGAACCTCAGTTATCGTTTCCCTGGAATAAATGCCCAAGAGTGCAATTGCTGGATCGTATACTAATTGTATAGTTATTGTATAAGAAGCTGCCAAACTGTTTCCTAGAGTGACTGTACTAATTTACAGTCCTTCCAACAATGAGTAACTGATTCAGTTTTTCTGCATGCTTGCCAGCATTTTATGCTGTTACATTTTTGTTTTAGCCATTCTGATAGCTATACAGTGATATCTCATTGTGGTTTTAATTTGCATTCCTCTGGTAAACAATGAAACTAAACATTTTTATGTGCTTATTTGCCATCTGTATATTCTTTTCAGTGAAATGTCTATTGATATATTTGGCTTATTTCTAACTGGATTTTTGCTTTTTTACTGTTGTGTTTCGAGAATTCTTTACATGGTCTACAGGGTAATACTTTTTTGAGTATGTGTTTTGTAAATACTTTCTCACAGTATGTAGTCTGCATTTTCATTGTTTTTACAGGGTCTTGTGCAGAGTAAAAGTTTTTAATTTTGATGAGGTCCAGTTTTTATCTTTTTTTCCTTTAAAGGATCGTGCTTTTTGTGCCTAAAAAGTCTTTCCTAGCCCTAGATCTCAAACACCCCTCCTGCTTTTTTTTCTAAAAGTTATACAGTTATAAATTTAAGTCTGTGATCCATTTTGAGGTTTTTCTTTTTATATATAAGGTGTGAGGTTTTGGTTGAGATTCCAATTGCTCCAAAAGATCTACTTCTTCCATTGAGTTGCTTTTGCCTTTATGTCAAAAATCATTTCAGGATATTTATATGGGTCTATTTATGAGTTCACTATTTTGTACCACTGATTTACATGTTTGCTTCTTTACCAATACTACACTTTCTCCATTACTGTAGCTATGTAGTAAGTCTTAGTATTGGGTACAGTGTTTTCTGTCACTTTATTCTTATCTTCCAAGATTATTTTTTGTCTACTCTAGGGTCCCTGCTTGTCCATATAATCTTTAGAATAAACTTGTCAACATCTACAAAAACTTGCTTAGATTTTGGAGGGAATTATATTAAACCTATAGGTCAATTTGGAGAGAAAGTGTACTCACCATGTTGAGTCTTTAAATGAACATAGTACCTCTCTCCACTTATTTAGGTCTCTGATTTCTTTCATTAGTATTTTGTCATGTTCAGCATTCAGATACTGTACACTTTTTGTTGGGTTTATATCTAAGTACTTCATTTTCTTTGGAGTAGTTGTAAATGGTATTGTGTTTTTAATTTTGGTTTCTGCATACTCATTTTTAGTATATAGAAATATTGAGAGGTGAAGTCAGCTGGACTTCCTGGGTCGAGTGGCGACTTGGAGATTTTTTGTGTCTAGCTGAAGGATTTTAAATGCACCAATCAGCACTCTGTAAAAACGCACCAATCAGTGCTCTGTGTCTAGCTAAAGGATTGCAAACACACCAATTAGCACTCTGTAAAATGGACCAATCAGCACTCTGTAAAATGGACCAATTAGCGCTCTGTAAAATGGACCAATCAGCAGGACGTGGGCGGGGTCAAATAAGGGAATAAAAGCTGGCCACCCCCAGCCAGCAGCAGCAACGCGCTGGGGTCCTCTTCTGTCCCGTGCGTAGTTTGTTATTTCGCTCTTCACGATAAATCTTGCTACTGCTCACGCTTTGGGTCCGCACCACCTTTAAGAGCTGTAACACTCCGTGAGGAGGTCCACGGCTTCGTTTTTGAAGTTAGTGAGACCACGAACCCACTGTCAGGCAGAAACATCTGAAGGAACAAACTTCGGACATAACATCTTTAAGAGCTGTAACACTCACTGTGAAGGTAGGCGTGGCTTCATTCCTGAAGTCAGCGAGACAAAGAACCATCCGGAAGGAACCAACTCTGGGCACAATGTGATTAATATTTTTTGTGTTGATGTTGTATTCTGTTACTTTGCTGAAGTGACTTTTAGTTCTAGACCTTTATTTTTGTATATTCCTTGGAATATTCTATGAAGATGATCATGTCATCTGCAATTGGAGGTAGCCTTATCTTTTCCTTTCTCTTCTGCATGTTTTTGCTTTTCTCTCCTTGCATTATTGCAGCAGATAAAACTTCCAATATTATGTTAAATACAAGTGTTGAGAGGCGGAATCCTTGTTTTGCTCCTGATCTTAGAAAGAAAACATTCGGTTTATCACCATTAAGTACAATGTCAGCTGTAGGATTTTGTAGGTGTTTTTTATCGAGGTCACTTAGTTCTTCTGTATTCCTAATTTAGGGAGTTTCTAGCATGTGTCAGTACTAAATTTTGTCAAATTCATTTTTGTGTCATTTCCTTCTTTAGCCTGTTAGCATGGTGGATTACATTAATTGATTGCAAATGTCAAACCCACCTTACATTCCTGGAATGAATCACACTTGATCACTATTTAAAAATGTTTTTGTACATTTTTGTATTTAATTTGCTAATATTTTGTTGATGGCTTTTGTGTCAAAGTTTATGAAAAACG
This sequence comes from Homo sapiens, assembly GCF_000001405.40. Taxonomy (NCBI): domain Eukaryota; kingdom Metazoa; phylum Chordata; class Mammalia; order Primates; family Hominidae; genus Homo; species Homo sapiens. Next base: position 4,209,480 of record NT_187660.1, read on the forward strand.
TTTGTCTATATTTTTCTTCTTTGGTACTGTTTCTGTCTTGTTTTGGTATCCGCCTTATAAAATGAAGTATGAAGTGTTCCTTTCTCTTCTATTTTCTAGAAGAAATTGTGTAAAATTTCTGTCAGTTCTTTAAATATTTGGTAGAATTCTCCAGGGAAATGAAGTGGAGCTGCAAGTTGTTTTTTAGGAGCTTTTAAATTATGAATTCCATTTTTAAATAGTTTTCTTTACTAGAACCACTTAGATTATCTGTTTCGTGTTGGTTGCATTTTGGTAATTTTTGGTTTTTGAGCAACTGATTCATTTTTTCTACATTGTCAAATTTATGAGCATAAAGTTGATTATAATATTCCCTTTCTGCCATTTTAATGGCTGTGGGCTTTGTGGTTAGTTTCATTACTGATACTGTTGATTTGTGTCTCTTCTGTTTTAATTTTGCCAGTCTTGCTAGAGTGACATTGATATTTTTGAAGAAGCAGCTTTTTGTTTTATTTTTTCTACTTTCCTGTTTTCCGTTTAGTTGATTTCTGCTCTCACCTTTATGATTTCCTTCTGCTTGCTTTGGGTTTCTTTGGCTAATCTTTTTCTAGTTTTTTGAGGGGAAAAACTTACTGTTTTGGGTCCTTTCTTCTTTTCTAACATAAACGTTTAGGGTTATAAGATCCCCCTCAGCTCTGCATTAGCTACATCCCACATATTTTGATCTATTGTCTTTTTATTCTTATTCAATTCTATGTGTACTTTTTGAAATTTCCTTGGATCTCCTTCTTGACCATAGACTATTTAAAGGTGTATTATTTAATTTCAGAGTATCTAGAGATTTTTTTCTGTTGTCTCTCTAGGTCATGTACTTTTAACTTATCACAATCTATTTGTGAATAGTATTGTGAAACTTCATTAAAAAAGTGTAAGAAACTTACAACAGTGTAATTCTATTTTCCCCTCAATCTGGAGTTGAGCTGGTTTTGGTCTGGGTTGTAGATTTAATTAATTTCAGTTTACCACAGGTTTCATATATTTCAAAGGTAGCAGCCAGGGCCCTCCTTTCATTAGGAATAGAGAGCTAAGACTCTGAGGTCTCCCTAAGCTTTCTCGCTCATTTCCAGCTTCCCGTACCTTGGAAGAAATCCATGTTGCAGCCTGCCCTGGCTTCCGACTCCACAGGACCTCTCCTTCTGTCTGCCATCCTACCCTGTCCCAGGTGCCCAGCCATCACTCTGTATTTGAGATGAAATGTCTGAACGAAAAGATTTATGGGGCACGTAGATGAGTGTACTTTGGGGGCGCTTCTGGGTTTGAATCCATCACGCCTGGCCTACAGGGTCCTTCTAGATTTCTTTGGTTTCTTTTTGTCTCAGCCAAGAGCCGAGTCCTCCCTGCTTATGGCTGGCTTGTTCTTCCCACCACACCCCAGAGATAAAAGCAGTTGCAGGTTTTTATTGCTTTGGACAGGCTCGTCCCTCCCTTGAATGTTGTGCGTTTAGACTTCTATGCATTTTCAGGTCTCTACTGATTGTCACGTGTGATGATTGGAATAAATCAAGATTTCCTCATTGTTATATTGCGAGCAACAGCTTTTTACAACCTTTTACACTCTAACAAGAAGCAGAGCTCCCACTATTCTGTTTAACCAGCAAAACCTCTCAGCAACCTCATCTGTCACCCATGGCCTTGGAGTTTGGGAGCTAATGGTTTGGTTTCCAACATGTTTGAAAAAAATGTCATAATGCCTCCCCCATAATTTTGTCACAAATCGTATCTGTCTTTTCCAAAGTGCTACTCTCAGAAAAAGATACCTCTATATCACAGATACAAAAATTCGGGGAAATCTTAGTTATTCCAACAGGTTGAGTAATTCTACTTTTCTCATTCAAGGCTGGAATTGGACACCTATTAATATTAGACCCTCATGTAAGTGTTACCTAAATTCTCACCTCTCCATACATGAATAAGGTCACAACTTTAACTGCTATGTCTTGCTTCAGAAGTTGGGCTAAGTAGGACTTCCTCTAAGTTAAGCACTATTCTGAGCACTTCAACAGACCGAGTCTTTTATAAGACTTACCTATCAACAACCTTATAAGGCAAGTATCATTATAATCCCCCTTTCAATGCATAGATACCTTGAGTGATGTGGCTAACGACCCATGGTTAGAAACCGAAGACAGGAAGTGTAGAGTCAAAGACAATGATCTGGCCGAGCACAGTGGCTCATGCCTGTAATCCCAGCACTTTGGGAGGCCAAGGTAGGTGGATCACCTGAGGTCAGGAGTTCGAGACCAGCCTGGCCAACATGGTGAAACCCCGTCTCTACTAAAAATACAAAAATTAGCCGAGTGTGGTGGTGCATGCTTGTAGTCCCAGCTACTTGGGGTGCCGAGGTAGGAGAATTGCTCGAACCCGGGAGGCAGAAGTTGCACTGCAGTCCAGCCTGGGCGACAGAGTATATGCCATCTGAAAAATAAAATAATCAAAAAGACAATGATCTTTTCTTTTCCTCTAAGCTATATTGCCATGCACAGTCTGTGCCTCATTACCATTGGGTCATAATGTCTATGGCTGAGCCAATGATGCCTAATTTAATCATTTTGAGGAGTATGGTCAAGTCAGTTGCAGTCACAAAGAGAACACCTCTGGTTTGTACCATTTTTTTATTTGTTTGCTTTGGTTCAGAATTCTGTTTTTTAAAATGATTTCTTTTACTCTTACTATTATTTTATTACTGTTACTTTAAAAATTGTCATTACCCCATCCTATCTCCTTATCTACCCAAAGCTAACCTTGACATTGGTGTGGGGAAGACTTAACTTTTTGTGAAAAGTGTTTGCTGCCCTTCTTGAGGCTCATGCCTGTAATCCCAGCACTTTGGGAGGCCGAGGTGGGCGGATCACGAGGTCAGGAAATCGAGACCATCCTGGCTGACATGGTGAAACCTCGTCTCTACTGAAAATACAAAAAATTAGCCGGGCGTGGTGGCGGGTGCCTGTAGTCCCAGCTACTTGGGAGGCTGAGGCAGGAGAATGGCATGAACCTGGGAGGTGGAGCTTGCAGTGAGCCGAGATCGCACCACTGCACTCTAGCCTGGGCGACAGCGAAACTCTGTCTCAAAAAAAAAAAAAGAAGAAAAGTATTTGCTTCCCTTTCCTGGGGGAGGAGTAGTTTCTCCACCTTGCTGCCATTAGGATTGGCTGTGTGAATTGCTTTGGCCAGGGAAATGTGGGCATAAATGATCCTTGTCCCTTTCAGCAGAAGTAGTTTCACTTTTTCTTTTCCGTGTGCCATGAGCCTGGCAAACTCTGAGAGTGTCTGCTTTATCTACCAGATTCCAGAGTGAAGAGGATTTGGTGCCATGGTGTGGCTGATGGATATGTAACATAATAGGATGGGAAAAAAAGCGAGGGGGCAGGGGTGTGGAGCATTATTTGTTATTGCAGCATAACTTAGCCTTTACTTATAAAGGGTGCCCTGCCAAGACATGTTTTTATGATTTTACTAAACGTGTTATATAAAATATATCTCTAAACCATATGTGAATTGGTTCTCAAAGTGTGATCCCTGGATCACAAAAGGGTGAAAGCAAGATAAAATGGTTTCAGTCTTTTGGGGGGAAATAAGATAAAATATATTTACATAATAATACTAAGACATTATATGAAATTTTTTTACTCTCATTCTTTCATGAGGATACAGTGGAGCTACCTAAAGGTGTAAATGCTCTGATGCCTAAGGAAATGAATACTTGCATTCTTGTGTTTCAAAACTTTTTTAGCTTTAATTTCTTATATAGAAAAAATTAATAAATGCAACCCAAATGAAATAAATCTCTTTGGAACTTCAATAATTTTAGGAGAGTAAGAGATTCCTAAAACCGAAAAAGAGAAACATTGATGTAGTTTGCTGTTTAGTATATTTATAAATTTTACTTAAGTGATATTTGGTGACTTGCTTTTTAAATTCAACATTCCGTTGAGGTCTATCCCGATAGGTCTTTTCCTGTAGCCTGCACGTTGTTGGAAATGCCTCATAGAGTAACTCTGTGATTTTACTTTACTTACAGGACTATTGTTACATCTGTGGGAAGGAACCACAAGACAGTTGCTGAAGTATGAAAAAGACAGTTACTAAACTGTCTTTAGTTCAGTAACTGTCTTAGTAAAGACCTGATAATTTACTTTTTTACCTTAGGTATTGGCATATTCCACACATCTGTACTATTCTTGAATTTGATCACTTAGGAACGAATATGATTGGAACTCATTCATGTTTAGAGAGGGTGTCAAATTGAGAACCAGGCAGATCCACCTACACTAAAAATGACCCTAAAGTAAATTGGTGGAAGAAATCAGATCCCAAAGACTACTGGTGAATTTTGAAGTCTTCGTCAGTATATCCATATTAAAAGGAGATGACAGAAGCCAAAATAAAAGAATTATGGGTTGACAGGACAACTGGATTAAAATAAATGTCAGTTTCATTTGAAAGGGCTAACTTGAAGGTAATTTTTGAAAATAAATTTTGACTCCAGCTCTTCAGAGGATCTAAAGTGACCTTGATGGGCAGTGGAAGAAATCAAAACATGAAATTCCTTGAATAAAAATTTATTGACTTTACAAAATAAGTAAATAAATGAATTCAACCTTCTCTCGCTAAGTTAGTGTATGAAAGTGGGTACACATTAGACTGAGCTCATTCCTTTCAGCTGTTTATACTGTTATAAAATAGTTTCAAAAAGCGGAAAATACCTGCTCTTCAAAGTTTTTGGAACATGTGACTTTATAAAGCATATGCATTTGATCACCTTCCCAAATGCCTTTCTTGTGCCAATGAATAATACATTTGCTTCACAATTGAAGTAATATACCCTCCTGCTCTGCTTCCTATCCTATTGCCAAATTCAGTGACTGAATGGGCATTTTCATATTCAGTCCCCTAACTATGACCTCTCGATTTTACAGAGAAGCTTAATCCCGGTTAGTCTCATTCTCTCACTGGGGATTCTCTGTTTCCTTGAGGGGCCTCTGAGATGAGAACAGCTTTGCAAGGACTGGGAACCTGTGATGAGCATAGTGTTGGAAACACTTGAGGCCTTTGTTCTTCCAGAGTAGACATCTCCAACTCCCAGGGACCCCTGCTTTCCCTCTGTCCCTGAATGCTGATTATGGGTCATGAGATTATGTAACAGACAGTTCATACCCTCTGCATGCAATTTTTTCCTACATATTTTGTTAGGGAAAAAATAAAATATACACAGTAGAGAGACTAGTATACTAGTAATCTAGTGTACTAATAACCTAGCTTCAAAATTGCCAACACATGGTCCATCTTGTTTCATTCATTTCTTCACCCACTCCACACTCTCCCCACTGCGTTATTTTTAGTCAATTAGTAGACATCATACATAAATCCTACAGTACTTGTCTCCGAAACACATTGATTCTTTTTTAGAAAACATAACTGCCGGGGGCCGGGCGCGGTGGCTCGAACCTGTAATCCCAGCACTTTGGGAGGCCGAGGTGGGCAGATCACGAGGTCAGGAGATCGAGACCATCCTGGCTAACACAGTGAAACCCCATCTCTACTAAAAATACAAAAAAGAATTAGCTGGGCGTGGTGGCAGGCGCCTGTAGTCCCAGCTACTCGGGAGGCTGAGGCAGAAGAATGGTGTGAACCCGGGAGGCGGAGCTTGCAGTGAGCCGAGATTGTGCCACTGCACTCCAGCCTGGGCGACAGAGGGAGACTCTGTCTCAAAAAAAAAAAAAAGAAAAGAAAAGAAAAAAGAAAACATAACCGCTGGGCATGGTAGCTCTTGCCTATAATCCCAGCACTTTGGGAGGCCGAGGCAGGTGGATCACCTGAGGTCAGGAGTTCAAGAGCAGCCTGACCAACATGGTGAAACCCCACCTCTACTAAAAATACAGAAATTAGCTGGGCGTGGTGACTAACGCCTTAATCCCAGCTACTGGTGAGGCTGAGGCAGGAGAATCGGTTGAACCTGGGAGACAGAGGTTGCAGTGAGCTGAGATCGTGCCATTGCACTCCAGCCTGGGCAACAAGAGCAAAACTCCATCTCAAAAAATAAAATTAAATTAAAAAAATAAAAATTTAAAAAACATAACCATAATACTGTTACTTATACCTGAAAGTCTACAATTCTTCAATATCACCGAGTTATCCAGTCAGCATTCAAACTGCTCATTTCGCATCAAAAACGTTTTTATAGCCGGTTTTTTGGAATTAGGTTTCACAAAAGGTCCAGACATAGATTGGTTATGTCTCAAATCTATCTGTAGGTTTCCCCTTCCCTATTTTTATATCTTGCAAGGTGTCTGTTAATAAAACTGGATCCTTTGCCCTGTGGAACATCCCACAGTCTAGATATTGCTGATTGCAGCCCTGGAGTGTTGAACACGTTCCTCTGTCCCTTGTATTTCCTATAAACTGGTAGTAAAACATGGTCTTAATTAGATTCAGGCTCAATATTTGTGGCAGGAACGCTGTATGTTTAGTGCATTTGCTTGCTATTATGTTGCATCAGGAGATACCTATTGTCTATCTCCTTTTTTGATGTTAATATTGATCTGTGGGTTCAGATGTTATCAGGATGATCTATCCATTATAAAATTTCCTATCAAATAATAGTTCCAGCTGCCAATGATGACCATTGCCTGCATACATTACTTCATTAGGGGTTTGAGAAAGCAAATATTCTAATTCGATCATTTCTTCTGAATTCATTAGCTGTAAAGGAATGCATGCTCATCAGCTATTGGGTTACCGTGAGTTATGAGTCAAAAGGCAAATGAGGTGAATTGTGCATGTGGCATTCCCCCACCCACTCTCCATGTGCTCAGCCTTGTCTGTGCCCTCATGGGCTGCATCAAAAGCTCTGTTGCCCACTGGATTCTGCTTGGGTATAGCTCATGGGAGTCCTGGAATGAGATCAAAGGGAGGAAGGAGAATGAGGATGGAGTTTATTCCCCTGTTTCCTTCCCTGTGCTGTGCCCCGGCGGGCTGCATCCATTACAGCTGTCTCTGCACAGACCTCTCTTACCTGGGTTTTGATAACCACTCCTTCTTTTGCTCCTCCGATCTGCATGAGATCATGGCCCCCTAAATGCCGTGGTGATCATGGCATCGCCACCCTGTGGTGCTGCCCTATTCCTTGTGGTTTCCCTACAAATACTGCCCGTAGCTTTTATACAACCCTTTTACTAAGTCTCATATTACAAAATTTGACTGTAGTGCCTGTTTCACATTGGGAGGTATATTATCCTTCCCCTCTTCCTTGTTTTTTGTTTTTAAATTTTATGGACATAACAGCTGTACATATTTATGAAGTTGATGTGATATTTTGGTACAAGCATACAATGTAGAATGATTGAATCTGGATAACGGGGATATCCATCACCTCAAACATCTATCATTTCTTTGTGTTGGGAACATTTCAAATCTTTTCTTCTAGCTATTTTTAAATATACAATAAATTGTCATTAACACCAGCCACCTTATTGTGTTATCAAACATAGAACGTATGTCTTCTATTGAGCTGTATTTTTGTACCTGTTAAGCAACACCTCTTCACCCTCTGCCTCCTCAGCACCCTTTACAACTTCTAGTAACCACCATTCTATTCAATTCACTGTGTCCATGAGATCAGTTTTTTTAGGTCCCACCTACGAGTGGGAACCTGCAGTATTTTTGTCTTTCTGTTCTGACTTAGTTCACGTAATGCCCTCCAGTTCCATCTGCATTGCTGCACGTGATTTCATGCTGTTTTATGGCTGAATAGTATTCCGTTGTGTCTATCTACCACATTTTCATTTTCCATTCATCTGTTGATGGACACTTAGTTTGATTCCATATCTTGGCTATTATAGATAGTATTACAATAAACATGGGAGTGCAAATATTTCTTTGATACTGATTTCCCTTCTTTTTTTTTTTTTTTTTTTTTTGAGATGGAGTCTCTCTCTGTCACCAGGCTGGAGTTCAGTGGCGCGATCCCAGCACACTGCTACCTCCAACTCCCCGGTTCGAGCGATTCTCCTGCCTCAGCTTCCTGAGTAGCCAGGAATACAAGCATGCGCCACCATGTCCAACTAATTTTTGTATTTTTGGTAGAGCCAGGGTTTCACCATGTTGGCCAGGATGGCCTCGATCTCCTGACCTCGTGATCTGCCTGCCTCAGCCTCCCAAAGTGCTGGGATTACAGGCATGAGCCACAGTGCCCGGCCTAATCTGTTGTCTAAATCTAATTTCTATGATGAGAGTTCCCATTTTTAGGAATGCTCCTTGGTTACTTTCAAATGTGCTCTGTTTTTACAGTCTTGTCTTTCTTCAGCATACTTTTCACCCCCTCTTTATGACCTCAAACATTAAATGTGTGTATTTCATGCTCTGCGGCATAATTCCAATATCTTCAGGCTTTATGTATCAGCTTCTGAAGTTTGTGGTTTCTGCTGACGTGTGTTCGTGATGGCTTTTTTTCCTTCACAAATTCAGTCATTTGGATGAGCTCGTGTTCTTTGGAATTTTGTGGGAACTTTTAGGCCTGAGTTTAAAGCATGTTTTTGTGGAGAGGATTTTCGAAGAACTTTTTTTCAGTACTCTATCCTGCAGCACCCCTGAGAGAGCTATATAGACCTGCAACCCGCTCTGCAGAGGAGTTGTCACCTGGTGCACCCACTGAGGAGCTGGGTTCCATTCAGCCCCTCTCTCCTCTTGCTGTGCAGGCTCTCTATGCCTCTCCACCTGAGTTGTATGCTATAACTCTTGCTTTAGATTTAGACTAAGGATTTTTTGTTTATTGCACAGCTTGTCTCCAACTCATGGACTCAAGCGATGTTCCCAACTCAGCCTCCCAAGCAGCTAGGATTACAGGCTTGAGCCACCACGCCTGGCTAGACTAATGATTTTCAGACAGAATGTTGCAAACTCTTAGTAGTTCATGCTTATTTTAATAGATTACAAACAGGATTTTAAAAACAGACAAGAATAATATAACAGAAAAATAAAATGTTTGGCTGCCTCACAGACAGGGTTGTTTTGTGAAATTCAGTTTTAGATATAAACGTGTGGGTGCATGTTCATGCATGTGTGTGTGTGTGTGTGTGTGTGTGTGTGTGTATTTGAAGGTATGTGCACTGGGTAAAGACATATAAAGTTAGAAAAACACTGCTGTAGATCAGCAGGGACCAGAATATATCCTCAGGACAAACTCTAGCTCTTCGTGTTTTCTCATTTCTGACTACATTGTGTCATTGAAGAAATCTTTACTACTTTATGGTTATAAAGTAAATCTCCTATACTCTCTTTTTAAACTTTATTGCTTTGCTTTTTGCCTTAAATTTATAATCCACTTGGAGTTGATTTTTACGTATATGGTGAATTCAGTACAGTTGTTCCCCCTTATCCACTCCCGTGTTCTTTTGACACAAACCTATTAGTGTTTGATAGCTAACTTGCTTTCTGGCACACAAAAATCCCAGATTCATGTAAAGTTTTTATCCCAAACCTGTAATCGTTTATTTCGCCAAGGGTCCCTGGTTCTTTTCTTAAGGCAAATGATACATACCACAATTTGTGTCCCAGAGGTGTTCGCTTTTATGTCATAGGCATTACTTTTAAGTTTTGAGTGGGCAGAGCTGGGAAATGCATTTACTTTTTCAAAAGGAGAGACAAGAAAAGAGATTGTACTAATGTTTCCAATTCAAATGTAAGTCTATAGGAGTTTTACTTAACTTCTTCATACTTATGTTAGAAATCTTGGTTTCTGATGACAGTAACCACTATTTGCTTCATTATACTATATATGCACACACGTAACTGTTTTAAAACAATACTAATATTAATAATAAAAAGTACACTACTGAGTAACAATAGTTCTTTTAGTTCAGTGCATCTATCTCACTGAGGGTGTATAGTTAAAGTGTTGTGGTTGGGGTCACTTGAAATAAATCTTCCTGGAAAGTTTTTGCCACCAACTTCTAAACCATTGGGATTAGTCACATCAGTCCTTACTGATGGACTTTCAAGGTTGTCTTTTGCTGTCATAAATAGTGCTGTGATACATAACCCTGCACATATGTCACTTCATATATTTGCAGTGTGTTTTATGGATAGATTCCTAGAAATGGGATTCCTAGGGAAAAGATAAAACATTTTTCTTGATTTTGTGAAATTCCCCTCTGTTGGCATGGGGGCATTTCATACCCCCACATTATATGACTGGGAGTGCCAGTGCCAGTTTTTCCACAGCTTTAATGTATATTTTTAAGCTTTTGGGACTTGCCAATCTGATAGGTGAGAAACGGTATCCCAGTGTAGTTTTAATTTGCATTTTTCTTATTATGGTAATATTGAACTCAGCCTCATAAGGTGTCTACTGTTAAAGTGAGGACATTGATGGGGAAGGAAAGGGGTCCTGTGTGGGAAGCCCTAGAAGACACACTTTTCAGCAATGCTTTGAGGAATAGGTTTGTGAGGGGACTCCTACATCCTTAAAGAGCTCCCTGACCGCTCTTCTCTGCAGGCCGGACCTTACAGTGGGAACCATAGTTACTCAACTGGAAAGCTTAAATGCAGTGGGAATAAACGGATTACAGGATGTCAGGGGCCAAGTTGTGGAACTCAACTGCAGAAAACAAGGTGGGCATAGTTACTGTAACGAATAGCAGAGACAAAGCAACAGTGAGAATAGTCTGACTCATGTAGACTCATGGCATTGGGTAATTAGTCATGCGTTCCTAGAAGTAAAGTAGATAGGAAGCCCACTACATTCTTCCTTCATATATATAAACAAAAAACTTCCAGGTTAAATGAATGGAAGTCTAACTCAAATCCTAAAAACAGAGATTCACAGCCCCTCAATAAATTCCCAGACTTGAGCAGTTTTCAGACTCAGAATCCCTTGAATGAAGGAGAAGCTAGATCCTCTTGAGGAAGAAGCCTGGCACATTACTGACAACTTATACTTTTAATCTTTCTGTTATCCTTCCCAAAGGGTCCTGGGACCTTCTGGCAGGGTAACTGTGCATTTCCAATAAAGAAATAATCAGAACTTTCAGGGACTGCTGCATACTGTCCTTTAACTGACATTTATTCCAGGAGACCTGAAATATCACTGGCCCTCCAGGTAGAGTTGAGGCTTATGGAGGTCAGGTAATCAGTAGATATTTAGCTCATGTCCAACTCACAGTGGGTCCAATGAGTTGTTGAACCCATCTTGCGGTTATTTCCCAATTGGAATAGACATACTTAGCAGCTGGCAAAATCTCCACATTGTTTCCCTGACCCGTGGAGTAAGGACCATTATAGTGGGAAAGGCCAAGTGGAATCCATTAGAGGAAAGTAGTAGATTTAAAGCAATCCTGCTACCCTGGAAGGATTACAGAGATTAGTGCTGCCATCAAGGACTTGAAAGGTGCAGGGCTGGTGATTCCCACCACATTTCCATTCAACTGTCCTATTTGCCCTGTGCAGAAGACAGGTGGAGTCCAGAGAATGACTGTGGATTATCATAAGCTTAACCAAGTGGTACTCTAGTTGCAGCTACTGTGCAAGATGTGGTTTCATTGTTTGAGCAAATTAACACATATCTTGGTACCTAGTTATGCAGCTGATCATCTGGCAGGTGCCTTTTCTCCATACCTGTCCACAAGGACTATCAGAAGCAGTTTGCTTTCCAGCAATACACCTTCATTGTCCTACCTCAGGAGTGTATCAATATGCCATCCCTATGTTATAATTTAGTTTGCAAGGAACTTGGCTATGTTACTTTTCCAGAAGACATCACACCGGTCCATTATATCGATGATAAACTGACTGCATAAAAACACTCAGCAAGAAGTGCAACTAGTGAATAAGAAGTACAAGTACCCTAGATTTATTAAGACATTTGCATATCAGAGGGTAATAAATAAATCTGACTACAATTCAGGGGCATTCTACTAAACTTCTAGGGATCCAGTGGTGTGGGACGTGTTTAGATGTCCCTTCTAGAATAAAGCATAAATTGTTGCATCTGGCCCTTCTAAAACCGAGAAAAAGGCATAGTGCCCTTTTCTTATAGTGGGTCTATTTAAATAGTGGGTCTATTTAGATTTGGAGGCAAAATAATGGATCTGTTTAGATTTAGGTGCAGTCAGTTTATTCCAGATTATGCATCTGGAACAGGGAAATATCCACAAGATGGATTCAAGGACCCACTGGACCAACTGCCCATCTACCTAGTGACTAAAAACGCTGCTAGTTTTGAGTGGGGCCCAGAGCAGGAGAAGGCTATGCAACAGGCGCAGGCTGCTGCGCAAGCTGCTCTGCCACTTGGACCACATGGTCTAGTGAATCCGATGGTACTTGAGGTGTCAGTGGCAGATGTTGAGGCTGTCTGGAGCCTTTGGAAGGCCAGTGTAGGTAAGTTGCAGTATAGGCCGTTAGGATTTTGGACAAAGACTCTGCCATCATTTTCATATAATGATTCTCCTTTTGAGAGACAGCTCTCGACCTGCTATTGGGCCTTGGTAGAAACTGAATGCTTGACCATGGGCCATAAAGTTACTCTGCCACCTGAGCTTATCATGAACTGGGTGTTTTTGGACACAAAAAGCCATATAGCTGGGTATGCACAGCAGCACTCCATCATCAAATGGAAGTAAAATATACATGACTGGGCCCGAGCATGTCCTGAAGGTACAAGCAAGTTACATGCTGAAGTGGCCAAATGCCCATGGTCTCCACTCCTGCTACACTGCTTTCTCTCTCCCTGTATCTATGACCTCGTGGGAAGTTCTCTATGATCAGTAGAGATCACACTAGAAAAGACTAGAACCTTGTTTACAGATGTTTCTGCAGGATATGTAGGCATCACCAGAAAGCGAGCAGCTGTGGCACCATGCCCCTTTCTGGGACAGCCATTAAGGACAGTAGTGAAGGGAAATCTTCTCAATGGGAAGAAATGGCCAGATGTGCAATTGTATACCAGATCCTGGGCTGTAGCCTGTGGGTTGGCTGGATGGTCAGGGACTTAGAATAAGATTGAACTATTGGTGACGAAGGTATCTGGGAAAGGAGTATGAGCATAGACCTCTCTGCATGGGGAAAGAATATGAATATATTTATGTCCCATATGAATGCTCAGCAAAGGCTTAAGTGAGCAGAGGAGGACTTTAATAATCAAGAAAATAGGATGACCCATTTTGTGGATACCACTCAGCTTCTTTCCCCAGCCACCCCTGTCATCCTTCAGTAGGCTCATGAATAATTTGGCTATGGTGTCAGTGATGAAGGTTTTCCAAGGGCTCAGCCACATGAACTACTCTCACCAAGGCTGACTTGGTTACAGCACCATAATAAAGGGATAGCATTTTGTCCTCACCGAAATGCATATTTTCTCTGGATATAAATTTGCCTTCCCTGTATGCAATGCTTCTGCCAACACTACCACTCATGGACTTACGGAATGTCTTATCCACCATCATGGTAACACTCTGGGTGAAACCATTCAGATCCGCACTGTTTTCACTGGAAGGTTAATAAATCTGCATGTAAGTTTTTGTTGTGTTTCACATGTTTATCTTGTTTCAAGTATGGTAGGTTGTATTTTTCTAGAAAGTTGTCCATTTTATTTAATTTGCCTTTTTAGGGTACAGCAAATTCTTACTTTCTTTTTTTTAGTTCTGTTTTTTTTCCTACTATTTCTTTTTTTGCAATCAGTTTTATCAAGGACTTATTAATTTTATTCATTTTCTCAAAGTACAAGCCAATTGTGTTTACATGTTTAGTTTCTATTTGGTTAATTTGTTCTTTTACTTACAATTTCCCTTTTTTCCATCGTATGTGAAAAAAATGGAAAGATATACCATGCTCATAGATTGGAGACAATATTGCAATACCATCCCAATCAAAACTCCAGCAGACTTCTTTATTTTGTGAAAGTTGATGACCTGATTATATACTTTATGTGTTGTGTATGAACAAAGCAAGAGAAATGACACACTGGGGAAAAGTATTTGCCTTTATATAGCAGACAAGTAATTTGTTTTCTTAATCATTTCAAATCAATAAGAAAAAGACCAACAAACCAATATTAAAACATGCAAAGGACTTGAATAGTCAGATCACAGATGAGAAGAGTTAAATGAGTCTTAAACATAGGAATGATGTTCAAAATCATTTAAAATATTTAAACTGAAACTTAATGAAGTAAACATGTACAAAATTACAATAAAAATGGACATACCCATAACCATGAAGAAAATTTTAGTATTAAAGAAGCCAATCAGACCAAAAGTTAGTAAAGATAAAGAACATTTGAATAGCATAATTAACAAGCTTGAATTAATGAATATATGTTGTAGGAGTTTGTACCCAATTAGGGATTATATAAACTTTTTACTGACATTGGAAAGTACTAGGCCACAAAGCCAACCCCAATGAATACCAAATAATCAATTTCGTACACATAAGATGATAGTCTCTAATAACTATTCAAAGATGAAAATCAATGCCAAAATATAGCCAAAAAGCCTTATTCCTTTGGAAATTAAACATACTCTGCTAAATAATTCAAGGGGTATATAAATCAATTGAAATCATGAAATATTTATAAGTGAATGATAAAGAGTGACTGTGTATCAATACCTGAGTGATGCTGCTAAAATGGTAATTAGAGGAAAATTTTGAACTTCAGGGGCATCCATTAGAAAAGAAAAAAGACTGGCCATTATTGAACTAAGTTTGCAAATCAAAATGCTGTAAAAAGAAGTAATCCCAATGAAAGCAGAGCAAAGTAAATAAAGCAGAAACAAACATGTATCAATGAAAGATGAAGCAAAGAAACCATGATGATAGTCAATCCATGAGCTATTTCCTCAAAAAGGGCCAGATGTAACTATACGTCTGGCAAGACCAAACAAGTGAAAGAAAGAAAGTACCAGTAAATAATATTAGAAGGACTATATCATCAGATACAGTCATAATTTTAAAATTATAAAAGAAAACCTTGACAAAACAGTTTGTCATTACATTAGAAAAATTAAATGAAATATATAATTTTCTAGAGTATATGTAAAGTACCAAACTTGCCACTGAAATGAAAAAAAGAAGGCATATGAGTAATCCCATTAGCATTACAGAAATTACAATTGAAAACCTCTCATGTTCTCCTTCAAATTGTACTAGGCTTATGGTGTTTCAAGTGGGCTTTAGAAAACTTTCAAATAACAAATACTAATGGCTTCAATTTCATTGCTACATAGAATACATAGAGAAGGAAAAGTAATCAGCTTAAATCATGAGGCTAACATAAGCTTCATGCCCAAACCTGAGACAGACAGAATACTAATTTTAATTACAGTAATGTGGGGGAAAAAATCACAAATATGTTAATACAGGATACACTTCAGAAATGGTTGAATTGAGAAAATTTTCCAGTGGAACTTACAGCACTAAAATATGACAAGTAAATATGTGATTATTTCAAGTTCTTGAAAATGTGCAATAAAAAGCCATTTATGATCAAATATTTATCATAATAGTAGATTTTCATCATGATTATATTATGTATTGAGATTAATATTATATAATAAAAATTAAAACAAATATTATACTTAATGGTTAAATTTCAGAAGCGTTTTCTTTATATTCAGGACAAAACAAGAATATCTGCTATGTTGATTTTCCTTCAACAATATCCTAGAGATCTTACCAAATGCAATAAGAAAAGAAAAAGGTAGATTAAAAAATAAAGTGTCTGTTCATATCCTTGGCCCACTTTTTGATGGGGTTGTTTGTTTTTTTCTTGTAAATTTGTTTGAGTTCATTGTAGATTCTGGATATTAACCCTTTGTCAGATGAGTAGATTGCAAAAATTTTCTCCCATTCTGTAGGTTGCCTGTTCACTCTGATGGTAGTTTCTTCTGCTGTGCAGAAGCTCTTTAATTTAATTAGATCCCATTTGTCAATTTTGGCTTTTGTTGCCATTGCTTTTGGTGTTTTAGACATGAAGTCCTTGCCCATGCCTATGTCCTGAATGGTATTGCCTAGGTTTCCTTCTAGGGTTTTTATGGTTTTAGGTCTAACATTTAAGTCTTTAGTCCATCTTGAACTAATTTTTGTATAAGGTGTAAGGAAGGGATCCACTTTCAGCTTTCTACATATGGCTAGCCAGTTTTCCCAGCACCATTTATTAAATAGGGAATCCTTTCCCCATTTCTTGTTTTTCTCAGGTTTGTCAAAGATCAGATAATTGTAGATATGCGGCATTATTTCTGAGGGCTCTGTTCTGTTCCATTGGTCTGTATCTCTGTTTTGGTACCAGTACCATGCTGTTTTGGTTACTGTAGCCTTGTAGTATAGTTTGAAGTCAGGTAACGTGATGCCTCCAGCTTTGTTCTTTTGGCTTAGGATTGACTTGGCGATGCAGGCTCTTTTTTGGTTCCGTATGAACTTTAAAGTAGTTTTTTCCAATTCTGTGAAGAAAGTCATTGGTAGCTTGATGGGGATGGCATTGAATCTATAAATTACCTTCAGCAGTATGGCCATTTGGATGATGTTGATTCTTCCTACCCATGAGCATGGAATGTTCTTCCATTTGTTTGTATCCTCTTTTATTTCATTGAGCAGTGGTTTGTAGTTCTCCTTGAAGAGGTCCTTCACATCCCTTGTAAGTTGGATTCCTAGGTATTTTATTTTCTTTGAAGCAATTGTGAATGGGAGTTCACTCATGATTTGGCTCTCTGTTTGTCTGTTATTGGTGTATAAGAATGCTTGTGACTTTTGCACATCGATTTTGTATCCTGAGACTTTGCTGAATACTGGGGCTTGTTGTGGGGTGGGGGGAGGGGAGAGGGATAGCATTAGGAGATATACCTAATGTTAAATGACGAGTTAATGGGTGCAGCACACCAACATGGCACATGTATACATATGTAACAAACCTGCACGTTGTGCACATGTACCCTAAAACTTAAAGTATAATAAAAAATAAAAAAAAAAACATTTGCTATTTATAGACAAGTTTATTATTATTATTATTTTACATAAAAACCCAAAATAATCTGAAGACAACACATTTAGAACTATTAACTGAGTTTGGGTTATCAGTTTCTGGATTCAAGCTCAACATATAAAAATCAATGGTGTTTCAACACATCACCAGCAATTAGTAATTTAATCTTTATCCATTTTCTAATGACCTTGCATTCTTTATGTGATCAGAGTTCTGATCTATGTTATTTTTCTTCTTGCTGAAAAATATATTTTAACATTTCTTGCAAGGCAGGTCTACTGGTGACAAATTCCCTCAATTTTTGTTTGTCTGAGAAAGTCTTTATTTCGCCTTCATTTATAAATAATAAGTAAACTAGGTACAGAATTCTATGTTGGTGGGGTTTTTTTCCTTTAAACATTTTAAGTATTTTACTTCAGACTCTTCTCACTTGCATGTTTTCTGAGGAGACGTCTGATGTAATTCTTATCCTTGTTGATCCATAGGTGCTTGTTGCTGTGTTTTGTCCTTTGACTTCTTTTCAAGATTTCCTCTTTGTCTTTAGTTTTCTGCCATTTGAAAATGATACGCCTACATATCAGTTTTTTGGTATTTCTCCTGCTTGGTGTTCTCTGAACTTTTTGGATCTATGGTTTAGTGTCCATTTTTAGTTTTGGAAAATTCTCAGTCATTACTACTTCAAATATTCTCTTTCTTCTCTCTCTGGTGATGTTTCTCCTTTTGTAATCGTTTAATGGTTTTTGGATATTTTGTTCTATCTTTTTCAGTGGTTCTCTTTGCATTTTAGTTCTGGAAGCTTCTTTTGGAATTTCCTCCAATTCACTGGTTCTGTTCTTGGCCATTTCCACTCTGTTGATAAGCCTGTCAAAGACATACTTCATCTCTGTTGTAGAGTTTCTAACTCCTAGATTTATTTTTGATTCATGGAGTTTCCATATTTCTGATTACATCAGTTATCTGTTCTTGCATGGTGGCTGCTTTTTCCATTAGAGCCATCACATTTTAATCATAGTTGTTTAAATTTCTAGTCTGATAATTCCAAATTCCCTGCCATATCTGAGTCTGGTTCTGATACTTTCCTCTGTCTTTTCAAACTATATTTTCTTTCTCTTTTCATGTGCCACATAATTTTTTTCGTTGAAAGCCAGACATCATGTGGTAGGTAAAAAGAACTGAAGTAAATAGGCCTTTGTGTGAGGCTTTATGTTTATCTGGTTAGGGGTTAGGCTATGTTTATAGTATGCTATAGCCGCAGAACCTAGCAGAACCCCTGGAGGTAAAACTCATGAAAATATGAGTTCTCTTCCCCCAAGAATGGGCATCCCTTGAGTTTTTATCTCTCAAGTTTGTCCATAGCAACTTTAACTCTGAGATTGTCGTCTAGCAACTCATCAATGACAGTTTAGTTTTCCTACCCTGGTACTCACTGTAGTGTTGGTTTCTGCTCCAGGGTTTTTGCTTTTAGGATATACGTGGGCTGAAAGTGAAGGGTTGGAAAAGTATATTATATGCAAGGAGTAATCAAAAGAGAGCAGGAGTGGCTATATTTATAGCAGAAAAAGTAAGCTAAGTTAAAAACTTTTATATAAGACCAAAAAGGTCATTACATAATGATAAGGTGGTCAATTCCTAAAGAGGATATAGTAATTGTAAACGTCTCTACACCTAACATTGGAGCACCTAAATATGTAAAACAAATATTAACAGAATTAAAGGGAAATATAGATAGCAACACAGCAATAGGGAGAACAATACCCCTGCTTACAACAATGATCATCAAGACAGGAAACAGTAGACTTAAAACAACATTATGGACGACATTTACCTGACAGACATATACAGAATATTTTGTATATTTAAAAGCAGCAGAATACACATTGTTTTCAAACACACTTAGAAAATTTTCCAGGATAGTTGACATGTTATGCCACAAAACAAGTCTTAACAAATATAAGAAGGCTGTAATTATAGCAAGTATCTTTTCTGACCACAATGGCATAAAACTAGAAATCAAAAACAGGAGGAAAATTGGAAAATTAACATTTGTATCAAAGTGAAATAACATTTCTGAACAAAATTAAACAAAACTTCTGGTAAAAATCTAAAAAGAAATAAAAAAAGATCTTGAGACAAACTAAAATGGAAACACAACAAATCAAAACGTGTAAGATGTGCCAAAGGCAGTCTGAAAGGGAAGTATGTAATGATAAACAACTACATTATGAAAAAGAAAGATATGTAACAAACAATCTACACTTCAAGGAAATAGAAAAAGGAGAACAAACTAAACCCAAAAAGTTAGCAGAAGGAAGACAATAATAAAATTCAGAGCAGAAATAAATGAAATTGAGTAAAATCTAATGGAAAGGATTAATGAAACTAAGACTTGTTTTTAAAAAACAAACAGAACCAACAAACCTTTAGTTATATTAACTAAGAACAAAATGAGGAAGGAACAAATAAATAAAATTATAAAATAAAGAGGAATCATTAGAACTGATACCACAGAAATATAAAGGATCATAAGAGACTGCTATGAACAATTATATGCCAACAAATTAAATAGGCTGGAAGAAATGGATAATTTCTAGAAACAAACAACCTTACCAAGACTGAATTATGAGGAAATATAAAATCTGAGCAGACAAATAATGAGTAAGGAGATTCAATTTGCAATGAAAATCCTCCCCAGAAAGAATAGGACTGGATGGCTCCACTGGTGAATTCTCCAAACATTTAAAAAATTAATGCCAATCCTCAAACTCTTCCAAAAGCTGAAGAGGAGAGAATACTGTCAAACTTATTTTAAGTCCAGCATTTCCCCAATACTAAAGCCAGACAAGTCCACCAACAAAAAAAAAAAAAGAAGAAGAAAAAAGAAAATTAGACCAATATCCCCGATGGACATAGTTGCAGATATTTTCAACAAAACAATAGCAAACCAAATTCCAAAAAGTCCAATGCCACGGCCAAGTGGGATTTATCCCAGGAAAGCAAGGATGTTTCAACATATGAAAATCAATAAAGGTAATACATTACGTTAACAGAATAAAGAACAAAATGCATATGATCATCTCAATAGATACAGAAAAAAGCATTTGACAAAACTTAACATCCCTTCATGTATACCTCAACATAATGAAGTCCTTATATGACGGGCCCACAGCTAGTATCATACTCAGTGGTGATCAGGAACAAGACAATGATGTTTTTTGCTACTTCTATTCAATATAGTATTGGAAGTCTTACCTAGAGCAATTGGGTAAGACAAAGAAAAAAATGCATCCAAATTAGGAAGGAAGAAGTTAAATTGTCTGTGTTTGAAGATGACATAGTCTTGCTTATAGAAAACCTTAAAGGCTCCACTAGAAAAACTCTTAAAACTAATAAAAATTTAGTAAATTTGCAAGATACAAAATCACCATACAAAAAGCAGTAGTATTACTCAAACAACAGACAATACGAAAAAGAAAATAAAGAAAATAATCCCATTTACAATAGCATCAAAAAATACTTCGTGATGAATTTATTCAAGGAGGTGAGAGATCTCTATATGGAAAACTATAAAACATTGATGAGACAAATTGAAGAGGACACAAATAAATGAAAATAAATCCTATGTTCATGGATTAGAAAGCTTAATATTGTTAAAATATCCATAACACCCAAAACTATGTACATATTCAGTGCAATCCGTATCGAAATTTCAATGACATTTTTCACAGAAAAAGACAATTCTAAAATTCATATGGAATCACAAAAGACCTGATATAGCCAAGATGAGAAAAATAAGCTGGAGGCATCACACTACTCAATTTCAAAATACTTTCAAAACTATAGTAATTAAAGCAGTATGGTACTGGCATAAAAACAGACATATAGAACAATGAAGCACAACAGATATCCCAGAAATTAATTCATACATTTATGATCAATTGATCTTCAACAAAAGTGCCAAGGATGTACAATTGGAAAGAATGGCGTTTTCAATGAAAGATGTTGAGAAAACTGAATAATCACATACAGAAGAATATCATTGGATTCTTATCTCATACCATATACACAAATCAACTAAAAATTGATTAAAGACTTAAAGGCAAGACCTGAAACTGTAAAACTACTAGAAGAAAACCTAGGGGAAAACTTCTTGAGATTGATCTGGGTAACGATTTTTTGGATATGACCTCAAAACTACAGGCAACCCAAGCAAAAACGAACAAGTAAGATTCCATCAAACAAGTTCTTTGCTTGCTCTAGAAGTATTCACATTTTCTACTTCTTTTTGAGTTAGTTTTGGTAATTTGTGTCTTTCTAGAAATTTGATCAGAGGATGTTTTGTCAGAAGTCAGCCTATTCTCAGGAGGGGGTTGTATATGGTTCAGGCTGAGAGTGGGCCAGAGCTCATTCAGGGGCCTGGAGGAAGAAGAGATGCTTAACAGAAGTTTGATTAGAAGCATTTCGTTCTGACTGATCTTTGTGGACAAGCAGTACAGTGAATCATTTATGAAGCAAAGAGTAGGAATTTCAAAGGCCTATTTCTGACCCTTTCATAGATAAACAAGGGGACATCTATGAGTCTTATCAAAATCATTTGGGAAAGGGTCGTTCTTTGCAGTAAGCCCTTTTACAGAACACTAAGGTTGGAGGGATTCTTTTTTTAAAAAATTAAATTTTATTTTAGATTCGGGGGTAAATGTGATTATTTTCTGTATGGGAATACTGCATACCGGTAGGGATTAGGCTTCTAGTGTACCCATTACCCAAATAGTGAACATTATGCCCAATAGGTAATTTTTCAACACTTGTTTCCCCACCCTCCCCCTTTTTGGAGTCCCCAGTGTCTATTATTTCCATCTTTAAGTCCATGTGTACCCATTTTTTAGCTTCTACTTACGAGTGAGAATATGTAGTATTTGGTTTTCTGTTTCTGAGTTAGTTCACTTAGGATAATGACTTCCAGCTGCATCCATGTTGTTGCAAAGGACACAGCTGTATTCTTTTTTATGGTTGCATAGTATTCCTTGGTGTGTATATGCCACATTTTCTTTTTCAGGCAACCACTGATAGACATTTAGGTTGGTTCCATGACTTGCTATTGTGAATAGTGCTTCTATGAACATAGAAATCCTGAACAGATTAATAACAAGTAGTGAAATTGAATCAGTAATTTAAAAACTTCCAAAAAACAAAAGCTCAGTACCAGATAAATTAACAGCCAAACTTTACCAGATGCACAAAGCAGAGCTAGTACCAACCTTACTGAAACTATTCCAAAAAATAGAGGAGGAGGAATCCTTCCTAACTCTTTCTACTAAACTTGTATCACCCTGATACCAAAATCTGGCAAGGACAAAACTAAAAAAGAAAACTACAGGCCAATATCCCTGATGAACAGAGATGCAAAAATTCTCAGCAAAATACTAGCAAACCAAATGCAATAGCACATGAAAAAGATAATTCATTATAATCGATTGGGTTTTATTCCAGGGATACAAGGATGGATCAACATTTGCAAATCGAAAAATGTGATTCTTCGCATAAACAGAACTAAAAACAAAAATCATATGATCATCTCAATAGATGCAGAAAAGGCATTCAATAAAATCCAACACCCTAATACCAGCCTGAGCAACATAGAAAGATCCCTGTTCTACCTAAAATAAAAATAACCAGGCATGGTGGCACACATTAGTGGTCCCAACTACTGAGGAGGCTGAGGCAGGAGGATTGCCTGAATCCAGGAGTTTGAGGCTGCAGTGAGCTATGATTGTGCCACTGCACTACAGCCTGGATTCCAAAGCAAGACCTTATCTCAAAAAAAAAAAAAAATCCAACATCTCTTCATGATTAAAATCCTCAGCAAACTAGGCATCAAAGGAACATGCTTCAAAATAATAAGAGTCATCTATGACAAACCTACAGCTAACATCATACTAAATGGGGAAAAGTTGGAAGCATTCACCCTAAGAACTGGAACAAGACAAGGATGTCCACCCTCATCACTCCTGTTTAACATAGCATTGGAAGTCATACCAGAACGACGAGGCAAGATAAATAAAAGGCATCCAAATTGGAAAAGAGAAAGTCATGTTGATGACATGATCTTATATCTAGAAAACCCTAAAGACTTCTCCAAAAGACTCCTAGACTTGACAAATGATTTCAGTAAAGTTTCAGGATAGACAAGCAAGGTAAAAATAATTAGGAAGGATTTCTTAAACGTCATTGTTTTTCAGGATCATGGGACTCAGGAAAATTCAACATTGTTGCATTGTACAAAAAAAAGCAGAAAGGCAGATCCTTGGGAAAACATAGACTATTCCCAAAATGGTTCCAGGACAATTGGTTTTAGGTATAAAATAATAATAATAACCATGCCACACCATAAATAAAAACCAATTCCAGAAGGATTACAAATTTAAATGAAAGTTATATTTTCAGCAATAGGGCAAACTAGATTGTCTGGAAAATCTCTCATTGTAAATCTCCTAAAAATGATGGATAAATTTTTTTTAAAGGGAAGATAAAACTTCAGAATAAATAAGAGACTGCACCAATTTATAGTTGACCCTTGAACGACATGGGTTTGAACTGGCACAGGTCCACTTACACGTGGATGTTTTTCAACCAAACAGAAATACAGCATTTGTGGAACGTGAAACCCTTGTATAGGGAGAGCAGACTTTTCTTATACGTGAGTTCCGTGGCAGGGGTGACTGCAGGAGTTGAGTATGTGCAGATTTGGGCATGTGCTTGGGCCCTGGAACCAATCCCCTGCATATACTGAGAGATGACTATATATATTAAATATTAATACAAGTACCTTAAATATGTAATTATAATTCTTATGCAACATATATTTATAATATTGGTATATGCATGTATTTAAGATATTTACATGCAATTTCATAACTATATATTAAATAAGAATGCATATCTATGTCTATATATCTATTAGAACTAACTGAAAGAAGAGACAGATTACCTACAAAGGAATAAAGTATAGAAGCAGTATGAAACCAGTAGAAGTTAGAGTAAGTTCTGGGAGAAGATAACTGGCAACTTAGACTTGTATACTCCCTGAAACTTTCTTTCAAGCCATGTGGGCATGACCTTTATCCTTTGGAAAGATTTTTAAATACCAGGTTAATTTCTTTACTATTTTATTACTTTTTTTTTTTTTTTTTTGAGACGGAGTCTCGCTCCGTCGCCCAGGCCTGGAGTGCAGTGGCGCGATCTTGGCTCACTGCAAGCTCCGCCTCCTGGGTTCACGCCATTCTCCTGCCTCAGCCTCCAGAGTAGCTGAGACTACAGGCGCCCGCCACCACACCCAGGTAATTTTTGTGTGTGTGTGTATTTTTAGTAGAGACGGGGTTTCACCGTGTTAGCCAGGATGGTCTTGATCTCCTGACCTCATGATCTGCCCACCTTGGCCTCCCAAAGTGCTGGGATTACAGGCATGAGCCACCGCGCCCGGCCTACTATTTTATTTCTAAAATAATTTCAACTTTTATTTTAGGTTCAGGGGGGTACATGTGCAGGTTTTGTTACATGGGTATATTGTGTTGATGCTGAGGTTTGACGTATGAATAGTCCCATCATCCAAGTAGTGAGCATAGTGCCCAATAGGTAGTTTTTCAGCTCTTGGTCCCCTTCTTCTCACCCCCTTCTAGTATCCCTAGTGTCTTTTGTTCTCAACTTCATGTTCATGTGTACCCCATGTTTAGCTTCTATGTATAAGTGAGAACATGTGGTATTTGGTTTTCCATTCTTGCACAAATTTGCTTAGGATAATAGCCTCCAGCTGCATCTGTGTTGCTGCAAAGGACCTGACTTCATTCTTTTTATAGCTCTGTAGTATTCCATTTTATATATATATATATATACACACACACAACATTTTCTTTATCCAGTCTACCATTGATGGGCATCTAGGTTGATTCCATGTCTTTGCTATTGTGAATAGTGCTGTAATGAACATACTGGCGCATGTGTCTTTTTGGTAGAATGATTTATTTTTTCTTTGGTTATATACCCAGTAGTGGGATTGCTGAGTGGAATAGTAGTTCTAAATTCTTTGAGAAATCTCCAAACTGCTTTCCGTAGTTGCTGAACTAATTTACATTCCCACCAACAGTGTATGAGTGTTTCCTTTTCTCTGCAGCCTTGCTGACATTTCTCTGATGATTGGTGATGTTGAGCATTTTTTCATGTTTGTTGGCTGCCTGTATGTCTTCTTTTGAGAAATGTCTGTTCATATCCTTTGCCCCTCTTTTAATGAGGTTATTTGTTTTTTCCTTGTTGGTTTGTTTAAGTTCCTTATAGATTCTAGGTATTAGACCTTTGTCTGATGTATAGTTTGTGAATATTTTCTCCCATTCTGTAGGTTGTCTGCTCACTTGTTGATAGTTTCTTTTGCTGTGCAGAAGCTCTTTAGTTTAATTTAGTCTCACTTGTCAATGTTTTTGTTGCAATTGCTTTTGAAGACTTAGCCAAAATTTATTTGCCAAGGCCATTGCCAAAATGGCATTTCCTAGGTTTCCTTCTAGGATTTTTATAATTTGAGGTCTTACATTTAAATCTTTAATCCATCTTGAGTTAATTTTTGTAGTTGGTGAAAGGTAGGGGTCCAATTTCATTCTTCTGCATATGGCTAGCCAGTTATCCTAGCACCATTTATTGAATAGAGAGTCCTTTCCCCATTGCTTATTTTTATTGACTTTGTTGAAGATCAGATGGATACAGGTCTTATTTTAGAACTATTCACATTTTCCGCTTACTTTTGAGTCAGTTTTAGTAATTTGTGTTTCGCTAGCAATTGTTCATCTAGTTGTGTAATCTATTGGCATAAAGGTGATGATAGTATTCTTTGATAATTATTTTCATTTCTGCAAGATCTGAAAGAGAAGAGATGTCTTCTCTTTCACTCGTAATTTTGCTAACTTGTGTCTTCTCTGCTTCATTACCAGTCTGTGCAAAGGTTTAGCAATTTTTAAAAAATTTCATTTTATTCACATTCACTATTTTTGTTTTGTCTGTTTAATGGATTTCCTCTCTAATCTTTATTATTTCTTTTCTCCTGCTTGTTTAAGATTTAGTTTACTCTTCCTTTTCTAGTAAATTAAGATGAAACCTTACTTTTTTCTTTTCTAAAAAAGTCATTTAAAAACCACGAAAATTTCCCTAAGCACTGCTGTATCCCATAAATATTGATATACTGTAATTTCATTTTGTTTGATACTAATATAGACACTCCAGTTTTCTTAGGGTTACTATTTGTATTGTTTATCTATTTCCATTCTATTACTTTAAACCTATTTGTGTTCTTAGATGTTCTTAGAAAAGGTGTCTCTTAAGTCTTATTATTTTTACCCAATTTGACATTCTCTAAAACTATTATTGAAATGTTCAATCTATTTACATTTGGTGTAATTATTTATGTGATTTAATGTATATCTTGTTTTGCTATTTAATTTTATATGTTCCATATCTTTTTAATTCATACATTGCTTTTAACTGTCTTTCGTGTTAGATACTTCTATTGTACTGTTTAATTCTTTTCTTTTTTTTTTTTACTACATTTTAAGGGATTTTTTATGGTTTATTTGTGGATTACAATACGTATCTTATCACAATTTGTGAATTACAATATGTATCTTAATTTATCACAATCTGCTTCAGATTAATACTAACATTTTTCCAGTAAAATATAGATATCCAATAGAACTCTATTTCTCCCCTTCTTTGTTCTATTTTACTGTTTATATGAAATTTACCTATTATTATAATCTATAAGTATAGGTTAAAATCCAACAATTCTAATTTTTCTCTGCAAAGTGTTTAAAATAAGAGAAGAATATAAGAAATAATATACTTAAGCAGATTTTATATTTACCTGTGTAATTATTTTTACCAGTTTTTTTTATATATACAGATTCAAGTAACTGGTGTCATTTCTCTTCCGTCTTTGTTTATCTGGTAATGTCTTTATTTTACTTTTTTTTTTGAAGGATAGTTTTGTTGAATACTTAATACTTGGTTGACTTTTCTTTTTCTTTTAGCACTTTGCTTTCTAGCTTCTGATTGTTTCTGATGGAAAATCTCATCACAATAAAATGTTAATTTTATTGTGGTTCCTTGTACTTCATGAGTCATTTTTCTTTTGCTGCTTTCAAAATTTTCTCTTTCAACAATTTGATTATAATTTGTTAAGGTGTGAATCTCTTTGAATTTATTTTAGTTGGAGTTTGTTGAACTTCTTGGAAGTGTAAATTAGTTTAAAAAATCATGTGTGGGATATTTTCAGCCACTGTTTCTTCAAATATTTTTTCTGCCTTTTTCTCTCTCCTTCTCTGGGAGCTGTGTTCAATTTTTTAAAAAAATTCTCTCTGTTCTTCAGATTGGATGGTCTATATTGATCTGTCCACAAGTTTGCTTATCTCTTCTGCCAGCTAAAGTCTGCTACTGAAACTCTTCAGTGAAATTTTCACTTCAATGACAGCACTTTTCAACACAATAATTTTTATTTTGTTACGTTTTATAATTTATATATAGTTATTGATAGTTTTAATTTGATAAGCCATGGTCATCATACTTTTGTTTTATTCTTAAACACCGTTTCTTCCGTTCTTTGAACATATTTATAATAGTTGGTTTATTATCGGTGTAGGGTACCTCAGAAACAATTTCTATTGACTGCTTTTTCTCCTGTATATGGGTAGCACTTTCCTGGGTTTTTTGCTTGTCTCCTAATTTTTTCTTGAAAACCAGTTTAGATCATATATTACAACAACTCTAGATTCCGATTCCACTCTCCCCTTCCCCTAGGGTTGTTGTTTCTTTTTGTAAATTTTTTGTTGATTTACTTACTGACCCTTCCGTACCAATTCTTTAGAATGGTTTCTTCCAAAGTATGCATCCAAAGTTGTTTTTCCTCATTAAAAAAAAATCTTGTTTTCAATTTTTAAGGCTGGATTCCTAGGGTTGCCACTTGGTCAGCATCATGTAGTGATCAGCCAATTACTGGTCAGCGTCTATGCTTAAACGTCTTGATCCACAAGGCTAATGGTTCCATGTCCGAGGTGGGAAATTCACTGAATGTTCAGGCAGTTTGTAGGTTTTCTCTGGTCTCTGCTTTCTGCCAGCTATTCCTGTTTCTCCTTTGAGCATTACATTCTGTTAGAGAGGAGAGGCATCTTATTCCATGTAGCGCTGCTATAGTAGAATGCCTGAGACTGAACAATTTGTAAGGAACAGAAATTTATTTCTTACAGTTCTGTTGACTGGGAAGTCTAAGATCAAAGTGCTGGCACCTGGTGGAAGTCTAGTCTCTGCTTCAAAGATAGTGCCTTGAATGCTGCATCCTCCTGAGGGGTGGAACCCTGTGTTATCACATGACGGAGGAGCAGAAGAGACCACATCCACACCTGCAAGCCCTTCATACAGCAGCTCTAACCTTGACCTAAACACCTCCCGTTAGGCCCCACCTCCCAACCTCACTGCTTTGGAGATTAAGTTTCTAACACATGCATTTTGGGGGATACATTTAGACCATAGCCAGGGTCCTC
This sequence comes from Homo sapiens, assembly GCF_000001405.40. Classification (NCBI taxonomy): domain Eukaryota; kingdom Metazoa; phylum Chordata; class Mammalia; order Primates; family Hominidae; genus Homo; species Homo sapiens. The sequence continues at coordinate 4,238,052 of NT_187660.1, forward strand.
TCCAGTCTGGTCTGGTACATTTCTGGATGTCAATAAATATACTTTGAAAACATAATATGTAATATTTCATAATATATTATTTTAAAAATATCTCATTTGTACCAATATTTAATCTTTTAAATCATGTTCAAGTGGACTTTCTTTTTCTTAAAAGTTTATTCACATTTGCATTTTTTAAAAGGCTGGGTTCTTATAAATAGACTGATAATACAAAAATACCAATATATTGTGGTCAATCTTAGAAACCCACAACTCCAATAAAAGTCTTTTAGACTTATCTTCCTCTCCCCTGTGTCCACAAAGTAGAGAATGCAATCCTTCAATTTTCAGGAGCTCATAGCTTATATCTGTTTTTGGCACCCCTTCCCCAATTCTTCCCAGTATTATATTTCCCTGTGTCTTAATCACCTACTTGCACTATAAACCTCTTAGAGCAGAGGACTGCCGCTTTCTTCCATCTCTAAGCTTGCCCTGTACCCTGCACCAAGTCTCACACATAGTAGGTACTCAGAAGGTGTTAAGTGGGATTTTAGCTGGCTGAAAAAGGAGCACTCGCTCTTGGCTTCCCATTCCTTATATGGGCCACGAAGCCCCTGTCTCCAAGGCCCTTTGTGTCTGTGACATTCTCGGGCTTATGCTTCTTGTGAACATTTGTGGGATATTAGTCATCTTATGTAGAACAGGATATATCTGTCACTTCTCCTCTGTGAATCCCTCCTTTCAACAAGATTTATTTTAAGAACTGTGTGAAAAGAGAAATTTTCATAGGCAACCCTGTGAAAACGCAGTCATTTGTCAACATGTGGAATTAAGTGCCCTGAGTTCCCATCCAACTGTCCTGGCCCTGCCCACCAGGGGGCCCCTCTAAGGAGGCAGCATCCAGGCAAGGGTCTGAGTTAGCCACAAAGGTGCATCTTAGGGCCCCTCCTGTTTCCTTGCTCTCCAGTGCTCCTGGCATGGTGAGTTCTCCGTTCTCTTGAACAGTGCAGCTGAGGAGTACACGTGAGACCTCATTGAATCCTCAAGGCTGCCTTAGGAGATCAAAATGACCCTGCTACAGAAAGGGAAACTGAGAGCACACAGCTAGAATGTAGTGGAGCTGGACTTTGAGCTGAGGCCCTTTGCCTCCACATCCAAGGCTGTGTCCGTTAGCCTGAGCTGCTGTGAGCAGCAGGGGCCACTGGCTTTCTCTCAAAACAACAAGTTGGTGATCTGCAAGATTTCATTGAGTTTGGAGCTGACGGAGCCAGATAGCTTTTGGGCAAGAACCAGAGGTCTTTGAGGAGATGCAGGAGGGAAGAGGTTATCACCCAAACCCCAGCTGGGGGCAAGGCTCCCTGACCCCTGTCCTGCCAAGGGAGGGAGTGTGGCATGTGGCCACTCCATGGGGCAGTGGTGCCCCATTGTCTTTGGCTATTGGCAATCCCTGCATAATGGATGGCAACCCTGGGCCTCAGTTTCACTGTCTCTGAACTGAGGTGGGTGAGTTCAATAAGCCCTGCACTTTCCCTGAGATCAGAAGAGGGAAGGCTCTCTTTTCAAGGCTGGAGTTAGCAGCAAAAGAGTAGAGCGGCTTCCTCCTCCGCGCTCTGGGATGGCACATGTTGGGTGAGAAATGTTGGGGGCTTGATTGGGAGCTGCCATGCTCATTGCACACGGCTGCATGCATCAGCTGCGAGGATTCACACCACATCCTCCAGACACCCCCACTGGGAGTTTCTATAGCAACTTTCTGAGAGGAATTTCCAGGGCTTGCAGATTCTGTCATAGTAACCCAGTGAGGGAAGAAAGCTCAGGGTGTGTGAGTAGGGGGCAAAGGATCCGTGTGTGCTGAGGTCCCTGTGAGGCCAGGAGGGCAGAGTGGGTGGGCTCTCGGAACAGCCACAGAGCTGAGCAGTCAGGGGCTATGGTCCAGTCTTCTTCCAGCTCCTTAACAACAGGCAGGTCACAAGTCATCCCTGAAGGTCTCACTTTAGATCATAAAATGTACCTCAAAGATGGTCATGAAGATTAAATGAAAGAGACCTGCAGACTTCTCATTTATCTTTCCTGAGGATTAGGGCAGGACAAGCTGGGAGTGTGATTCCAGTGGCGGGCTGCCTGTGGGTGTCTGTAGAATAGAAATGAAATTATGCAAGCAGATGGCTTGATGAAGAGACAAAAATATGAATATAAAACACTATAGCCATGGAGATGCTAATTTATTTTTACTTTTAATAATGACACAACTTGGGATATCAAAGGTGTCTTCTTGCTTTTAGATATATTCAGCCCTCAAAATAAAATCTTTCAACAGAACACAGCTCCAAATCACACAAAAACATTCTGAATTGGAGGATCAGCATGCCTGCCTGTTAATATGCAAGCACTGAGCATGAGCAGTTTATCCCAACAGTGAATCCACACTGCAGATATACTACACACACAGCATTCTAGGGAATGGAGAAATGAAATGCACAAAGAGCTCTGCCCTTGAATTGGTAGTGACTAGTGAAACAGTCCTTACAAATGTTATACAATTAATCAAGAAAAAAGGGGGGAGAAACAGCTCAGCATTAATCACTAGGTCAGCTTGTTCTCTGACCTGCTTCCTCATAGCTGTTTTCCGTCTGTTGCCCTAGAATCATGTAGATTCTAGATTATAGGTCCCTGTAACTGCTCTGTAGATAACAGCCTGGGCATTGTGAAACATTAAGTTTTCCATCTGAGATATTCTTTCAGGTCTTGCAAACCAATGAAACTACTGACTCAGCTTGTCCAAAGGGCCCCATGAGAAGATGACTCACCAAAGAATGCAGTTTCCCACATCTTAATGATTTCATCCCCTTTACCTGGCCAATCAGTGACCCAATTTTCCAGCCCCTTGCCCTCCACAATGATTCTTTTAAAAATCCCTGTCTAGACCTCCTTGGGGAGATGGATTTGAGGGTCCCTCCCATCTTCTCACTCAGCTATCCTATCAATCATCATTAAGCTCTTTCTCTGCTGCAAACCCTGCTGTCTCAGTGTATTGGTCTGCACATGCACAATGGACTAAGAAACCTGTTGGTCCTGTAACAATAACAGGGGAGATGAGACAGATTAACCATTGCAGGGATAGCTAGATATATTTAAAGGAATATAGAAATGCCTCTGGTGGCAACATCCAGCTGGGTCTCCAGTGTAGCAGAGCTAAGGCTAAAGCCAGGCTCTGGGGGAGGGTGAATCACAGCAGAAACGTGAAAGTGCAGGAGGGTGCAGATGGGGGTGAAGCTGCAGGCTCATCCCATTCTGCTTATGCCCCTCAAAGCAATCACGAGTAAGCCCCTAACCTGCAGGCCTCGGGTGTTTTCTCTAGCAGACAGTAGAAATACCTCCTCTTTAAGCCCATATGGGGATAATTTACTTCAAGAAGTCATCTCTGTTCCTGGCATACAAAAAAGCACTTAACAGATTATAAGACAAACAATAAAAAAGTAAAAGCCATGCAAGTTGAAAATGAATTTAGAATCCTGCCTTACACTGTGTAGGGACAACAGTATCTGTGAGTGTGGGGGATGACTGGATGACTAGACCACTTTGGGACATTTTTCTAAAAATTCTCTGGTGAAACTTAATTTGTCCACTCACTCTCAGCCACACCATGCACTGCTCTGCCCTAGGACAGCCAGTGGAATGCACTTGGAGCCCTTCCTCAGGACCAATGTTGAGGCAAGCCTTCTTGCTCACAGTCAGGGGTGCTAAGTAAGTGATCCAAGCTTTGCAGAGAGATGTCTTTAGTGTTTTCAGCACAGTGTGGATCATTCATACTGCTAGGCATTAGGGAGGATACAAGAAGATGTGTTCTGCCTTCAGGGAGTTGGGATAGGATCAGAAAAGGAGTGTGTTGAACAGAGGAGCTGCAGAGCTCACATGATCCTGTGGGTGGGACAGACACCGTGGAGGAGGCCAGCCCTGTTGCTGTCCCACCCAGACTCCTTGGAATCCCATTGGTCAGCACTGGGCCTCTCCAAAGCTTACTTTTGTCCCTGATAGCAGGAACCTGTGATGCTTCTTCACATGACTTTCCCCAGGCTACTCTGCTCCTATATTCAGAGGACATCCCCCATGACAACCCTCAGCTTAGGAAGCTTGAAAGGGAGTCTACATGGGATGTTTCTGAGATATAATTTATACCCAGACTTTATCCACGGGGTGCATATCATGGCAGGCATAAGGATGACTGCAATTGGGGTTTGCAGTAGGGGAGAGAGATGGGGCTTATCTCTGAATGCAAAAGGAAACGGGGGAATTTATGGCCAGGGAGCATGGTAGGGATCAGAGGGTAGAAAATTACTAAGAGGTAATCAGGGCTAAGGAGGTTTTTTGTTGTTGTTGTTGTCATTGCTGTTTTTGTTTTGTTTTGTTTTTTTGCTAAAGTGACCTCACAGGATTCTTGCTGAAGCCAGGCCAAGGTGATCAGACATCACCTGAGGGATGGTGGAAGAGGAAGAACCTGATCAGATATCAAGGATGATCAGATATCGACGGTGGCATGTTCTGGCTAAACCAATTAAGAAGGATTCTTGCTAACACTGGACAATGCAAAGATGGACTCAGACATACACACGTCAGAGCCTAGTTGAGAAGAGAATTTAAGAAGCCTGGCTAGAGTTAGGTCACACTCTGAGATCAATCTGAGGCTACTTATTCTGGGACTTTGCTTGAAATTTTACCCTGTTCAGCCCCTTCTCATTCCTTGCCCTGCTTCCTCATCTTGGTTTCTTCTGGTGGCATTTCCACCACAAATAACTCATAGAAATCTTCACCTCAGAGTCTGCTCCTGAGGAATGCAACTTGAGACAGTTGGTATGGAAGTAGTCCTGGGAGCTCATCACCAATGACAGGAGCATGTGAATAGTTGTGGTTTATCTGGGGTAAATAGGGACAAGGTACAATTAGAAAAAGATGCAGTGGCTTGTGCAATAACTCTGGTGTGTAGGACATGTGGTGAAATAGTCACTAGAAGGATGTAAAATTGGTTGATGCTATGGATGTGTTGAGGAAATAACAAACTTAAGTGAGCCAGTTACTGATTTAAGGCACAGTGGTAGGTCCAGTTGCAGCTGGGTGGATATGCTGTCTTTACAAGGGTATTCAATGTAGTTTCTAGTATGTGGCATGCAGCTTTTGATCTGGTAGATGCATTTTTTATTAGACTTTAGAGCAATTTTAGTTTCAAAGCAAAATTGAAGGGAAAACACAGAGGTTTCCCACATACTCCCTGCCCATCTATATATAACCTTCTCCACTATTAACATAACCCACCAGAGTGCCAATTGGAGTGAAATATAGAAGCCTCACATTCCTTTTAGTCCCTTTATCTTCTACTGTGTATAACATAGTTGTCTTAAATATTTTCTATAATAGATTTAAAACCACATAAGATAGTGTTATAGAGGGTGTTATAATTTTTGCTTTGGCTGTCAAACATAATTTAGAAAACTCAATAGGAGAAAGAAAATGTATTATATTTATCTATTTTTAAAATTCTTTCCACTGTTCTTTCTCCCTTTCTCATGTTCCCAGTTTCCTCCTTTTATCATTTCTTTCTGTTTAGAGAACTTGGTTTAGCCATCTAATATACTTCGGATATTTGTCCCCACCCAAGTCCCATGTTTAAATGTAATCCCCAATGTTAAAAGTGGGGCCTGGTGGGAAGTGTTTGTATCATGAGGACAGATCCCTCATGAATGACTTGGGCCATCCCCTTGATGATAGATGAGCTCTTGCTCTGAGTTCACATGAGATCTGGTTGTTTAAAAGTTTGTGGCACTCCCCTCAAATCTCTCTCCCTCCTGCTTTTGCCATGTGAAGTGCCTGCTCCCATTTTGCCTTCTGCCATGAGTAAAAGCTTCCCTCCTCAGAAGAATGTTCTAGTATTTTGTTTCCTATATAGCCTGCATGTGATCCAACTAAATCTTTTTGTCTTATAAATTACTGTATTAGCCTGTTTTCACACTGCTGTAAATAATGACCTGAGACTGGATAATTTATAAAGGAAAGAGGTTTAATTAACTCATAGTTCTGTATGTCTGGGAGGCCTCAGGAAACTTACAATCATGGTGGAAGGGGAAGGGGAAGCAAAGCATGTCTTACATGGCAGCAGAAGAGGTGGGGTACTGCCAAACACTTTTAAACCATCAGATCTCATGAGAACACACTCAATATCACAAGAACAGCATGGGGGAAACCACCCCCATGATACAATCACCTCTCACCAGGTCCCTCCCTCAACACATGGGGATTACGATTCGAGATAAGATTTGAGTGGGGACACAGAGCCAAACTATATCAATTACCCAGTCTCAGGTATTCCTCTGTAGTGATGCAAGAACAGCTTAACAGAAAATTGGTACTGAGGGGTGGGGCATTGCTATAAAGATATCTGAAAATGTGAAAGCAACTTTGAAACTGGGTAATAGGTAGAGGACGGAAGAGTTTGGAGGGCTCAGAAGAAGACAGGAAGATGAGAGAGAATTTAGAACTTCTTAGAGACTGGCTAAATGGTTGCAACCAAGATGCTAATAGAATTATGAACAGTGAAGTCCAGGCTGCAAAGGTCTCAGATGGGAATAAGGAACTTACTGAAAAATGGAGCAAAGGTCATGCATATTATGCCTTAGCAAAGAGCTTGGCTGCATTCTGTTTACATCCTGGGGATCAGTGGAAGTTTGAACTTGAGAATGATGACCTAGGGTATCTGGTGGAAGAAATTTCTAAGCAGCACAGCATTCAAATGTGGCCTGGCTGCTTCTAACAACCTATGCTCAGATGTGGGAGCAAATGAATGACTTAAAATTGCAACTTATATTTAGAAGAGATGCAGAGTATAAAAGTTTGGAAAATCTGCAGCCTGGCCATGTGATAGAGGAAGAAAAAGCTTTTTTAGGACAGGAATTCAAACAGTCTGCAGAACAACACTTACTAGAGATATTTGAATAATCAAAAGGAGGCAAGTGGTAAGCACTGACAGTCAAGACAATGGAAAAAAGTCCTGGTAGGCATTTAAGAAGTCTCTGGGGCAGCCCCTCCCATCATAGGCTCAGAGGCCTAGGAAGGAAGAATGATTTCACGGGCCAGGACCCCTACTGTCTGCACAGCCTTGGAGCACTGCTCCCTGAATCCTGGCTGCTTTGGCTCCAGCACCAGCTGTGGCTCAAGGAGGCCCAGGTATGGCTCAGGCTGCCATTTTGGAGAATGCAAGCCACAAGCCTTGGTGGCTTCCATGTGGTGTTAAGCCTGCAGGTGCACAGAGTGCAAGAGTGGTGGATTCTTGGAAGCCACCACCTAGATTTCAGAGGATGTATGGAAAAGCCTGAGTGGGCTGGGCATGGTGGCTCACACCTGTAATCCTAGCATTTTGGGAGGGCGAGGCCGATCGATCATGAGGTCAGGAGTTTGAGACCGGCCTGGCCAACGTAGTGAAACCCCGTCTCTACTAAAAATACAAAAAAAAATTAGCTGGGCATGGTGATGTGCACCTGTAATCCCAGCTACTTGGGAGGCTGAGGCAGGAGAATCATGTGAACCTAGGAGGTGGAGATTTCAGTGAGCCGAGATCACGGCATTGCACTCCAGCCCAGGGGACAGTGCAGGACTCGGTAAAAAAAAAAAAACAATAAAAGCCTGTGTGTCCAAGCAGAAGCCTGCTATAGGGGTGGAGCCCTCACAGAGAACCTCTACTAGGGCAGTACGGAGGGGAAATGTGGGGTTGGAGGCCTCACACAGAATCCCCACTGCAGCATTGCCTAGTGGAGCTGTGAGAAGGGGACACCATGCTCCAGATCTGAGAATAGTAGATCCACTGACAGTTTGTACCTTGCACCTGGAAAAGCCACAGGCACTCAACAAGCTTTGAGAGCAACCTTGGGGACTGAAACCTGCAAAGCCACAAAAGTAGAGCTGCCCAAGACCTTGGGAGCCCACTCCTTGCACCAGTGTGCCCTGGAGGTGGCACTATTTTGGAGCTTTAAGATTTAATCACTGCCGTGATGGGTTTTGGACCTGCTTGGGGCCTGTAGCTCCTTTCTTTTGGCCAATTTCTCCCTTTTGGAGTGGGAATGTTTACCCAATGCCTATTTACACATTGTATCTTGGAAGTAAATAAATTGCCTTTGATTTTGTGGGCTCATATATGGAAGGGAATTGCCTCATCTCAGGTGAGACTTTGGACTTTAGACTTTTGAATTAGTGCCAGAATGAGTTAAGACTTTGGGGGACTGTTGGGAAGGCATAATTGCATTTTGCAAAGTGAGGACATGGGATTTGTGGAAAGGCCAGGAGTAGAATGATGTAGTTTGGATATTTGTCCCTGCCCAAATCTCATGTTGAAATGTAATCCCCAATGTTGGAGGTGGAGCCTGGTGGGAAGAAGTTTTTGGATCGTGGAGGCAGATCCCTCATGAATAGCTTGAGCCATCCCCTTGGTGATAAGTGAGCTCTCACTCTGAGTTCATATGAGATCTGGTCATTTAAAAGTGTGTGGCCCTCCCAACTCCCTCTCTCACTCCTGCTTTTGCCATGTGAAGTGCCTGCTCCCACTTTGCCTTCTGCCATGAGGCCTCCCCAGAAGCAGATGCCAGCACTGTGTTTCCTGTATATCCTGCATAAATGTGATCCAGTTAAACTGCTTTCTTATAAATTACCCAATCTCAGGTGTTACTTTACAGCAATGCAAGAATGGCCTAAGACAACATCCTTTTAGGGTAAGTTTACTTTTGAAAAATTATCTTAATTTTTCTTCATCTGAGAACATCTTGATTTTCCTCTTATATCAGAAAGCTATTTTCACTGGATATAGAATTCTGAATAAACTATTTCTTTTGTTTGTTTGTTTGTTTTTAGCACTTGAAAAATCTTTTACCATTTCTTTCTGGCCTCCAATATTTCTGATAAGAAATTGACAATAATTCAAATTGTTTTTCTCCTATGGGTAATGTGTTATTTCTCTCTGGCTGCTTTCAATATTTTTTTTCTTTCTTTTTAGTTTTTAGAAGTTTGGCTATGATGCATCTTGATGTGTACTTCTCTGCGTGTCTTGTTTAGGGCTGGCTCAAAGCTACAGTTTGGTTTGTTTGATCCTCCAGAGCTCATTTGAAATCTGATCCCCAGTGTTGCAGGTGGGGCCTAGTGGGGGACTCATGGGGGAAGATCCCTCATGAATGACTTGGTGCCATCCTTGTGGTAGTGAGTGAATTCTCACTCTATTAGTTCCCATGAGAGCTGGTTGTTAAAAGGAGCCTGGCCCCACCCTTTATCTCTTTCTCATTTACTCACTTACCATGTGATCTCTGCACATACAGCTCCCCTTTTTCTTTCACCAGGAATGGAAGCAGCCTGAGAGTCTCACCAGGAGCAGATGCTGATGGCATGCTTCTTCTACAGCCTGCAGAACCATGAGCCAAATAGATCCCTTTTTCTTTATAAATCACCAAGCCTTCCATATTTCTTTATGGCAACACAGACTAAGACATGTACCTTCTTGAATCCTTTGGTTTATGGAAATTCTCAGCCATAATTCTTTGTGTTTTCAGCTTTCTCATATTCCTGCTCTTCTTTCAGGACTGTGATGACACACTCTTAGATTTTTGTTATAGTCCCACAAGTCCATGAGGCTATACTCATTTTTTAATAGTCTGTTTTCTCTGTCATTCAGGTAATTTCCATTGTTCCACCTTCAAGTTCACTGATTCTTTCCTCTATCTACTTGTACTTGCTGTTGAGTCCATCCATTGATTTTTCTAAATTTTGTCTATTTTAGTTTTGTGTTCTAAAATTTCCATTTGGTTTTCCTTTCTATCTTTTACTTTTTTGCTAAGGCTTTCTAATTCTTTTTTCTTTTGTCCCATTGTATTGTAATTGCTCAGTGAAGAATATTTATTATGCCTGCATTAAAACTTTTTTTTTTTTTTTGAGATGGAGTCTCGCTGTGTCATCCAGGCTGGAATGCAAATGGTGCAATCTTGGCTCACTGTAACCTCCGCCTCCTGGATTCAAGTGATTATCCTGCCTCAGCTTCCCTAGTAGCTGGGATTACAGGCATGCGCCACCACGCCTGGCTAATTTTTGTATTTTTAGTAGAGACAGGGTTTCATCTTCTTGGCCAGGTTGGTCTTGAACTCCTGACCTCAAGTAATCCACCCACCTCAGCCTCCCAAAGTGCTGGGATTACAGATGTGAGCCACCAGGCCCAGCCTCTGCATTAAAATTTTGTCAGATAATCCTAACATCTCTGTCATCCAACTGTTGGTATCTACTGATTTTTTAAAACTCAAGTTTATGTTTTCCTGATTCTTGCATATAACTAGGGACTATTTTTATTGAAAACTGGATATGTGCAATATTATGATAGTCTTGGTATTATTTAGGTCTTCTCTTTCAGATGGTTGCTTCTGACATCACTCTGGTGGAGGAAGTTAGACCTTTGCCTTGCAGCAGCTGGTGAATGTAGAAGTCCAGGTCCCTCACTCAACCTCCATGAACACCCAAGAGACTCCCCATTACTGCTGAGTGGAGTGGGGTTTCTGACTCTCTGACAGGCCTCCACTAAAATCACCCTGGCTGGTCAGAATAAGAATGCCTCTCATTCCCCACATGACCTGTGCCGACACCACCGAGAAGTGGCTTTATGATGCCCAGGTGGTAATGAAAGTTTTGGCTCCCAAGCAAGTCTCTTTTACATCACCTTAGGGTGGAGGAAGGGCACCTCCTCACTGTCAGAGGAGAGTGGAAGTTCAGACTTCCCATGGGGCCTCCATGGGGCCTCCACTGACACCACAAAGGGAGAGGGACTATCGCCTCCTGGAGATGAAAATTCCAGCTCTTGACTTGACTATCTCTGATACCACCCTGATGTTGGGGAGGAGGATTGGGGCACCTGATTGCAGCTTGGTGAGAGTAGATCTGTAGGCTCCCTGCCACCCCTCACTAGTGTGGATATGGGTGAGGCCACAGTTTCTTTTGTGGTGTATGGTGGAAGTTGAATAATGACTGTTTTAACATTTTCTACCTTGCTAGGTTGAACCTTTCCTGACCTTTAACTAAAGAGAGAAGTCTTTTGTTGTGTTGTGTTGTTTGCTTGTTTTCTTGTTTGTTTGTTTTTCTTTTTTCCCCCTTTTCACCCATGGTCTGTGAGTTGTCAGCTTCTCTAGCTTTAAGCCTTGGATATGTGAAATGGAAAGAAATCCCAGAGAACATATCGCCATGTGTTCTTTTGGTCCTGGGGTTTCTAATATGTCTGTTGCTTTCCACCTTTCAGAGCCAGGGATTTTAGTTGGACTTAGTCGGAGGAATTGGGAAAAGTACATCGATTCCACTTTCCCAGAGGTGGAAGTCCCAAGCACATCTTTATGAAATATTTTATCTAGCTTTTATAATTATGTTTAAGGGTATTGATCAGAATTACATAGTCTACTTGCAACCATTGCTGTTTTCACATAGCTTCATATTTTTGTCTTTTTTATCATTTTAGAAATATGGGATGGAAGAAGGAGTATAGCATTTGGCCAGTAACCTTTTAAAGGAAGCCTTTGTTAAGCACATGCTGAATGGCAGTGAAGTCCAACAGTGACAAGGGAAAAAACCACTGCAGCCAGGGATATGCAGTCTAGGGAGTGGCTACTGCCCACAGTTAGGGTAACAATGGAAAATGCTAACTTCTTTCTGAGCAGCTTTCACTCAGAAATGACACCCAACCAATTCTTGTGTGCAAGAAAGATTTTCTCAGGTTTATTAGTCGTAGATCTCCAGAGAAACAGAACCAATAGGAGATATCTATATCTCTATATTAATATATCTGTAGGTATACATATATCTCTATATCTATGTCTCCCTCTATCTACCTATCGATGTATTGTAAGGAATTGACTCACATGATTATGGAGGCTGAGAAGTCCCCGGATCTGCAGTTGACAAGGTGGAGACCCAGGAGAGCCAATAATATAGCTCCAATTTGAGTCTGAAGGCCTGAGAACCAATGGCGGGCCAATGACGTAAGTTCTAATCTGAAAGCCAGCAGGTTTGAAATCCAAAAAGTCAATGTCTCAGTTCAAGTCTAGTTGATGGCCAATTGATTATTTTATGAAATCATGATGAGAAACCAATGGAGAAAGGCATCTATAATCAATTGTAGACCAAGGTGGCATAGAACAGTGGAGAAAGAATATGAAATGCTGACTCATTTAATATTCATGTGGAAAAAATTAATCTTTACCATCACCTCACATTGTACAGAAAAGTCAATCTCAAACGGACTTAGACCTAATTGTGAAAGGTAAGACAATAAGGCTTCTAAAGTAGCACAGAGTATATTCCTGACTCTACGGTGAGCAAATCTTTCTTTAAAAAGACACCACAAAGGAAACTACTTTAAAATTTTACTTTATTAAAACCAAGAATTTCTATTCCATAAAAACAAAACTATATGAGGCAGAAAAAAACGGCATATGAGAAGATGTTTGCAATACACACCTGAGAAGAACCTAAAAATTCTAAAGCACTTTTACAGATTAATCAGAAAAAAAAACCAACCCAATTTAAAAAATAGGCAATTGTCTTGAATATTTTATTTTTAAAAAATTTCATCCAAGTGCCCTCAAAACATATGAAAAGGTCATCAGTGTTATATAGTCATCAGGGAAATTCAAACTGAAACCAGCAGCTGCCATTCCGTCCTCCATTCCCAAGTGGTCCAGTGTTAATGAGATTAAGGAGCAACAGAAACTCTCATACATGCATTTGGGAATATTACTCTTTGGCAGTGTCCACTAGACTTGACAAGGTAATAACATTTGTAGGTATATATACCCCATGCAAATGCACTAAAAGATGTTTATACAAATGCTAATAGCAGCATTATTCATAATAACCCCAAACTGGAAACAAGCCAAATATTTATCAATGGTAGGATAAGTAAATATGTTCTGACAAAATCACAATAAAATACTTTAAATCCCTGAAAAATAATAAACAACTTCAGTGTACAACTACATGGATGAATCTCCCAAGCCTAATGTTTGTCACAAAATGCCAGACGCAAGAGTATGATGTATATAATTCTATTTATGTAAGGTTCAAAATAGATAGGAGTAATCTATGTCGATAGATGTTATAGCAGTGGATACCTTTTTTAGGATGGGTTTGACACGGGATGAGGGTGCCAGAAGGGCTCCTGAAGTGTTGGTAATGTTTTATTTCTATAAATGGGTGTTGATTACATGAATATATTCAGTTTGTGAACATTATTTGAGGTAAAATAGAATTTGTATGCCTTTCCGCATGTATGTTATTCTGCAATAAAAATTTATTTAAAATGTTTTGTATTCTTATTTTTTCAAGTACAAAAATTGTATGAATTGCATATTAAAAGCTCTCTTCCCCACCTCCCCGCCTACCACACATCATGCCCTAGAAAATGCCAACTCTTTGCAGGATTCAAAGAAATACAGTGGTGGTTCTGGATTCACAGTTCAGCTTTCTTCTGGTGCTTGCACTTCCACTAGAGGATACAGGGATACTCCACATTTAAACATGAAATAAAGAACCCAGTGAGGCTGGGGAATTGCCAGAGAAGTGTTCGTCAGTGACTTACAGGGTGGTATTTACCTCAACACACTTACTTCGGAATCTCAAAACCTCACAGGTAAATGTTTACCCTCAAGGCTTTAATAAGCGTTGTTGTTGTTGTTGTTGTTAAGATCAATATCTTTTCGGTTGCTATTTTAATGGAATATTTAAAAATTCTATTTCTGGTTCTGCTTGATTTGGTAATTTAAAAGAATCATTTTAGTTTTTTAAAAAGAATTATATATTTTTTAATGCACAAAAGTAATACAAGGTAATTGTAATAAATCAAAATATAAAAGTACATAAAGAAGCTAATAATTCCCCTTTGTTTCCTTTCCCACTCCTGTATGTAATGATTCAAACTATTTTCTATTTTCAAACAACTAAATATGAATATACATGGATAGCCTGCTCCCTTATTTTTTTCACAAATGGAATTAAATCAACTGTATTATACTTCCATTTGCTTTTTAATCTTTTCAATAGCTGCATAATATTCCATAATGTGACAGATTAAAGAATGCCACAAATCATTTGTGGATCCTTCCATTGAGAGGCCTAATGCCCTGATCCTTAAATCTGGGTTGAACTTGATGACTTGCCTAACCGATAGAATGAGGCAGAAGTCATGCTGCCTGAAGCTTCTGCCTTGATCTCTGGAACTCAGGTGTCATGCTGTGAGGAGGTGCAAAAGTTCCATGGAAATGCATATGGAGAAGATCCAAAGCTCCCAGGTACAGCCCTGGCTAAGCACCCAGAAAAGAGTCAGCACCAATTTGCCAGCCCTATAAATGAACTTGGTTTTCATGTTAGTGAAATAAGTTTTCAAGCTGAATCCTCTAGCCACAGAAGAGCTGCCCCCATTGATGTTGCACAGAGCAGGGATAAGCTGTTCCTGTCATGTCCCACTCAAATAGCAAATTCTGAGCAAAATACACTGCCATTATTGTATTAAGTTGGTAGATTTAGGGACGTTTGTTATACATCCATACATAACCAGAATACATAGAATCAGAACAGCTTAATTTACTCATTATTAACTATTACACTACATATAAACAGATTTTTTTCCTCCAACTTCTAATAGCTTGCAACAAACATCTTTGTGTACTTCTAATTTTTGCCATTTAAATAATACTGCATTGCCGCATTGTCGATTTACTTCATTTGATGCTTTTATTTTATGCTGTTAGTTTTTCTTCATATGTCTTATGACTTTTGTTTTGTGGTATGTAATTTATAGAAAAGACATAATATTTGGGGTGTTTCTAAGCTTTTAGGCTTGCCCTGCTTCTCTGCCAATCACTCATTCTATTTTTTTGGATGCGTTTTACTAGTGACAGATGCTGACTCCTTTTCTCACACATTAAGGAAAAACACTTATTTGATTTTTTAAAAAATCAACAGGATGAGTCATGATACTCTTTAAAATCTAATCTTTGAGAACTCCTCTATCTGCCATCTTGCTACATCAGTCTCTTGTTTGTTTCAGGAAAACTAGTGCAAGCAGCAAAGATAATGCTCCCTTGAAAATGCTTCCTGAAACCACAAAATATGGGTCCTTTGTAATTTATTCAGAATTTATTTGAACAAGGAAACCATGGTATTGGTATTTTTTTTACTGTCCACTGAGAAAAACAGTGTTTTTACAAGTTTTTCTTTCTCCTCATCATCGTTAACATGATTTCAAAGCACAAGGCTGGAAGTGCTGCGCAGTTAGTCTAATTTCAACAAAATATGCTTGCTGCTTTCAGACCTAGCACATCAGAGCTGATTTGATGCTTGATGTAGCATTGCAGCATCTTTGTGCTAGTTTCTTTCAAGCTCCATGTGAACTAATGTAACAATTCCCCTTGAAATCATTTGATTCCTATTATTTTGGTATATTAAACATGAAAATAACAGTTCAGCTTTCTTCTGGTGCTTGCACTTCCTCTAGAGGATACAGGGAGGGACTCCACATTTAAACATGAAATAAAGAATCCAGTGAGGCTGGGGAGTTGCCAGGGAAGGGAAACTGCTCGTCAGCGACTTACAAGGTGGTATTTACCTCAACACACCACTTTACGAAACCTGAGTCTCACCTTGGCGAGATTTTCATCAGCAAATGGGGAACGTGGCCATCTCTCTGTGATGATTTGCCAATCGAGGTACGAGGGAGCACAAGTAAAAGTTGAATGTCAACTTGCTCATTTATAATGACTGATGAGAAACATAAATATATTTACAAGTTCTCTCATTTCCTATATAAAAATCTTCACTGAAATGTAATGCCTAGGGCAACCACTTAATAGTTTATACGAAGAAATCCACTCAAAACACTATAGAAAAATCAAACTAGAATTGTAAAAAACGTTCAAACAACCCACAGGAGGCAGAAAGAAGAAAACAGTAAAACAAAAAACTCGGAGGAAACAAACAGAAAACAAACAAACCTGCACGTTGTGCACATGTACCCTAAAACTTAAAGTATAATAATAATAAAATAAATAAAATGACAGATTTATTTCCTAATGTATATGTAATCACATTAAATATAAGTTGTCTGAATACACCAATTAAAAGACAGAAATTGACAGAGTGAATTATAAAATGAGCTAACTATATGCCAGCTACAAGAAACTCACTTTCAATCTAATAATATGGTTAGGTTGAAAGAAAAGATCGAAAAACTATATTACATATAAACATTAATCAAAGTAAAGTTGAAGTGTATATGTTATCCTAGAGGACAGACTTCAGAGTGAAGTAACAGAAAGGAACATTTCCTAATGGTAAAAGGATCAGTCCCTGAAGAAATCATAGCAATCCTAAACATGTATGCACCCAACAATGGAGCTGCAACATATGTGAATAGAAAACTGATAGAAAATTGAAAGGAGAAATAAACAAAATTTTAATGGGAGACTTCAACACTCCTCTCTCAACAATTTATAGAACAATACCATTAGCTGACAGGATCTAAACATTTAGAGAACAATTCACCCAACAACAGTAGAATCCGCATGTTTTTCAAGCCCTCACACAACGTTTACCAACTTAGACTGTATTCTGAGCCATTAAATGAACCACAGCAGATATAAAATAATAAAACTCGTACAGAGTTGGTTCTGTGGCCATCATGGACTCAAGCTACCAAGCAATAACAGAAAGATAACAGGAAAATCTCCAAACATTTGAAAACTACAAAATGTGCTTCTAAATAATCTGTGACTCAAAGAGGAAGTATTTTAAATTTAAAAATAGCTTGAACTGATTGACAATATAACATAGAAACATTTATGGGATGGAGTAGACATATGTTTCCCTATTCCTCCTACTTAGTGCAGCGAAAGCCCCTTAACATTATATACAAAACAAGACAACTCTGAAAGGTGGAGAAAGGAGGGCAGATCAGTCAGGGCTTTGTGTCCTGAAGAATGACATGATAGTGCGTTTCTTTGCTCTTCTTAGTGCCTTATATATCTCGCACTGAGTGCTGCAGAAACCTGAAAATGCCAATAGGAAAATACAGACTCCCTTATCCCCCAGAAAACAAACAAACAAACAAACACAAAAAAACCCTGCTTTCTGCAGCCACAGAACAAGAAAAGGGGCAGCCAAGCAAGACAGAACATTTTTAGACAATAACCACACTCCTCTTCAGCCAAACTCCATGGAAATAACCACTGCCCCAGCCCCACCCCAGTAGCAAAGGCCACCTGGCGAGCTTAGACTATCACCCTTGCCAAACTGTAGCAACTGCTCCTCCACGCTGTGGTGATGTCAGAGAAGGCCAAGTGGGAGGTCAGGACTTCCATTGCTGACCAGTGCTAGTGAGGCCCCATCTCTGGCCGTGCCAGTGGGGACCAGTGGGGAGCTGTGGCCACGCTCCCTGCCTTTCATGGAACTCTTACCCCTGCCCAGCAGTGATGAGAAGCCCCTCCTCTTGGGGGCCAATGGAGCCCAAGCGGGGATCTGAAGTTTGACCCCCACCTTGCAGTAATAGGTGAAACCCTCTCTACCCATTCCTTCCTTCAGAGGAAGCCTGCTAAAACAAAAAATTTAAATAAGGTTTGGTCTCATAATACCTCAGATGTGCAGATATCATTGACAATCCCTCATCATACCAAGAACTAGCAAAATCTCAAATGGAATGAGTAAAAGTGATCAATGGACACCAATAAAGAAGTAGCACCGATGTTAGGATTTTCCAACAAGGATCCTAAGGCAGCCATCACAAAAATGCTTTTACTAAAAATTTTTTAAAAGAGAGAAAAAAGGCATAAATTACCAATATCAAGAATGAAACGGGATATCAATATAGACCATGCAGATGGCTTAAGGATAATAAGGGAATATTGTGAACAACCCTACACACATAAACTTGACAATTTAGTTTAAATGGACCAATTTCTCAAAAAACACAATTACTATAATTCAGTAAACATGAAAGAGAGAATTTGAATAATCCTATTATTAAGAAAATTTAATTTGTAATTTTAAACCCCCCCCAAAAAATAAATCTTTAGAACCAGATGATTTTACTGTGAAATTTCCGAATTAACATTAACTCTAAAAAGTATCTTCCATAAATTAGAAGAGGAGGAAGCACTTCCCAACTTATTTTACAAGATCAGTATTACCTGATACCAAATCTAGACAATGATAGTACAAAAAGAGAAAAAAATACAGATCAATATCTCTCAAGAGTATAAACACAGGCCGGGCGCGGTGGCTCATGTTTGTAATCCCAGCACTTTGGGAGGCCGAGATGGGCGGATCACGAGGTCAGGAGATCGAGACCATCCTGGCTAACTCGGTGAAACCCCGTCTCTGCTAAAAATACAAAAAAGTAGCTGGGCATGGTGGCGGGCAACTGTAGTCCCAGCTACTCGGGAGGCTGAGGCAGGAGAATGGCGTGAACCCGGGAGGCGGAGCTTGCAGTGAGCCGAGATCGCGCCACTGTACTCCAGCCTGGGTGACAGAGCAAGACTCCATATCAAAAAAAAAAAAAAAAAGTATAAACACAAATGTCCTCATAAAATATTAGCAATCAAATCCATCAATGTACAGAAAGCAGTGGAGTTTGTGTCAGGGGTGCAAGGCTGATTCAATCATTAAAATCAATCAATATAATGTGCCATATTAACAGGCTAACAAGGAAAAAAATTACAAGTTTATATCAAATGATGCAGAAAAAAATTTGACAACTAACATTCATGACAAAAACTCTCAGCAATCTAGAAAAAGAGGGAACTTAGACAATTTGATATAAAATAAAGATAAACAGTAGACAAAATAAAAATATGACCCTTGTAATCACCTATTGAGGTGAAAGCTACCATGGTCTGGATTTTACTAATGGGGGTTTTGGTGTGGCAAGGAGACAAGAGGTAGCCTCCGGAATTTACTCAGCTCTTAAGTGAACAGGTAGGGACTTGAACCTGGTTGTTTGGCTCCAAGTAAGAAATAGAGTCCAGGTGGTCTGGCTCCGTAGCCTGGGATGGTGACCACCCTGCTGTGCTGTTGCTTACCCTCCAGAGCTCCCCACCTCCCCCAGCAGGTCCTAGACCTGGACAACAACCTGGTTTCTTGAAGGAGGTGATACCCATAGTACATAAACAGTGTTGGAACAGAGAGACAACATGGAGAACCTTCATCCCTCATTCAATGATAGGGTGGGGGTCTGGGGACAGCCTAGGCATGGGCAGACACATTTTCTGTGGCAGACGGAGGAGGCTGGGAGCTGGGCATTGCTCATGGCATCCGTGCAGCTTCAAAGTGCTCACCGTCTGCACCCTCACCCTCACCACCGCCTGCTGGCCACTCAGCAGCCCTGGAGGCAGACACTCCTTTGACCCTGTTTGACAGGTGATGACGCTGAGTTCCAGCGATGTTGAGCCTCAAGGTCAAGTTACCCAACTCCAGGAAGAGGTGGGCTTGGGTGGGGGCAGCTGGACTCCCCAGCTGCACTGGAAATTCTATGCCACATTGCCAGGAATGATAAATAACTCCTTCTGCATTAGGAAACAAGCAGGACTTCCTCAAGACAGACAAATGATTGAATATATAGAATTGTCCAGAATCACACCCCTCTTAAATGGATATGCTCAGACACACGAGTGGGACTGGAAGTGGAGGCCGGGTGAGGAGACGTTGGCTTTGCAGTCAATACACTTCTGTTTTGTTTTTTTTTTTCCAACAAATGTATTCATGTGTTGCACAATTTTTAAAAAAGGTAAAAAGAGATGGTGCTATGTATATAATAGAGCTGTTATAAAAGTTTAAATTAAGTTATATAATAGTCGCAGTATCTGGGACATAGTAGGTGCTCAAAATAAACATTATTTTGCAAAGCGTCTTAGTCTGTTTGGGTTTCTATAACCAAAATACCATAGACTGGGAGACTTAACAGAAATGTATTCCTCACAGTTCTGGAGGCTGAGAAGTCCAAGATCGAGGCACTGACACATCTGGTGTCTGGTGAGGACCCACTTACTGTTTCATTGATGGCACCTTCTCCCTGTGTCCTCACATACTGGAGGAGGTTGCTGACTCCCTGGGGCCCCTTATATAAGGGCAGTAATCCCATTCATGAGAAACATTCAGACCACAGCATACATTTAAAATGCTTTACAGAAGCAGATCAAGTGAGACGATGATGGGCTCTCAGAGACCCATGCTCTTCTACAATCTATCTGCAAAGAAGACCTGGCTGGAGGTGGAGAGTATAAAAGCCAATCAGGACTACAGCGAATCAGGACGGTCTCTGATTAAAGGTGTTAACGACGTGACCTAGCCCTGGCTGGATGCAGTTCAGGGCCTCCCTGGGTCTTGGTTGCAGCCTTCATGAATATAACAGCCCCCCACACCACGCAGAGCAGGTTTTGTTCACTCAAGCCATGCAAGAGGCATGGGCTCAGCGTGCAGCTCTGTCTTCTCCAGCAATCTGTCCGGTTTCTGTCTCTTCAGCTCCAGCCACCTCCATGCGCTGCATGGAGCCCCTCCCTGCACTGGGTCCCAGAAGTTCTGCTTGTTTTCAGTGATCACACTCCCGCACTGTCTGTGGCTCAAAGTCTGTAAATAATGGTTTAGCATATTTCATCCACTTTTCTACCTGGACAGAAAGTGTAGTGTTGTTAGTTGGTCAGAGCAGGAGGTGGTTCTGTGTGTTTTGTCAGCCTTCCAGATGTCCCCAAGCAGCAAGAGAAGGAAGGGGCTGTGCACAGCCTTTGCCTGGGGCTTCCTATGTCCATCGGAAAGAGAGTGGATCGCATAAGCTCTCACAGAAAGAATGAATGAGCGAGTCAGTTGCTTCCCTGAATGGCTTTGTTCTGTTCTGGTGCATCCTCTGCTTGGGACCCACCTGCTAGGGCGTGGTAGAGTGAACAGCTACGTGTCTTTGTTCAGCACCTGCTTAGTGCCAGGACCTTTCTCTCTGCTTGGGAAATTGCCGTCTTTGTTTCACAGAGGATGAAGCTGAGGTTCGTAGGCTGAATTCTGGTGGCCCAGTTTTCCGGCCTGGGCTCCTTCCACTTGTAGAGTGGCCTATCTCAGTGCTGCCTATGCCGTTGGGAGGGGTGGTGGCAAAGGCAGACCAAGAGTCACCAGGCAATTTCTTAGGAGCCTGAAGTCTGCAATCCTCCAGTGAAGCTTTTCAGATGAATGTCCTTCACACCCCAAGAATTCTAGAAATGCTGAGCCCCTAGCCTGGAGGGCAGGCTTGGTGCCTGCAACAGAGCATGGGCCCAGCGACCCCTATGGTCTGAGAGAGAGGGTGAGGTGGGAGGACCATCCACTCTGGGAGACTTGGGCTGGCCTTGCAGACTGAAACCTCTCCTGTAAAGTGATGTGTGTCCTGGACCTGCAGGGAGGGAGGGGCCTCTGGAAGTCAGGCCGATTGCCAGGGTCTGTGAGGCATCTTCTGAAGCCCAGGCCCTGTCTGGCTTTTTCTTGCCAGGAGTCTGGCTCTCTTGCTCCACATGAATGACTGAAGTTATTTGAAGAGGTCCCCCAGAGAGTCATCAGGCCTCTGGTGGAATTGCAGGGGCTCAGGGAAGGCACAGAGATAGGGCTGTAATGCCCGGGGAGGGAGCGGCCCAAGGCCTGCCCCAGACCACTGCAAGCCTGGGTGCTTGGAGAGGAGAGGGCCATTAGCATGGCTGTTAAGAGCCGCTGCTGGGGGCACTGGCAAGGGACCTGTTCAACAGCTTCACCCACTGGGCCATGCACCTGACAAGCATTCACCAACCACTCTTTCTGTCTTACAGGAAAGTGATGGGGGTGGGGAGCAAGGTTGCTTTGGCCTGAGGTCAAACCATCAAGATCTGCATATGTCTACAGTTATTGATCCTTCTATTAGGTAAAGAAAAGAATTGTATAAAAACCATTCAGAGCTGCTGAAGATGTTGTTACACTTGCCAGATCTGGGAACTGCGATTTTCCTTTGCAGCTTCAACAAGAGAAGAAATCTCACAGGGGAGGAAGGGGTCGCTGAGCGTCCTCGGCCCATGGATACCTTACTTTGTGGCGCCACCTAACGGCTAAAGGTTAAAATTGCAAATCTTAAAGATTCCTCCGGCAGAGGAAGAGGTGGGAAGGGGCCGGGTTTTTGAAGAGCAGGCTGAGAGAGCTTTTTTGGGAGATTTGTTTCCTGCTTTCTGGGCACATGCACCTAATGACGATACAATCCTACGACCCATCTCTGATTCTTCCCCTGACCCACTCTGGTGTAGCCCTGCGGAGATAATTGGCAATTGCAAAGTCACCTGCCTTTGACTTCTGACCCAGTAACCCAGGAAACCGTGCCAAAGATACTCTAGCAAGAAATACGAGTCGGGTTTACACGTGCCACACCCTACGGAATTTTTTGTTATCGTAAGAGACTCAGAGCGATTCACATGTGCATCAGAGAGGGCACTGATGGAAGCAAACCTCGTGCATCCCACAGAGTTACAGCCAGCAGCGCTCAGGCTGTGTGGCTGCCGCAAGTGCCCCTGAGCCCCCTGAGCCCCAGTGGCTGGCGACAGCCCCGCTCCATGTCGCCTTCATCCAAGATCTGCGCCGCGGGGCGGCCGCCATCTGGAGCACGGCTGGCCACGGTCAGCCCTAAGCTGGTGGGTGACACTGCGTCTGCGCACACTTCGTTGCTCAAAGCCAACTGTATGTGCTGACTGGGTGTGCCTTCTAGTGTCCTGTGTTCCTGCTGAGTGCCTAGCATGCATACTTCCTTTGTGCGCCCAGTGTTGTGTGCCTGTCACTGTGTGTCCAGTATTGAGTTATGTGCATGGTGTTATGCACCAGGCATGGTGTGTCTGACTTTGTTTGCCCAGTGTCGCGTAGCCAGCATCTGTGTCCAGCCTGTGTTCTTGCCATGTGCCTGGCCCTGCATGCCTAGTGTGGCACCTGGCTGTGCATACTCCGCATTGTATGCCGGGTTTGTTTGCTCCCGTCTGTGAGCCTTGCAGTGTAATCCTGGAGCGTATGCCCTGTGTTGTTTGCCAACTGTGTGTGCAGGTACTGTGTGTACCTGGCGCTGTGTCCCTGCTTGTTTGTGCCTAGTGGGCATGCCCAGTATTGCATGCCTGGTGTTGTGTACCTGGTCCTGTGTGCCCAGTATTGAGATCCCAGAGTGTCTGCCCGGCCTGGGTGCCTGCGTTGTGTGTCCGGCCCTGTGTGCTCAGGTTTGTGCATCCAGCTTGGTGGGCCCAGAGTGTGCCTGGCATACGGGCTTAGTGCTTTCTCCCTGGCATTTTGTGCCTGGCATGTTTGCCCAGCACTGTGTGCCCTGCATGGTGTCCCAGAGGCTGCGCCTACTATGGTGTGTCTGGCTTTGTGTGTCTGGCATTGCATGCTCATTGTTGTATACTTACTGTGTGTGTCCAGCATGGGGCGCCTGCATTGTTTTCCTGGCCCTGTGGTTCCAGAGTTCTGTTTCTGCACTGCATGCCTGGTGTTGTGTGGGTGGAATTACATGGCTGGTGTGTACATGGCTGGTATGTGACCCAGCGTTGTGAGCTCAGTGTGGTGCTCCTGGAGTGCCTGGCCCGGAGTGCCTGCTGGTGTGTGTGTGGTATGTGTTTGGCATCATCTGTCTGAGGTTTTGTGCATAGTGTTGTGTTCCCACAGTGTGTGCTGGCATTAGTGCCTGGACTTGTGTGTGCCTGGCATTGCACCCTGGCTTCTGTGCCCAGCATGGTGTGTCCCAGTGTTTTGTGCCCTACAGTGAAGCTCAGCATTGCGTTTGGTGTGTGTGTTCAACATGTGTTACAAGCATGGGTTCTTGCCGTGTGTGCATTGTGTATGTGATGCTGTGTCCCTAGAGTGTGTGTAGCATCTGTGCCTGGTGTGTGCCCGATGTTGTGTTCCTGCAGCGTCTGGTGTTGTCCCCAGTGTGTGCCAGTGTGTATTCCCAGTGGGTGTGCCAGCTTGTCGGTCATGGTATGCCTGACCTTGTATGCCCAGAGTTGTGTGTCCAGTGTGTCCCCAGCTTCAGTGTCTGTGGCTGGAGAGTGTGTCTTTCCTTCTGTGTCTGGTGTTGTGACCCAGCATGGTTTGTGTGGCTGTGTATGCTTGGCAAGCGTGCCCACTCCTGTGTGCCTGGTGCTGCGTGACTGGCACGTGTACCTCGAATTGTTTGGCTGACAGTGTGTGCCCAGAATTTTGTGCCCACTGTGTGGGCCTGTGTTGTGTCCTGTGCTGTGTGCTCTGTTGTTAGCCCTGTGTGTGTGCTCTGTGTGTCTTGTGCTGTGTGTCCTATGCTGTGTGGCCTGTGCTGTGTCCTGTGTGGTGTGCCGTGCACTGTGTGCCCTGTAGTGTGTGTCCTGTGCTGTGTCCTGTGTGGTGTGCCGTGTGCTGTGTGTCTTGTGCTGTGTGTCCTGTGCTGTGCGCCCTGTGTTGTGTACCCAGTACTTCTGTGTGTCCTGGGCTGTGTGTCCAGCACATGTGTCTGCTGCCCCACTGTGCTGAGTCCCAACACCCACCTGTGCGCCTGGCACTGCCTCGTTGTTGGGGAGGACACCCTGTGTGGCCGTCCTCGCCACCTGCTCGAGCAGAGCTGAGGTGGCCTCTGCCCTCACTTCCACCGCAGTTTGCCTTCCTTCCTGGGGACACTCCTGCCTGGCAGCTCCCCATGTTTAGCCTGTTCCAGGGATCAGCTTCCACCCCAGGCACTCTCCATTTATTTGGGGAGTTCCCACAGGATGAGGCCCTTAAGGGAGTCCCTCCTCTCTACTGGGGATACCCCTGAGCAGGTGGGGACTCCTGTCCTTCATTCAGCTCATCCCCAGCCCTGGCTGGAGCTTTCCCTCCTTTGCGGAGGTGGGCTCAGGCAGGCCTCGCTGGGGAGCTCACCAGGCCCTGTGCGTGGGGCTCTGCAGGCCCAGCCAGTCCTGACTCTGCCGTGAGCCCCGCACCAGGATGGGAAGTGCCCTGAGAGCTCATCTCCTACCACCTCCAGGGCTGGGGCTGGCGCCTCCTCCAGCCTGGCATCTGGCCGCGGCGGTCTCCCCAAGCAGCCACCAGGGGGCAGAGCCACCCTCTGTCCACACCCCGATCCTCCCTCACCCCTTCAATTGCTGGACAAGGGACCCTTGCCTGAGGACGCCCTTGGATCCCTCCTGTGAGACAAGGAGCTGCAGATAACCCCAACCTCTACACAGACAGAAAGGAGCAGATTTCATAAAAAGCAGGGAATTTTTAAAATGTGAGTAATTTTTAAAAATACAATCTCCGCGTAAAACCCACTTAGAAAACTTTGTGCTTTCTGATTAATAGAGAGCAAATCACTTACCCAGGGCTATTGGATGCTGTAATTTTTTAAGGTTTTAAATATGCTTTTATTTGTTTCCCCCTGATGGTCTGAGGCTTCTATTCTTGCTAACTTTTTAGTTCTCCTTGTCCTGGGGACACAGGGTATGGGGCAGGACCTCCCTGGATTAAAGGAAGTGAGTCAGACATGCCACCGCCCGCAGGTTCCAGGACAGTTCTGGTCTGAATGCAGTCCCGACGCGAGTGCTGTTCCCTGGGAGCTGAGACCCGCAAAGATGCCCTTCCACCACCCTCTCCCCACGGTTCTTTCGTGCTGCTGCGTTCCTGGAGGCTGAGCTTCTGTCCCATCCTGTCTCCTTTGTGTGTTTCAAACCTCTTTCCAATTTCTGTTATACTGATGCTGTTCTCCTTTCCGGTACTATTACATGATTTTCTTCCCATTTCTCATGATTCAGAGCCCATGGTGGGTGAGGGGGACAGTTGGGTGGTCCACACCTGAGACTTCATGCATCCTGTGAGGCTGAGTCACAGGCCTGGGGGTCCTTGAATCCCTCTTATCCCACAAGGGAGATCCTCCTGGAATCTCAGCAGATTGGAGAGCCCAGCTGAGAAGAATCTGCTATCCTATTAGTGCCCTTGGTTTTGAGGTGGCTGTAAAATCCCCTGCTAGAGGCGGAAGAGAGAGGATCGCACCCCAGTATCGGACTGCTGTGGGCAAGTTGGTGAAATCAAATGTATTGTTACTTTCTGAGAATCAGCACCCACATTTTCTGCATTTAAGGATTTTATGGAGCACAACAAAATCCACAGCAGTCACAGCAACTGAGAGAGAACGCCAGGCCACACTCCCTAGGCATTCCTGGAGAGGTGTTCTATGCCTTAAGGATGAACAATAGAGAATTTGATTTAAAAAATTGATGGAAAGTTAATGTTGAAAGAAGTCAGGGTGAAATAAAAGCATGAGATGCTGTATGGGATGTGAAGATTTCTAGGAGACAATAATAATAGACAAGCAAATGAAGACTGGTGTAGAGTGAAAGTTAGGTGGCCAGGATACGACAAGGGCACTGCAGCCAGGATTCCTGTCCCGGGGACAATCGGCACAAAGAGTCTGCACCTGGGAGGACAGGGGCCTTCAGTGTGTGATCTGTACTGAGGGTCTGCACCTGAGAGGACAGGGGCTTTCAGTGTGTGATCCCTACTGAGAGTCTGCACCTGGGTGGACAGAAGCCTTCTCTATGTGATCGGTACTGAGGGTCTGTACCTCAGAGGACAGGGGCCTTCAGTGTGTGATCTGTACTGAAGGTCTGCATTGAGAGGACAGGGACCTTCAGTGTATGATCTGTACTGAGGGTCTGCACCTGGGAGCACAGGGGCCTTCAGTGTGTGATCTGTACTGAGAGTCTGCACCTGGGAAGACAGGTTCCTTCAGTGTGTGATCCGTACTAAGGGTCTGCACCTGGGAGGACAGGGCCCTTCAGTGTGTGATCTGTATTGAGGGTCTGCACCTGGGAAGACAGGTTCCTTCAGTGTGTGATCCGTACTGAGGGTCTGCACCTGGGAGGACAGGGCCCTTCAGTGTGTGATCTGTATTGAGGGTCTGCACCTGGGAAGACAGGTTCCTTCAGTGTGTGATCCGTACTGAGGGTCTGCACCTGGGAGGACAGAGGACAGGGACTTTCAGTGTGTGAACTGTACTGAGGGTCTGTACCTGGGAGCACAGGGGCCTTCAGTGTTTTTTGTTTGTTTGTTTATTTGTTTTCTGTAATGAGAGTATGCACCTGGGAGGAGAGGTGCCTTTGGTGTTTTTTTTTCCTGTACTAAGGGTGTGCGCCTGGGAAAATAGTGCCTTTTGTGTGTGATCTGTACTGACAGCGTGCTCCCATGATGACAGGGTCTTCAGTTGTAATCTTCTCTTAGAGTTTGCAAATGTTTGGACATTGTGTCATCTTTTGATGTTTGGTATTGAGTGTCTATATGGGTGAAGTTAGGGGCCATTTTTTTGTCACTTGCACTGAGAGTGTGCACACGAGACCTGCATTCCTTCCATGTGTTATTTGTGCTGAGAGTCTGTGTGTTCTGAAAAGCCCCTTCACTTTGTTTTTCACTAATACTCTGCACATTTGAGGACAGGGATCCTTCTTTGTGACCTGTAGCGACCATCTGCACCAATGAAGGAAAAAGGCCTCCAGCATTTGATCTTGCTTAGATTGTTGCTTTGTGTGGATGGGATGGATTTCTGCATAGATCATTCTCAGTCTGTTTTTGTACAGAGATGATTAATTTGCTTTTCTATTCTCTGATCTGTGTCATCTCATGCTATCCTCAACTTTACTTGCTTTACATATAAATTGAGTATTGCAAAATTAAGTAAACTCTTAATAATGAGAAGTAAACTTCTTAGTAATTCTTAGATGGGCTGAATTACAACCTTTCATCTTACTGCTTTGTCCTTGGCACACACTAATTACTTCCTGAGTCATCTGGTTTTGGTTTCCTTATGCTGTTGCTATGATCATTCAATGGATCATGGATGTAGAAAGAGTATCTTGCTCCCCTGGAATACTCACAGATGGAATGAGCTTGTTTTGTATCTTGGAATGGTTTAGGGAGCCACAGACGGACAAGGAAGATTTTGCCTTCTATGCCACAGTAGAAACATGACAATGTACGGGGATGGGAACAGCCTGGTGTGCTCAGAGACCAGACTAAGCTTTAATTTAATTGTAATAACCCTGGTGATTTGGGGAATGAGGGTTAGAGATTGGACAATGTGAACTGGAGACAGATTCTGAAGGACTGGTAGAGTTTGGATTATGGAAGGGTTTAAGCACTTGCAAACAAAATTGATTTTTTTGTTCTTACTCACACCAATGTGTGTTCAACTGGGGAAAGATCGTAGAGGTAACTCCTGAAGAAATTACTGTGGTGGGTCCAATGGGTGCAATAGATTTGGATCCATAGAACTTGTCCTGGTGGAAGATAAGGCAGGCATCAAACAGGGGTGGAGAGCAGATGGGAATACTGTGTTTCCTTATTGATCAAGGAGAGGGAGGGAAAGGAAGAGGGACTCCCAGTGTGCAGGGGCAGAGAGCAGTGTAGAGCTCAGATGTCTTTCTGGTCCAGGGTTGACCTTGGAATCATATATCTGCTCACGTGTCTTTTTATTTAAGACATCTTTTGCCTATAGGTGAGGGGGCGAGAGGACCTTCTCCCAATTAAATAACAATAATAATAGTAATGACTTTTTAACGGCATGTCCTAAAGTCTATTATTAGAATATAGTACGCCTGCTGCAGGCTCATAACCTCATTAACTTGGAAATAATGCAGTATGGGCAATTAGGATGATAAACCACTTATGCAATTTCATAGTATGACATTAATGAATGTACTTGGGAAGCATTTCCTTAGCACCAAGGCCACAGGAAAAGTCAAGGGGAGACAGGTGCCAGTGGATGTAAACAGTACAGATCAGTGGAGGGCCGTATATTTGAAAGCCTAGCTGTGTGTTGGTTGAGTAGGTCCCTTCCAAACTATGCTGTGCAGGTTATGATGGGGAAGGGAACAGAGACAGCCCAGCGCCTTGCGGACGGGGCAGGAAGGCTCTGGGCTCTACAGCACTGGACATCCAAAGTTTCCTCTATGCCTATACCCTGGGGTCTCTACCAAACCCAATTCCTGGGTAGAGAATGATCACCTTAAAGAAATGCTGGAAATCCAGAGACCCTTACACTGGTTCATAATTAAGAAAGCAATGCTGACAAAATCCCAACAGGAGCCCCATGCAGAGGATCTTGGCTGGCTATGTCTTTTAGTGATCCAGAACAGTGCCTGGAAAAGCCATTAAGAAATTACGAGTTGAAGATTAGCTGAGAAAAGGCAAGAAATTGAATGAAGTCAGTCTAAGTGTGCCATCAGGCATTTTTCTAGCTGTCTGCTCAGAAAGGTCTTTAAAGGGTGACCAATCAGCATGTCAGAGATGAAATTGGATGCTGTGAGAATCTCAGGTAAGCAGCCCATGAAAAGGAGGGAGCTTTCCAGATATGCCTTCTTCCTGGAGACCTTTCCTCTCTAGTGCATGTTTATGGATGGTTCAGGATCCAGGGGCATAAAATTCAGCCAATTTACAATAAGCAGAAAATATTGGCAAGATTTCACTTAGGAGATTGCAGATCCAGGTGTGTGAATCAACCACAAACACCACCACAGAGTACTCATGGTGGATGGTGCCCCCACACCAGTGCCCAGGACAGGCAAACAGGCTGTCAGTTCTGCCCACCTGATGCTAGACACCCAGATGGAGCTCTGCACTGCACCAGGCCGTGTGTGATGCTCACTGGAGGGCCTACGCACAGCCTTTCCTCCCGGGGAACTATGGCCATGTCTGCCGAAAGAGGTAATTCTCTGACAGTACAGCAACTGGAAATGAGAAGGTCTCAGGGGAGCATGGAGTTATAGAAAAATGAAGCAGAAGACATTGAGGTTGTTTCCCAAGACCTGTTCCCAGAGACCTCATAAATATCTCTGTCCAAGAGCAGAGGATCCCGCTCCAGTGGCCTGAGCACTCCAGGCTCCAGTTTGCTTTTCTGTAGGCTCTATGCTCTTTCCTTAGGCTTATGGCTTCTTCCTTTTTATAGGAAACACTCCTTTTTTTTTTTTTTTTTGAGATGGAGTCCTGCTCCTGTCACTCAGGCTGGAGTGCAGTGGCACAGTGGCACGATTTTGGCTCACTGCAACCTCCACCTCCTGGGTTCAAGCAATTCTCCTTCCTCAGCCTCCCAAGTAGCTGGGATTACAGGCTTGCACCACCACGCCCGGCTAATTTTTGTATTTTTAGTAGAGATGGGGTTTCGCCATGTTGGCCAGGCTGGTCTCGAACTCCTGAGCTCAGGTGATCCACCCGCCTTGGCCTCCCAAAGTGCTAGGATTACAGGCGTGAGCCGCTGTGCTGGCCAGGAGACACTGCTCCTGATACATCCAAGCTACAGCCATGATGCTGTTGGCGTGAGCCTAGGAGATAGGTGCACGCTTCCCACTGGCACAAGCTTCCCTGTAGCCTCTCGAACAGTTCTGAAGCTGTGACTAAGGAGCAGCTATACCAAGGCCTCCCACACCCATATTTGTTCTCCTTCTTGTGGAGTGCTCTGTCGACCTGATGCAGGGTAAGGATTGGCCAGAGCAGATCCCCGAAGTCGTGTGACCCTGGCCCTATGAATCATCATGGAAAACAACTCCTCCTTGGGGAAGGTGCCTAAAAAAGAGGAGTTCAAGACACTTTATGCATAACCTAATATAATAGCTAAGGAACCCAGCAAAGCTGCTTGATTAAAAAGCTCTGTGTGTATAGGCCGAGCGCGGTGGCTCATGCCTGTAATCCCAGCACTTTCGGAGGCCGAGGCGGGCAGATCACGAGGTCAGGAGATCAAGACCATCCTGGCTAACACAGTGAAACCCCCATCTCTACTAAAAATACAAAAAAAATTAGCCAGGCCAGGTGGTGGGTGCCTATAATCCCAGCTACTTGGGAGGCTGAGGCAGGAGAATGGCATGAACCCGGGAGGCAGGGCTTGCAGTGAGCTGAGATCATGCCACTGCACTCCAGCCTGGGCGACAGAGCGAGACTCCATCTCAAAAAAAAAAAAAAAAGCTCTGTGTGTATATGCAAATGTGTGCACACATGGGAGGGAGTGCTGTGTGCGTGCTTCAGCAGGGCTGAGAGGAAGAACGGGAAGCTGGAGACAAGTGTGTCCTTGTTTTTATGATTATCTCCTAATAGTGTGTCAGTTAGGATTCTACAGGGAAATCGAACAAACAGAATGTTGCTGTAGTTTGGATATCTGACCCCTCCAAACCTCATGTTGAAATTTGCTCCCTAGTGTGTTGGAGGTGTGGCCTAATGGAAGGTGTTTGGGTCATGGCAGTGGATCTCTTATGAATGGCTTGGTGCTGTCCTTGTGGTAATGAGTCCTTGCTCTATTATTTCCCACAAGAACCGGTTGCTACAAAGAGCCTAGCATCTCGCTCCCCTCTCTCTTGCCTCCTGTCTTGTGATCTCTGCACACACGGACTCCTCTTCGCCATCTGCTATGAGTGGAAGCAGCTTGAGGTTCCTATCAGATGCAGATGCTGGCGCCATGCTTCCTGTGCAGGCTGCAGAACCATGAGCCAAATAAACCACTTTTCTTTATACATTACCCAGCCTCAGGTGTTTATAGCAATGCAAATGGAATAATGCAGGTGTATACACACAAGAGGCGATTCATTATAGAAATTGGCTCACGTGGTTATGGAGGCCAAGAAGTCCCACAATCTGTTGTCTGCAATCTGGAGAACAAGGAAGCTAGTGCTGCAATTCAGTCTGAGTCCAAGGGCCTGAGAACCAGGAGAGCAGATGTCCAAGGACAGGAGAAGATGGAGTCTTAGCTTAAGCAGAGAGGGCAAATTTTCTCCTCCACCTTTTTGTTACATGCAGGCTCTCAGTGGATTAGATGATGCCCACCCACATTGGAGAGGGCCTTCTTCTTGACTTAGTTCACCAGTTCAAACAATAATCTATCCTGGAAACACCCTCACAGACATACCCAGAAATGATGGTTTACCAGTTGTCTGGGCATTCCCTCACCCGGTCAAGTTAACACATAACATTAGCTGTCACACATTGTAAAGGATGAAATTCAGATCAGAGGATTGTCGAGGGCTGGAGGTAGGTCCTCAAGCTCACACTCCTGCCTTCACCCAGGAGGCAAGAGAGACTAGAAGTCCAGCTGAGGTGAAGGTGTAATGAGCCAAATAGAGTCAGGACTGAGACTCCAGCCTCCTGAATTCTACTGCATCAAACTTCCCCTGCACCTCTTGCAGATGCAGATTCCCACAGGCCCCTCTGCATCTTTGCTTAGGGTGCACTTCCCCACTCCCTGTCTGCCTAGATGAATACTGCATGGGCTGTTGAACAGCGTGATTGGGGTTGTACCGATATGCACATTCCATCCAGTCTGCCAACGTGAGTTGAATTAATTCCAATTTCGTTAAGGAAGCTGAGGACAACCTGAAGTTCTACTGAATGGAATCCTTTTCAGAAGAGAAGAACATTTAAGTAGATTACAGTTTGATATTGTTGGCCATTTTCTGTTGAATAGTGGAGGGATGGGGGTAGTGAGCTGCATCGCTTCATAGGGTGGAAAATGGCTTATTTCTGGCTCATCTGAAGTTCCATGGCTTTTTTGATATGATTAAACAAGGCATAAATGAAGCACTGGCACATGTTCAATGCAACAACACCCCTTTGTGAATCTATTATACACTGGGAACCGAGCTGTGTCCTCAGGATCTAAAGCTGAAGGAGGCACAGGCATCAGGATGGTGGCAATCTCGCAGCATCACTCCAATAAAGGAGGCATCTGGCATTGTGAGAACACAGACTAGAGAGCAATGCATACTTCCAGGAAGTGGATAGGCTTGAGACATGCTGGAGGCAGGAGGCAGCCTTTGACTGAAGCTTGGGGCAAACCAGTTGGGGCCTGGGACAGAGGGGGCAGATGGCCATGACTGCTGTGACTTGATTGGGGAGTGTCTGGACATGAGACTTGACAGGCCTGGGGCCTTCAAGGGGAGCCTCACGGGAAGCAGTCGTTGAAGACAGAAGTGGCAAAAAAAGAAAAAAAAATGTGGTTCCTTTTTTAGAACAAAGACTCTGGCCACAGTGCGGGGAGAGAGGGCACAGGCTGCTGTCTTTGCAGGAGTGTCAGGAACCTTGTAGAGAAGATGCCAGGCTGAGTCCGAGCCCAGCTGTGCAGGAGAGGAGGGACAGGTATGATGGATGTTTCTAGGGCAGAACAGACAGGAAGCGGGGGAGGGAAGGAAGGAAAGACGGAGGTGGGGATGCATCTGAGGTCTCCCGTTTGAAAGCTGGGAGAAGAATGACACCTTTTAATGAGACAGGCCAGTTGATGGAGGTTTGGGGGAGAAGCAAGGTGTGCTCATTTAAAAAGTTTTATTTTAGAATAACTAGACTTATGGGAAAATTTCAAAATAGTACAGAGAATTCCAGTAAATCCTTCACCCAGCTTCCCCTAATTGTGAGCATCTACAGTGCGATGATCAAAACCAGGAAACAAACAATGATACAATATTATTATAAAAACTACAGAATTTATTCATATTTTTCCAGCTAAGCGGCTTATTTTTAGATCTCTGGGTTGAGGTGCTAACAGACTTCCCTGGAGCCCAGGATTATAACATGTGTAATGAGACCTTTGCTTTCTCTTTCCATCTGTGCTCAGCTCCACACTTCATTTCATTTACCTTATTGGTGGATAGATGATTTCTTTTTCAATCCCTTGGATGTGATTTTATTTTAGGTTATCATATAAGATGAAAGATACACACACACACACACACACGTGTGTGTGTGTGTGTGTATCCTCTTCCCCTCTGTGATTTCAGAATTCTTTTTAACTTGCAACAGTT
The DNA here is from genome assembly GCF_000001405.40 of Homo sapiens. Classification (NCBI taxonomy): domain Eukaryota; kingdom Metazoa; phylum Chordata; class Mammalia; order Primates; family Hominidae; genus Homo; species Homo sapiens. Next base: position 4,271,855 of record NT_187660.1, read on the forward strand.
CAATCCACTTACCTCCACTGCGCCTTCCCAGTGGAACTCTCACAGTCACCAGGCACGTCCTATGTGCTAGTGCGGTACTATCTGCTCAGTCCTCACACTAACCCTGCAGGCAAACCACGACACACTGGGATCCGGGAGCTGATCAGCTCACCTCCTGCAGGCAGCCGAGGAACCGAGTGTGAACCCCGAGCGCTGCTCCTAACTGTCATGTGCATAAGCATCTCAATGCACGTTTTGCTTGTGTTTTCTCGATTTCCTGTTCCTTATGTTTTCTCAATTTTTCTTCACAATGATATCTTTTTAGGCCCTTTTCCTTTCCCTTGTGATTTGGAAGGTGATAGTCTTTTCACCTTACCAGCAGTTGTTCTTACGTTGCTGGAACTCCCCTGCAAGCTCTTATCAAGTGCTTCCCTGCTGTCCCATCCAGTGAATTCACTTCGTGTGGTCCTCATCCAACTCAGCCCCTGAGCAGCTTTGGGATTGGGGGACCATGCCTTCCTTCTCCAAACTCTTCCCTCACTCCTTCTATGACACCAGAGCTGCACCTGCCTCCCTGCTGGCACCCCCTGTTCTACTGCACTCTCTATGTCAGTTTGCCTTCAGCCTTGGACCTGGGGTATTTCCTTGTCTCTCTTTATCTGCACCTTTCCTGTGTGATCTCCTACAGTCGGTTGCTCTACGTCCCAGCCCCAATCCATAGCTCCAGGTGTAATCCCTCTTCTGCGAGACTGACTGCTGGAAAACTCAGCTCGGACGTCCCATAGGGGACTCACCCCTAACAGGCTGGTTATTGCACTCTTGTTCCCACATGCTCTCCTGTCCTGCCCCAAGGAGTCACTCTTTTTTCCTCCTTTCCCTCACTCCCCGCAACCAAGTCATCAGCAAGTCCTGCAGATTCTAAGAAAATGCATATCGCTTTATTCACTTCTCTCTGCTTGCCCTGCACCCATAGCTCTTCCAAGGTCAATTGCAAGGCCTAAGTCATCTCCTCTACCTCCCATGCACTCTCTTTGAGTGGACTTTTGTCATTGTAAGTCCATTATGTCACTCCTTTGCTTAAGGAAACAAGTGCTTCATCCACTGCTTGTGAAAATGCAAAATGTTACAGAACACAATGCAGGGAAATTGGGAATGTCTGTCAATATGACAAACGCAACTACCCTTTGACTCAGTAATGCCTTCCAGGAATTTGTCTTTTGTACATATTTGCACACATGCAAAGTAATAAATGCACAAACTTATTGTAAGCAGCATTGAAACAACAAAATTTCCAGACAACTCAAAATCCCATCAAGAAGAAGCTGGATAAATAAGCTATGGTAATCAACACAATAGAACACTTTGAAGCAGTGAAAAAAATTTTGAGGAAGCCCTCCATATGCTGATATGAAAATATCTCCAGGATATACTGTTAACGAAAAAGAAGGTTGAAAATAGTATTTTATAGTATGCTATCTTTTTTATATAAAGAGAGAAATAAAAATTTATCTTTACTTGAGTGTGAGGGTGGTGAGGTCAACAAGAAAGAGAAGTGAGGCTTCCCATTGTATAATTTATGATAGTGTTTTTATGTGATTTTTGAATCTTGTTGAATATATTAATCACTCTCTCTCTTTCTCACATACACACACACACTCACACTTCAGGGACTTCTACCTGCTTCATGCTTCTAGTGGAGATCCGCACTTCTTCACATGGGCTACTCAATCAGGTCTCCCCCTCCTCCTCCATCCTCCCGCTGGATGTTCCCTCTCACTAACTGCTCAGCTACTTGGCCTGTGTTCTGTTCCTTGCCAACTTCAGGCCCCTCCAGTCTCCGTGCCTCCCTGGAACACACATTTCCCTGCTCTTCACGTGGCTGGGTCTTCACCTTTCTCAGGGTGCAGCACACAAACCAATCCTGCAGAAAGGGCCTCCCTGGCCCAGCAGTGCACAGGGCGTTGTCTCCCATCTTTCTCCATCCTTAACACCATTTGTTGTTGGTTTCTGGCTAGTTTGTTTTCCCCACTAGCCAGCGTGCTCCAGGAGAGCAGACACCACCTCTTATTCAAAATCCCAGGCACTCGATCTATTTTGGAATATATAAAAAAATCATGCTTAAGCCTAATTATTTATATTTATCTAATCACAAATTTTCTAGCAAAGTTATGAAAAAGTGACTTTTTATTTTTTTCCATATTCAATGAAGAATTTTGCTCACCTTTGCTTCCTTTGATGTTCAATCTCTCCAACTGCCTCACCCCTCTCCACAAGATACTTTGGAATCTTTGGGAATTTGTCCGATTTTTTTAAACAATGTATAATTGATCTTTGATATTTAAATGTTCTTTTAAAAAACATTGGATTTTGCATGCAATTTGTTACTACGTTTATAACATATTTATACCTAAAACTATATGTTCAAACTGTTTTGATGGCTACATCAACAATTCTGTCTCTTTCTTATCTTTGGATTCATTTTCATGTTTGTACCATGCTGCTGAAATATACCTTCTGTCTTCAGTCTGCTCAGGCTGCCATAACAAAATAACACAGGCTGGGCAGCATGAACAACTGAAATTTATTTCTCACAATTCTAGGTTCTAGAAGTCTATGCTGAAAACACCAGAAAACTTGGTTTCTGGTGAGGGCTCTCTTCCTGGCTTGTAGACAGCCACCTTCTCACAGTGTGCTCACATGGCTTTTGGCCTCTGTGTGTGTGTGTGCAGAGAGAGAGACAGATTGCTGATGTCTCTTCCTGTTCTTGCAAGGACACTGGTTCTATTGGATTAGGGCCCCACCCGTATGACCTTATTTAACCTTAATTATCTTTTTAAAGGCCCTATCTCTGAATACAGCCACACTGAGGTTTAGGGTTCCAACATATGGATTAGAGTGGGGCACAATTCAATCCGTAGCATTCCACTCTCAGGCCTCCTCAAATTTATGTTCTTCTCACATACAAAATACACAAACCACCATTCCAACAGCCCCCAAAGTCTTATTCATTCCAGAATCAATCTAAGTTCAAATTCTCATCTGGATGTCATCCAAATCAGCTATGGGTGAGGTCCTCTCTAGCTGTAAACCTGTGAACAGACAAATTATGTGCTTCCAAACTACAATAGTGGGACAGGCTTAGGACGTACATTCCCATTTCAAAGGGGAGAAGTCAGAAAGAAAAAAGGGATGATAGGGTCCAAGCAAGTCCCAGACCCAGCAAGACAAGCTCCATCAGATCTTAAGGCTTGAGAGGAAAATCCTCTTGGGCTCAATGCCCTACCTTTGGATCCAGTGGGGCAGCACCTTTGCCTCTGGGCCTTGTGGGGCAGCCCTGCTCCTACAGCTCTGTAGGGCAGTCCCACCCCAGTGCTTCTGGTGGAGGCCATCTACCTGCTGAAACCAAAGTGGTGGCCTGAGCCTGACCCTTTGAAGACAACGAGGCAGCCCTGATGTTCTCTGAAACACCTTCCACGTCGTTCTTCCATTTTCTTGATGAAACAGTCCACGTTCACAGCCAATTAGCACCACTGTCGTCGCCTGCAGAGTTTAAGAAGTGCCACCACCCTCCTTCATTTATTCCCTCTCTCATCCCCTTCAGTGTAAGCCAGTGGTGTAGGTGTTTCTGCTTGTATTCCCTTCAATGAGCCACACCCTTGGTTCTCTCTTCAGGATACACTTTCTCATTTTTATTTTTTATTTGCCACATGGACAGACTAAGAATTTTCCAAATCTTTAAGTTCTTGTTTCTTTTGATGTAATAATTTCTTCTTCAATTTATCTGTCTTCTGTCACATTTTACTACAGGCATATCCAAGAGATTTTGGTTTGGTTCCAGACCACCGCAATAAATGGTCTGAATGTTACAATAAAGTGATTCGCAGAATAGACTGCTATACTGTAATCTATTAACTGTGCAATAGCATGTTTTTAAAAATGTACACATCTTAATTAAAAAGTACTTTATTACTAAAAACTGCTAATGATTATCTGAGCCTTCAGTGAGTTGTAATCTATTTGCTGGTAGAGGGTCCTCCCTTGACAGCTGCTGACTGATCAGGGTGGTGGTTGCTGAAGGTTGGGGTGGCTGTGGCAATTTATTTCTTTTTTTTGTTTTTGTTTTTTTGAGACTGAGTCTCACTCTGTCGCCTAGGCTGGAATCAGTGGTGCAATCTCGCTCACTGCAACCTCCGCCTCCCGGGTTCAAGCAATTATCTTGCCTCAGCCTCCTGAGTAGCTGGGCCTATAGGCACGTGCCACCATGCACAGCTAAGTTTTTGTATTTTTAGTAGAGACGGGGTTTCACCATATTGGTCGGGCTGGTCTCGAACTCCTGACCTCATGATCTGCCTGCTTCAGCCTCCCAGAGTGCTGGGATTACAGGCGTGAGCCACTGCACCCGACGGCAATTTCTTAAAATAAGACAACTGTGAAGTTTGCTGCATTGATGGACTCTTCCTCTCATGAAAGATTTCTCTGTTGCATGCATTGCTGTTTGTTTTGGTAGGCGTGGCGGGGGGGAGCTTAGAAAAAATGTCTTATATAATACCAAGACCTATTATTCAAACCGATAGGGAGCCATTTCCATTCTTAAGCTTTATTTTGAAATATATGTCTTCATTTTTATAGGATGTGAGCAAAGCTTTGAAATTAAATTATTCTGTTTAAATTCAGCCTAGAATTCAAGGATAAATATTTATTCTATCAAAGTAGAGTTTGAATATTCTTCTCCATGTCTCCTCAGCCTCTTCCAACTTTTTCCTTCATTTCTCTCTGCCTATATTTTTTGCACTTCCCCTGCATCCATCTTTCTTCTACATGAGCCCACCTTTCATTTCCCTGTCGCTTCTCCTGGGTTCTTCCATCACGCTGTCTCTTATGTACAAATTGCTACCACTCTATTGGTCTGTCTCCAGATTCTTTCTGTCACTGTTTTTCTTCTGCTTGCCCTACCCTCTCTTAAAATTCTGCTGCCTTCTCTCAACTCTTGTCACTTTTAACTTATATACTTATTCAAATCTTTTTTTCTCATCTTTTTTTTTTTTTTTTGAGATGAAGTCTCACTCTGTTGCCCAAGCTGGAGTGCAGTGGCACGATCTTGTCTCACTGCAACCTCCACCTCCCAGAGTCAAGCAATTCTCCTGCCTCAGGCTCCTGAGTAGCTGGGACTACAGGTACACAGCACCAAGCTTGGCTAATTTTTTTGTATTTTTAGTAGAGATGGGGTTTCACTACGTTAGCCAGGCTGGTCTTGAATTCCTGACCTCATGATCCACCCACCTCCGCCTCCCAAAGTGCTGGGGTTACAGGCGTAAGCCACTGGGTCCAGCCTTTTCTCATCATTTCTTAAGTTCTTATTATATGTGGGCCTTTTACCTTACCTCTTAGCTCTATCAGTGTTTTGCTTCCTATGCCTGAGAACACACACATTCCCTGTGGGAAGCAGGGGTAGAAAATTCACACAGCAAGCAACCAGGGGTGGAAGGGCAAGCTGTGGAGATATCCTGCTCAGCAGAGCCCTGCACACCTTGCAGGCAAGGGCATTCCATCCAACTTCACACTGACATTTTGCTAAAGTAACCAACAGTCTTGGTTTGCCCGGGACTGTACTAGTTTGTCACTGAAGGTCTTGTGTTCTGGGAAATATCTCAGTTTCAGGCAAATCAGGACAGCTGATTACTCAACATCTTACTTTCTTTACATCTTTTTGCATAGCCCTTTCATCAAACTATGCTCACCTCAACATTCAGCCTTACATTGTTCTTCTTTCTATAGTAACTGCCTGGTGGGACCATTGTTGTTACCAAGTCTCCCTTGCACCTTGCCCAGATGAGTGCAGTACTGTCTCTTGATTGACACATTGTTGTTGTTGTTGTTGTTCCCTGGCTTTAGCCTACCCTGTACTTATCCTTTCTCTACCTGTTTTAGCATGTACCAGGCAGATTCAGTTACGGGAACCCGTGTGGCCCCATTGAAAGGATGCTCTTAATGCCGGGAGGTATCTTTCTCTGTACATAAAAATCACCCCTGGTATGTCATCTTGTTTATGGAGTAGTGCCAGAGATACCTGGCCTTACCTCATACTTCACCTCCTTTTGCCTACTGTGATCTCTCTTTCTGCCCACCCTAGCTGGCCCAGGGCTTACTGAGCCTCCCCATGGCCTTTGAGCTATGGCTGTATTTATTGGTGTCTAATCTGGTTTTACCATTCAGCTTGGTATCTACCTAAATGACTCCAACTTGAACTTGACCTGCATACCAGGCCCTATGTGGCACAGAAGATGCTAGGTGCAGGAGGCAAGCCAATTTTCTGCCCCTGCTATTAAGTCTTCCCTAAGCCGTCTCCTTGAACTTGTGTTTCTCTGCATGTTGGTGCATTTAACTCTCCCAGTGGATCTGTTTTCATTTCTCAGAACCCTTATTCTCTCCTGCCCGGTGCTTCTGTTTCTTGGTGTTTTAGCCAGGGATGATTTGGTAACAGGAAGAAGGAAGCCACTCAAACTAACTTATAAAAAAGTTGATAGCAGGCAATAAAATAATAAATAGATAATATGAACTTCATCCAAATTTAAAACTTGTGTACATTGGACGACACTATCAAAAGAGTGAAAAGACAACACACAGAATGGGAGGAAGTATTTACAACTCATATGTCGATAAAGGATTATTATCCAGAATGCATAAAGAATTCCTACGGCTCAACAACAAAAAACAGTATCTGTTCATATCTTCTGCCCATTTCCTAGTTGTATTTTTTGGTTTTTTTAATATTGAATTCTTGAGAATCTTTATATATCCTAGCTATAAATCCTTTACTAGATAAGTGATTTGGAAATATTTGCTTACATTCTTTAGCTTATAGATTTATTCTCTTCAGGGGGTATTTTGTAGAGCAAAAGTTTTTAATATTCTTGAGCTCCAAATTATCTGTTTTTGGCATCAAATTTGAGAAAACTTTGCCTACCCTAGATTCTGAACATTTTAAAATATTTTTTTCTAAAACTTTTATAGTTTATATTTTCCCTTGAAGGCTATAAAGCATTTTGAGTTCATTTTTATATAAGATATAAGGTTTATTTTTTTCTTACCCAATGGATGGCCAATTGCTTCTACACCATTTTTTGAAAAGACTATCCTTCCTCCATTTAGCTGCTTTTATACTGTTGTTAAAATCAATTAGACATATGTGTTTGTGTCCATTTCTGGGTTCTCTATTCTGTTTCATTGATCTATGTTTCTCTCTCCTCAATACCACAATGTCTTGATTACTACAGCTACACGGCAAAACTTAACACCAAGTACCATGTTTCCTCCCACTTTATTATTCTTTTTCAAGATTGTTTTAGCTATTCTAGGATGTGTGCCTTTCCATATAAATTTTAGAATAATACAAATTACAACTATATAAAATATAATAATATAATAAACATTACACTATGATAATAATTTTAAAATAATACAAATTTTATCTATGTCTACAAAAAGTCCTTGCTGAGATTTTAATAGGAATTGCATTAAACCTATAAATCAATTTTGGGAAAATTGACATTTTTGCTATTTCTGAGTTTTCTAATCCATGAACATGGTACACTGCCTATTTATTAAAAGGTACACTGCCTATTTATTATCAGATCTTCTCTGATTTCTTTCTTTCTTCTCTGATTTCTTTCTTTCTTCTGTGAAGAAAGAAATTTTCAGCATACAGATCTTACAGAGGTTATAAATCCATAATTAAGTTTTAATTTTATTTGGCATGATTGCAAATGTTATTTTGGTTTCTGCATACTCACTGTTAGTATACAGAAATGGGATTGATATTTGTGTGCTGACCTTGTAAACTAGGACTTTGCTGAACTTACTTATTAGTTATAAGAGTTTCCTTGTAGAATCCTTGGGATTTCCATGTAGACAATCAAGTCATTTGCAAATAGGAGCAGTTTTATTTCTTTCTTTCTGATCAGTGTGCCTATTTTTTTTAATCTTATTAAAGTGGCTAGAACTTCCAGTACAAGAGTGGTGATTGCTGAGATTTTTCCTCCTGTTTCCAATTTGAAGGAGGAAAAAAGTATTAAATGTGATGTAAGGTATAATCTTGAGCTTTGTTTTTATTTTTCAAGTGGTCTTTATCAAATTGAGAAAATTTTTCTTTGTTCCCAACTTGCTGAGAATTTTTATCATGAATGGATGTGGGATTTTGTCAATTGCATTTTACATCAATTATCAAAAGCGTATTACATCAATTGATAATAGCATATGGTTTTTTCCTTTAGCTTAATGACATGGTGCATTACAGTGATTGACTTTAAATGCCAAACCAGCCTTACATCCATGGAATAAATCCAACTTGATAATTCAGTTGATAATACTTTTGAGAATTTTTGCATATAAACTCATGGGAGGTATTGGTCTACAGTTTTCTTTTTGAAAATACTGTCATATACTGGTTAGTCACGGTAATACTGGCCTTAAAAAATGAGGCAGAAGATGCCCCTCACTATGTTATTTCCTGAAATAGATTGCATAAAATTGGTGTTATTTTTCTTCAAATGACTTTATAATTCATTGGTGGAACCATATCAGCCTGGAGATTTATTCCTCCAGACACTTCAAATTGCAAATTCAATCCTTTTAATGGGCATAGGGATACTCAGAGTATCTATTTTATCTAGCATGAGTTTTTGTAGCTTGTGGAGCTTTTTTGGAAGTTTTCCATTTCTTCCAAGTTTTTGAATTTATGAGTAATTGTTCATACCATCCCCCATAATATCTTTTTAATAGCTGAAGAATCTGTAGTAATACCCCCTGTTTTATTTCTATTATTATTTATTTGAGTATTCTCTTTTTATTTTTGCCAGTTTTGCTATAGGTTTACTAATGTTATTGGGTTTTTTCCCCCCAATGAACTAGCTGTTGGTTTCATTTATTTTCTTTATTTTTTGTTTTCAATTTCATTGATTTCTGATCTGTATTTATTATTTCCTTCTTTCTGCTTACTTTCCATTTATTTTGATCTTATTTTCCTAGTTATTGAAGTGGTAATATAGGTTATTTATCTGAGATATTTTCTAATTTTTAATGTAAATATTTAGCAGTATAAATTTCCCAGTAGTGCAGTAACTACATTCCATGAATTTTGATATGGTGTGTTTTTGCTTTTATTCAACTGTATGTCTTTTAAAATTTCCTTTGAGATTTCCTATTTAACTCATGGATTATTCAGAGTGTACTTTAATTTGCACTTGGATAGAAATTTTTCTGATATATTCCCATTATTGACTTCTAGTTTAAATTCATTGTGGTTAGAGAACACACACACTCACACAGTATTTTGGTTCTTTTGCATTTGTGGAGATTTTTTTTAACTAGGAAATATTTCTATTCAACACTAATAATGGAAGACCTAGCCAGTATCATTATACAATAAAAATGACACTGTTCACTGACAAATGATTGTTTACATAAGAAACCCTATAAATTTTACAAAAACACTGCTAGAAGTAATAAATAAATGTAACAAGGTTGCAATAATTGTGGCCCATAAACAAAATACAACTATATTTTTATATACTAGTAATACACAATTAGAAAATAAACTTTTGCTTCTTTTTAAAATTTTTAGTTTTAGATTTACATATAATAATTGTTTGAAACTGTAAGTTTCTCTCTTTCAAAAGATTGGAAAAATTTTCCACCATCATTGTATCAAATATTCATTCTTCCACACTTTCTTTTCTTCTTCTAAGGCCTTGGTGGTACTATTTTTGAATGAATCTCTTGTTATTGTCCACAGGTCTCCAAAGGATTGTTCATTTTCTTTTGGTATATTTTCTCTCTTTTGTACAGTCTAGGTGAATTCTATTAATATGTTTTCAAGTTCATTGATTCCCTCCTCTGACATTTCCATTCCACTATTGAGTTCATCCAGTGGGCTTTTAAAACTTTCTCTTACTATGTTTTTCAGTTCTATAATTTCAAGTTAGTCATTTTTATACCATATGCTATTTTACTAAACTTTTCTAGTTTTTATTTTTATTTGTTTTGAGAGCATCTGTAGTTGTTGGCTGAAATATTTTTACAACTGCTTTAAAATCTTTGTCAAATAGTTCTAATGCCTGTTTCTTCTTGTTGTTGGTGTCAGTTGATTGATTTTTCTCATTGAAGGTGATTTTTCTTATGATATAATTTTCAACTGTGCTCTGAAAATTATATCTGTTAGGCCAGGAGACTTTGAGTCCTATTTATTTATTTATTTATTTTATTTTGAGATGGAGTCTTGCTCTGTTGCCCAGGCTGGAGTGCAATGGCATGATCTCGTTCACTGCAACCTCTGCCTCCTGGGTTCAAGCAATTCTCCTGCCTCAGCCTCCCCAGTAGCTGTGATTACAGGTACCTGCCACCACGCCTAGCTAATTTTTGTATTTTTAATAGAGATGGGGTTTCACCATGTTGGCCAGGTTGGTCTGGAACTCCTGACCTCAGGTGATCCACCCGCCTCGGCTTCCCAAAGTGCTGGGATTACAGGCCTGAGCCACTGTACTGGCTGGTCCTATTTAAATATTAAATATTTTATTTTAGCATGCTGTCAACCGGTTCAGATTCAACATGTGGGTCTTAGCCTACTCTTACGGGTTGTGGTTCCAATAGCAATTTAACATTCAGAAACTTTGCAGTGTTATTTTCCTCTGCTTGATTCTTCCAGTGCCCATAAGGCTCCCACTGTAGTCTGCTGGTGGTGCCTGTAGGGAAAAAGTGATTTTTCCAGGTATGGCAGTCAGATGTCTCTTGATGTGGGAGGGGTCTCACTTTAAGCTCCCTCCTCTCTTTCTCGGTGTCTCTGAGTGAGGGAGGAGAGTTTTGGGCTCACAGGATCAAAGAGGCTTCCAAAGCCTGATCACTTGATGTGACCAGGTCTTATTCTTTTCTGCCTGGCCGTCCCTGCGTCTGCACTGGGGAGAAGAATTTGGCAATTTTATATAAATTAAGCATCCACCTAATCTATGATCCAGAGTTCTATTCCTCTGTATCTACCAAAGATAAATAAAGATTTAGGGATGTGAATGCCCTTGAAATGACAAATGGATAAATAAACTATGACACATTCATATAATAGAATACTATTCAACAATAAGAAGAAACAGATGATGCATGCATGTGACAATAAGGATGATTCTTCAATGTATTCTGCTAAGTGAAAGAAGAAAGGTCCAAAGGCTATGCATCATGTGATTCAATTTATGTAATGCTGGAAAAGGCAAAACTGTCAGAAGGAAAGAAGATCAGTGGTTGTCTTGGATTGGACAAGGGGTTTCATATATAGGAGCAGCAAAGGGGAAATTTGAGGATGATGGAACAGTTTCATATAAAACTTTGGTGGCTGACACAGTTTTACAGACTCTTTTCATTTGTCAAAGAACAATTTACCATAAAAAATGAATTTCATTGACATAAATTTTTAAAAATCAACCAGGATGTGGGGAAAAGATTGAGTCCCCAGACTGTGATGATGAGTTAAACCATATTACAAATGAATTACATAAGCACAGTGAGGGCATGAGGAACAAAAGAGCTGACCTAAGTCATTTCAAAAAGCAGTGTTTTAAATGGTTACTGTAAGACTAAAGAAAAAAAGAACATAAACGAAGACTGCTTTTGTTGGCATATTTGTTTCCCAGAAGGGTTGGATTGAGAATTCTGGGCTGGGCACTGTGGCTCATGCCTGAGGTGGGAGGATCGCTTGAGGCCAGGAGTTCTAGACCAGCTTGGTCAACATAGCAAGCAAGACCTCAACTCTACAAAAAAAATAATAATAATTAACATGGTGTGGTGGCAGTGCCTGCAGTTCCAGCTACTTGGAAGGCTGAGGCTGCAGGATCACTTGAGCTCAGGAGTTCTAAGCTGCAGGGAGCTATGACTGAGCCACTGCACTCTAACCTGGGTGACCGAGCAAGATCCTGTCTGTAAAAAAATAAATAAATAAAAAGAATTCTGAAACCACTTTATTTGTATAGTAGTGTTGAATAAATAAGTAAATATATTTGAAACAATGGAAGCCAGGTTCTCCTTATTGTAAGAAGTTACAATAAGGAAAGAGATAAGTCTAAAATGGATTAAGTGATGCTGCATTGAAGTTTGAGAATCAATATGAACGCATGAGTGTGCATGTATGTGTGTGTGTGAATATATGAAAGTAGATGCAGAAGTAAATGTAGATGTATGTATACATGAGTTAGCATATATATCTCCGAGCCCTATCCACTGATAGGAACTAGATGCTCTGACACCCCGTGGCAATGAGCATGCCTTCTCTTCAGCTCGTGGTTTTTTTTTTTTTTTTTGAGACGGAGTCTCGCTCTGTCGCCCAGGCTGGAGTGCAGTGGCGGGATCTGGGCTCACTGCAAGCTCCGCCTCCCGGGTTCACGCCATTCTCCTGCCTCAGCCTCCCAAGTAGCTGGGACTACAGGCGCCCGCCACTACGCCCGGCTAATTTTTTGTATTTTTAGTAGAGACGGGGTTTCACCGTTTTAGCCAGGATGGTCTCGATCTCCTGACCTCGTGATCCGCCCGCCTCGGCCTCCCAAAGTGCTGGGATTACAGGCGTGAGCCACCGCGCCCGGCCCAGCTCGTGGTTTTTAATTACCATTCTCCAACAAAAGGAAAACATGGTTCTTTGCAGGTGTGGTTAATTCCAGGCCTGTGGCAGGGAAGCTTCACAAAGATTCTGTAACATCTTGTAGTGCCAGTAGGAAGGAAGTGCTAAAATAAAACAAAACAAATTAAGCCAGCAAAGGAAAAGCAAAATGGTTTGAGGGAGTGTCAAAAGAGCACAGGAGTAAACCTAAAAGGGCTCTAAGCCTAAAGAACAATGACCTTGCAGTCATGGAAAAGAATGAGATCATGCCCTTTGCAGGGACATGGATGAAGCTGGAAGCCATCATCCTCAGCAAACTAACACAGGAACAGAAAACCAAACAGCACATGTTCTCACTCATAAGTGGGAGTTGAACAATGAGAACACATGGACACAGGGAGGGGAACATCACACACCCGGCGCCTGTCAGTGGGTGGGGGCAAGGAGAGGGAGAGCATTACAACAAATACGTAATGCATGCGGGGCTAAAACCTAGATGACGGGTTGATGGTTCAGCAAACCACCATGGCACATATATACCTATGTAACAAACCTGCACATTCTGCACATGAATCCTCGAACTTAAAAGTAAAATTTAAAAAATAAATAAATAAATAAGAGCAATGACCAAAGCATTCCCCATGAACAACTTGGACTAAAATGTAATGATCGTGTTGGAATATAATCCAAAGAATAAAATAAATGCCCAGGAATCCATCCAATGTAAATGGATAACTGAATACATAAATTAATAAAGAAGTGATCATTTTCCCTTTACATAAAAATTCCAGTCAGTAAGCGCAGAAGAAATTGGGGATATTCTAAAAACACCATTAGAACACTACAGGTACAGTTGTCATAGGCAAGATACATTGGTGAATTTTAAGTAGTGGGCAAATTTTAAGCAGACAGTATTTACAATATTCACAATAGCCAAGACATGGAATCAACCTAAGTGTTCATCAATGGATGAATGAATAAAGAAAAGGTGGTATATGTACACGATGGAACACTGTTTGGCCTGATAAATAAATCCTGTCATTTGTGACAACATGAATAAACCTAGGTGATATTATACAAAGTGAAATAAGTCAGATACAGAAAGACAAATACTGCATGATCTCACTTATACATGAAATCTAAAAAGTTGAATTCATAGAAGCAGAGAGTAGAATAGTGGTTATCAGAGGCTGGCGTGTGGGTAGAACTGAGAAAATGTTGGTCAAAGGTATAAAATTTCAGTTAGATGGGAGGAATAAGTTTAAGAGATCGCTTGTACTTTATTGTGACTACAGTTAATAACAGTATATAATATGCTTGAAAATTGCTGAGAGTAGATTTTAAGTGTGCTAATCATAAAAATATGAGGTAATATATATTAGTTAGCTTGATTTTTTAGCCATTTCACAATATCTACGTATATCAAAATGTTTTATAAATGATAAATATATATAATTTTTGTTCCTCAATTATAAACAGAGATAAAAAAGTAAAATCATTATAACAGAAACACAGAATACCTTTGATGGACTCATCAGTAGACTAAGCACAGCCAAGGAAAGAATCAATGAGTTTTAAGAAATGTAATAGAAACTTTCAAGACTGAAATGCATAGCGAAAAAGCAATTAAAACAATGGAACAAATTATCCAAGAACTATGGGACAATTGCAAAAGATGTAACATATACATAATGGTAATATGAGAAGGAGAAATAAGAGATATGGGAACAGAGAAAATTTTTGAGACAATAATGGCTGAGAATTCCCCAAATTAATGTCAGACACCAAGCCACAAATCCAGGAAGCTCAGGGAATGCCAAGTAGAATATATGCTGAGAAATCTACATGTAAGCATGTCATACCCAAGCTGCAGAAATTAAAAGACAAGGGGGAAGTATTGAAAGAAGTCAGAGGGTAAAAACCACCTTATCTATTGGGAAGCAAGGATAAAAATTACATCTGACTTTAGAAACCATGCAAGCAAGAAAACAGTGGAGTGAAATATTTAAGGTGCTTATAGGAATAACGAAAAAGCCTAGGATTCCACACTCAGAGTAATTATCTTTCAAAAGTTACAGAGAAATAAATAACTTTTATAGCCAAACAAAAATGAGGGAGTTTGCCTAGCAGGATATGTTTAAAAAGTTGTTCAGAGAGAAGGAAAATGACATAGGTTAAAAACTTTAATCTATATAAAGAAAGGAAGAGTATTAGGGAAGGAATAAATAAAGATGAAATGAAGCCTTTCATTTTTCTTTTTCTTAATGGATCTAACAGATAATAGTTTGTTCAAAGTAATAATAGTAAACAGTGAATTGTGTGGATGTAGCACAGAGATAAATGAAATGAATGACAGCAATTTTATAATGAGTAGGAAGGAGAAACTGTAAACACTCTATTTTAAAACCTTTAAAATGATTTAGCATATTTGGAGACGAACTTGGATTGTTGTAAATGTATGCTGCAAACTCTAGGGCAATCGCTGAAAAACATTTTAAAAGAGTAAAAATTGAGTCAGACAAAATGCTCAACTAAAACCAGATGAGGCAGAAAAAGAATGGGAGACAAAAAAAAAAAAAAAAAAAAGAAAGAAGCAGAAACAAAGATATTTAATAGAAAACAGTAAGAAACTTGTTAGATATTAATCCAATTATATCAGTAATCCCTTTAAATGTCAATGGTCTAAATACATCAATTAAAATAGTGTCCGAGTGAAGAAGAAAATAAGACGCAACTATATGTTGTCTACCAGAAACTCATTTTAACTATAAAAACACATATAGATAAAAGTAATAGAGTAGAGAAACATATGCATGCTAACGCTAATTAAAAGAAAACTGTGGTAGCTATATTAATTTCAGAAGGAACAGACTTCAGAGCAAGGAAAATAATCAGGGATAAAAATGTACATCACATCATGATAAAGGGGTTCCATCACCCAAACATCACAATTCTTAGTGTATGTGCACCTAAAAAGTGTCAAAATACATGAGGCAAAATATTATTAAATTTTGAGGACAAATAGATGGGTCTATTCTTATAGGTGGAGACTTAAATATTCTTCTATCAGTAATTGACAGACCCAGCAGGGAGGAAATCCATAAGAACATGGTTGAACTGAACAACACCATCAATCAACTGGATCTAATTGACACTTATAGAATACTTCATTCAACAACAGCAGAATACACAGTCTCCTCAATTTTACATGCTTACATTCATGAAATAGATCACATTCTGGACTATAAAACATACCTTGACAAATTTAAAAGAGTAAATGAAAACAAAGTGATACAATAACTATATTAGCTTTTCACAGCACTCAATTAATTAGTGGATGCAGGCACTGGGTATCATTAGTTGGTGACATCAAAACAGTGAAAACCAGCCACAATGTGAAAGGCCACAACATAAACAGTGAACTTTCAAAAGGACTGACCCTGAGTTTGACTGAGCCTCTGGATCCCACTGTTATTTGGTAGAAAATAGGGCAGGGATACATGCTGAGCTACATAACCAGTTTGAAATCCACGCATTAGAAGACTCTACAGGTAAAAGAGCCCAGACTCAACAGACAAATTGTATATTAAAAAAAGAAAAGGATGGAGGAGTAATCTCAAGATTGACTGAAAGATAAGTATATACCATAGCAAGCTGGCAAAATAGACATAACTGTACTATAGTGACTACTATCCTCACTTGGTAAGATTATGAAGAAAGGCAAGGAAATGTCTGTTACAAAAATCAATATAACATAGTTACATTTACAGGAAGCAATGTAATTTGGCTGGGGCATGATGGAGGGCTTTTGGGTTTGTTGCAAAGTTCTGTTTTTTGTTTGTTTTTGTTTTTTTTCTGAGACGGAGTCTCACTCTGTCACCCAGGCTGGAGTGCAGTGGCGCGATCTCGGCTCACTGCAAGCTCCGCCTCCCGGGTTCACGCCATTCTCCCGCCTCAGCCTCCTGAGTAGCTGGGACTACAGGTGCCCACCACCATGCCCGGCTAATTTTTTATATTTTTTTAGTAGAGACGGGGTTTCACCATTCACAGGATGGTCTCGATCTCCTGACCTCATGATCCGCCCGCCTTGGCCTCCCAAAGTGCTGGGATTATAGGCGTGAGTCACCGCGCCCGGCCAAAGTTCTGTTTCTTGACCTGGGTAGTTGTGACAAAGACATTTGCCTTATAATCATAATTAACTAATCTCTACATTTGTTTGGGTCTGGTTTTCTGTTTCATCTTAAAACAAAAAGATAAATAATAAATAATGCATACATAAATCCAAGGAAAAAAGTTAATGGGGCATGTGTTCTGGAAATCGAGGGAAGAAAACACATATGGAGCGGGGAGCAGAGTCTCCTGTCTCTGTGTTTTTCTGCACAAATCACACCCCACCCCACCCACCACCCAGTGGCCATCAGCAGGGATAGTCCCTCACAATAAGTTTCTCTAGCTTCCAGCTTGTTCAACTGTAGAGGGAGCAATGGTCAGATCCTACATGT
Organism: Homo sapiens; assembly: GCF_000001405.40. Taxonomy (NCBI): domain Eukaryota; kingdom Metazoa; phylum Chordata; class Mammalia; order Primates; family Hominidae; genus Homo; species Homo sapiens. The sequence continues at coordinate 4,288,964 of NT_187660.1, forward strand.
TCTGTCCCTTGTTGAGTGTGTTTTGGGGTCTTTGTGCCTTGTGATATTCTGAATTCTCTCTCTATAATGCTGAATTAATTTTTTTCTCTATTTTTAGCATCTTATTGTTTGCCTATAAGAATTGCCAAGTCATTCAATCTTAAAACCATCAAGTTATTACATCTGAAGATTTCTGAGTCAATCTGAGAAGCATCATTATCTTATCCTTATTCTGTGCTCACTGTGCAAATGCTCGGCTATACCGATTATTGCCTAAGCAGTATCCATTATCTTTAAAAAGGACAAACAAAAATTAATCTCAATTTGGAATTTCAACTGTTCTGATAGATGCTATTTCTTCAATGAGCTGGAACTGTAGAATCGAATCCTCTAAGGAAGCCTCAGGTACATGAGTCTCGCAGCTGCAGATACAACCCTCTTCATTCATGGTCAAACAAGTTAAGGCTGGCTCTAGAAATGAACATTCCTTTGCACAATTGCTAGAGGTTCACATTTATGTTTTCTGTGTATTGATCACTAAAATAGAAAATCGGTGCCATCATATCAGAGAATCACTAAGTCATGGGTTTTGAATATCTACAGAATCATGGAATCTGAGATCTGCTGAGTCATGATATTTGAAAATTACGTTTGCACACAAGCCTTGATTTGCATTTTCAGGATATTAAAATCAAAACTGCAGAATCCCATAGTCATTCTCTTTGAAAACTTCAGCTTTGATTCAAACATTCTGCAGCTGCCAATTCATAAATTCTGAGAAATTAAGAGTCAGATTGAGATTGTACAATAGCAGACACATATTCCATTACTAAAGGAAGTCCCTGGAGGGACTAAGATATTCAAAGTGGTGAGAGAAAGAAATACTAATAATTTGTTCTATGTTAGCTACATATCACTACTTCATATAGGTCCTCCACTGTATGTGGTATTATCCCCATGTTAGAACTGAGGAAACCAAAGTTGAGGATGATTTGATATCAAGTAAGTTCATAGGTTCCAGAGCTAGGACTTCAACTGCACATCTATCAGAAGCCTTGATTGACAATCATGAAATCATGGAGAGAGTGAGAGGATCATGGAAAAGTCAGCCTCTGTCTGGCCAGGGTCCCATCCCAGCTGCCTGCAAAGTCTTCTAATCACTTGTACCCATGCTCCATTCAGGCAGAATAACAAGACCAGACCTTCAGCTAGCTCATAGGGTTTGCAAATGATTTTTGCTGATTTATTTGATGACTAAAGTACCCACACATCCTTACTCTTCCCCTGCTTGAATTCTGGGGCTATTCTGGGAGAGGGTCTAGGAGTGGATCCCAAATTTGTGGGTATGCAAGTTACAATCATCTGCTGATCTTCAGAAACTCCCCAAACCCTGGCCACATCCAGACAAGTTAAACCACAATCTCTGGGGAATGGAACTCCAACATAGGCATTTTTTAAGCCCTTCAGATGATTGCAATGGGAAGAAAAGTTTGAGAACAATGGGCTTATCCTGTTATTCCTGAAAAGCAGTGATTTCATATATGAATCACGTAAGGGAGGTTTTTAAAAAGCACTGAATCCCAGGCCCAGAACAATGGGGTTAGAATCTCTAGGAGGCTGGGCATGGGTGATTAACAAAAGCTCCTCATGCTGATCGGTGAAATTTCTGGAAGGTCAAGGCAGGAGCTCCTTGAATGGTTTAATCCTTTCCATATGGAACTCTGCAAACTAGGTTTCAGGGCTTTCCTCCCTGTTAGTCAAAAAATCATCTGCTTTTGCTTAACTAGTGAGGGTTGGGTTTCTGTCACTTGCAAGTTCTGGAATTGACCAAGCATCCTGGTTTGCCCGGTACTCTCCTGGTTTCAGCTCTACAAATCCCACATACCAGGAAACCCTTCGGTCCCAGACACATCTGGATGGTTTGTCACTCTACTTGTAATCAAAGTATTATGGTTATTTTCTTACTAGATTTATTGAGATGTCCTCTCTTTATCCTTCTAACCAGTGCTCATAAAACAACCACTACCAAGATTAACTACCTGGAACCCTGAGTACATGCCCCACATATATCCTGAGATGTCATCCCACCCATCACAGGCTCCCATTCTCCCTACACAACTCCTTCTTCACTCCTGATCCTTACACAACACAACCCCTGCACCCTAATTCACTGACATTCCTAAGTCAGAACCACACTCTCAACTTTACCTCCACAAGCCATGTGAGGGGGTACATGGCTACCCCACCATGTGTGGCTCATAGCCATTGAAAACTGAAGCATGAAGCCCTCCCTCTAGCTATATGTTCTTTTTTTTTTTTTTTTTTGAGACGGAGTCTCGCTCTGTCGCCCAGGGTGGAGTGCAGTGGCATGATCTCGGCTCACTGCAAGCTCTGCCTCCCGGGTTCATGCCATTCTCCTGCCTCAGCCTCCTGAGTAGCTGGGACTACAGGCGCCCACCACCACGCCAAGCTAATTTTTTGTATTTTCAATAGAGACGGGGTTTCACCTTGTTAGCCAGGATGGTCTCGATCTCCTGACCTCGTGATCCACCCACCTCGGCCTCCCAAAGTGCTGGGATTACGGGTGTGAGCCACTGCGCCCAGCCTAGCTATATGTTCTTATGCTTGACTGTGTCTTCTTGATCAAAGCTGGAGTCCACCTTCTAGAAAGTTAAGAAATCAAAGCAATGATTCATTGGGGCTTGCTTGCTTCATGGAACAGATTTTCTCACCCCACCTCACGTAAGTGGGAATATATTTTAAGGATTCATTTAAGAAAATGGAAAACAGGAATCTTAACCATGGGGTAGGTCTTCACAAGAACTCAGAGAAAACTGAACAACCAAGCTTCACTTCCAGGTCAGGAAGACCAGGCCGGCCACCAGGGAGACTTGAGTGGGATGGCATCCTGAGTGTTAATGCTGGAGACTGACATCCTCAGCAGTGGGAGTCCCAGGACCTCCACTCCAGGGTTCCGCTGGCAGATCACTCAGCTCTATGCTGTCTGTCCATTCCTCCCTGTGCGGAGCCACCTTCTGTTTGCCTACCAAGGAGCTCATTGCTACCAAACTTCTCACTTCAAATTCCAGACAGGTAGAACCTACCTTGCTCAACTGATATCCCTAACCCTGCCAGGGAAAATCTTTCCATTCCAGACCA